>NC_000012.12:102005582-102308612 GCF_000001405.40 Homo sapiens
TAACTGTAAGGAAGGCCGAGTGGCAAAGAGATAAAAGATGCCGCCTCAACAAGCCTCCTTTGCTAAAGTCAGGGCCCTCATGTCAAAGGAGTGAGACTCTGAGACCTGGGATGAGACAATTCGAGTGCATGTGCTTGAGGATCTTGAGTCACTGATTTCTTCTGAACCCTCCATGCCAACCAAAGGAGCTATTTCTCCCACCCTAGAGGAGAGCAACCTCCCCTTACCTGGAGACCATGTGAAGTGTTTGTCTGAGGTGGATGGCTTGTAAAATGACTCCTGTCTCTTCAAGATCTAATTCTGCCTTCCCCGACTGCTTTTAGATTAACTAATCTCAGAATTCAGCTGAGAAGAAAAATATAGTCCTTGAGCTGGGAAGAAATAGCTTATTTACTGAAAGAATTTTAGGTACTGGCTAATAAGTACTGGCAGTAAGTTGGAGAATATGAGTGAAGATAAGTCTTGTGTGGGCTGGACCAGAGAGGCAGAATATAAGGCTGGATAGAGGAGAGTTTACTGACACAGGAGCACTCTCTTATGACTAAAGATATAGTATCTCATCTTTATGACACATGAGCTGGTCTTAACAGGCTGTTGGGGTGGCTTCTTGAGACTTCGTCATGATGGCCTACACTAAATGAGGCAGGAATGCTGGAAATGCCTTATCAAAGTGAAGAAGAGGTCAGAGGCAGAGAGAGGTGGATATGTTGATTGCATTTATTTAATGACAAGAGAGCAAATGTACCATTTTTCCCAGGAAGGGCCCAGAGAACACTCTCTTGATTAAGATAATAAAGGATGTCACTGAGGGTGACATCAACATCTTTGATAAAATCATCAGAAGCTGTACCCAACAGGCCAGGATTCACAGTAGGATATGATGCTGTAGAACTGGGCTCTTTAGTACTAATTGAGATGATAGGATTCCTTAATGGCAGGAGGCAGGTAGTGGCATTCAACCATCGGCAGCAAAGTGACAGCAAGCCTGAAGTAAATGCTACCTATGTTACCAGGAGTATATATGGTGAACGTTCACCCAATCTTTCTTCAAAGGACTTTAAACCACTTAGCAAAGTGAAACAAGTGGAATACCCAATCCTCTCAAAGGTTGTTGTATAAGGGCTCAGTTAACTTGATATCAAGTGATCTAAAATGTCCTCATTGTCCCTCAAATAGAGTGGAGGCTATGGATACCAGGTAATAGATGGAGTTTGGGCTCCAGTCCATTTCACAGTATTTTCAATTGCTCCAGTGGGGTCCCTCTGATTGTTTCCCTGGTCTCTAGTGCATACCTGGGATAAATATTCTTAAAAGCTTCTCGTGAGCTTCCTGACCTATGGGAAAAAAAAAATCCATTGTGGTAGGGAGGATCAAGTGAAAAATCCCTAAAATTGTACCTTCCTTATCCCAGCCAAGATAGCAAACCAGAAACAATATTGCATTCTGAGTGGAATTTTTGAGATTAGCACCACTTCCAAAGACTTAAAGGATGCAGAGGTAGCATCCTCTGCATTTACCAGTATGGCATCTGCCATGGTGGAAGACAAGGGAATATTATCAACTTAATAAAGTGATAGTGCCAATCATGTCTACCATGTCAAGCATGGTACCTTTCCTGGAACATATCAACACAGCCTCTGCATGATATGTGGCTGTTGTTCTGACAAACATTTTTTCAATCATTAGGAATATCAAGTGTTTATATGGAAAGGATAGCAATACGTATTAACTTGATTGCCCCAGAACTATGTTAGCTCTCCTGCTCTCTCTCATAGTGTAGTCTTTTTTTTTTTTAATTTTTATTTATTTATTTTTTTTTTGAGACAGAGTCCTTGTCACCCAGGCTGGAGTGCAGTGGTGCCATCTCGGCTCACTGCAACCTCCACCTCCCGGGTTCATGCGATTCTCCTGCCTTAGCCTCCTGAGTAGCTGGGACTACAGGCACACATCACCATGCCTGGCTAATTTTTGTATTTATAGTACAGACAGGTTTTCACCATGTTGCCCAGGGTGGTCTCGAACTCCTAACCTCAAGTGATCCACCTGCCTTGGCCTCCCAAAGTGCTGGGATTACAGGTGTGAGTCACCGTGCCTGGCCCACGGTGTAGTCTTCAGGGATTTTGTTCATTCTCACATTACACAGAACCTTGTGTTGATCCTCTATACTGATAACATCAGCTGCATCTATCTGGTAAACAGAAAGCAGAAAGAACTCTTGGTGTTCTATAAGATGCACACCAGCCAGAGGATGGAAGATTCAGATCCCTACAGCTTTTAGAGATCCAGTAGTCTGGAAGGTGCTGGGACATCCCTTCCAAAGTAAAGGACAGATTAGTGAACTTTCACCCTTTACCGGTAAGAAAGAGACACAGCATGTTGGGGACTTCTGCTTTTGAAAGCATCATACACTTTCTCAGGAATACAGCTCTGAATTGGAAGACTACATGCTTTATGTGGGGCCCAGAACAAGAGAGGGCTCTGCTGCAGGATCAGGCTATGATATAAGTTGCCCTCCTCCTTGAACTATATGGCTCAGATTACCCATTGATGATAGAGATGTCTATGGTAGATATGAAGATTGTGTGGCATGTCTAGTCAGCCCTAATAGAAGATTAATAGCACAGACCCTTTGCTTCTGGAGCAAAGGTCTTGCCTTCTTGTTGTTTGAAAAGCAACACCTAGCATGTGCCCAGTAGAAGCTGAGAATCTGACTATATATGATATCAAGTGATTAACTGAGCTGCCCATCATAAGCTGGGTTTTATCAGATACACCATAAAGCCACCTAGTCACAGTAGCAATCCATTATTCAATGGAATTATATGTTTGGGATGAAGCCTATAAAAGTCAATAAGGCACATGTAAGTTACATGGACAAGTGACCTATCATTTATTTCCCATATCATTTACATCTCTTAACACTAATGCCTATTCTTCAACCTACTTGTATGATCTCATGCAGAATCTTCAATGGTCAACTGTATCAGTTATTTATTGCTACAATTATGTGGTAACAACCAAGAACAATAAAAAACTGTAAGATAATCAACAGTGAGCATTTATTATTCACATCCACAGCCAGCTGAGAATTGGCTAGGTAGGTCTTCCAATCTTGGCTGGTCTTGCTCATGTCTTGGGTTGGCTGATATATGAATGGAACAACTCATCTCTGCTCCATGCATCTTTCATCGTCATTAGACTATCCAAGTCAAGTTCTTATGTCAATAACAGAGCCACAAGAGAAGGCAAGACCAACCAAGTATTTGTCAAGCCTCTGCTTGGATCACATTTGTTAATATTCCATTGGCTAAGTTCAGAATCCAAAGTTAAGGCCAAATGCTCTACTCAGAGGGGGAGGGCAATGCAAATATATAGCAAAAGGCATGCAATAGGGAGAAAGTGAATAATTGAAGCTACTTTTGCAATATTATCTCACTAGCTGACAGCAAACAGTGGACCTTGTTGATGCATGGACAAGCTTGATATATATTGGTGTAGGCAAAAATGGCTTGCTGCCACACTGCTGCCTCTGACAGAGGTGGCTCTAACAATTAGTGGTGAGGAAAATAATCTTCCTGATGGACAGAGCTTCAAACAGTACACTTTGTCATGATGTTGCTGAAGAAGCACATGGCCTGAGTTAAATACTACAGACTTTTGATCTTGGTAACTGGTTTGGCTGGTCAGGGATAAGAAGGGAGCAATATTGGAAGATTAGAGAAAGTGAGATTTAAGGATGAAGAATGTGGACAAAACTATGGGAATGTGTCCAAAGTGTGGAGATTTTTGTAGGATGAAATGCCAGAAAGAAAACACTCACCTGAGGAGGCAAAAATTAGGTGGACAAGATGATTTCTCCAGTAGATGTCAGCCAGCCTTGTCCTTGATTGCCCCAGGTTATACAATGAGCCCACAAATGGAGTAATCGTGGCAGCAGAGATGCCGGCTATGCTTGGGCCCAACAGCTTGGGCTTCCACACTAATGCTCATCTAGTGATGAGCTAGATGAGCTAGGATTCAGCTACTGCTGAATACCCTATTTGTCGGCAGCAGAGACCAATGATTTGGTACTATTCCTTGAAGAGGTTAACCAGTCACTTGGGAGCAATTTATTTGCATTAAATTCCTTCCACCCTGGAAGAGGAGTAATTCTTTCTTATTGTAATTAATTACTACTCTTAATAGGGGCTTTCCTTTCCTTCCAGCAGCACCTCTGCCAGCATTACCCTCTGATAGCCTACAGGATGTCTATTACCAACATGGTATCTCGCATTACACTGCCTCAGATCTTGGGATTATTTTGTAGTAAATGACTAACAACAGGCGCATGAATTGTTGGATCCACTTGTCTTACCGCATACAGCATCATCCAGAAGAAATCAATCAAATAGAACAATGAAATGGTCTATTATAGGCTCATTGTAGTCACCATCTCAGAGATGACATTCTGCAAGGTTGAAGTGCTAATCTCTAGGATGTGGTAAAAGCACTACAAAAATGGCTAGCATATGATGCCATGTCCTCAGCTGCCAGGATTCACAGATCCAGGAACCAAGAGAAAAGAAATAGGAATGATCCTTCTCCACCATTCTCAGTGACATTCTTTTGTAATTGTGCTTCCCATCCCTGCCGCCTCAGACTTTCCTGGAAGTCCCAGTTCCCAGATGGGGTAGGGGGAAGGAACTAGCACACTTCCATGGGGGAGCACAGTAAGGATTCCACTAAGCTGAATCTACTGCTGCCAATCGGTCCCTTGGGACTGCTCATGTCTGTGGGACAAAAATAGGAAGTAATATGTTAACATGAGGAGCTAGGGTTGTGATTACAAAATGAAACAGGAAGAATGTGTCTAGAACGCAGGTGGTTCACTGGGGCATGTCGTGGTGCTTCAGTGCCTGGTAAGAAACAGCAAACAGATGACTGTGATAATCATAGCCTAAACAGGGCAAAGCAATCAAAGCCCTAGAAAACTTAAAGGATGAAGGTCTGGGTCACTATGCTTGACAACCAGCCTAGACCAGCGGAATTTCTGATATAGAGCAGGAGAAATGTAAAATGGGTGGTGGAAGAAGATGATAAGTACCAGTTTTGGCCTTGCGTTCAGTCATAGTGACAGTAATTGTGGCTTGTCTCACTAATCTTCATGTGTAGATTTTAGAAAGACTGTGGCTGGCCATCACCTTGTGTTATCCCACAGACAAAAGACAAAGTAGACTTAACATGGGACTCAATCAGTTCTGAATTGACTGCATTTGGGTAGACTGCAGCAAATATCTCTTTTGCACATTCCCTCGTCCACTTCCGGTATCAGTCACAGCTACATGGATAGTTCTAGGTGAGTAAGCTTGGACTTGTCCTTTCTGCTTGTGAAATCCCACTGCAAGCCGAAGCCATGTATCTTTCTGCTTCCTGTTCCAAGTCTTTCTTCAACACTGGGGTGCTGCTTTTCCACACAGAAGCACAGCCCAGAAGTGCAGGGATAATTAATGCCCCTGGAGGCAACTCAACTAACGGGGGATGGAAATTGCTTAATTAATGTTCCCAGTTTTATTAGGTGGAAAATTTTGGGAGGCATTCTGAAAGCTTCTCAGAGGGTCTTGGAGCACTCAAACCCCAACTGGCAATCTTGATAACATACTTCTTAAATTTTTTATTATTTTTGAGAGAGTCTCACTCTATCACCCAGGCTGGAGTGCAGTGGTTCCATCTGGGCTCACTGCAATCTCCACCTCCTGGGTTCAAGTGAGTCTCCTGCCTCAGCCTCCCAGTAGCTGGGAGTACAGGTGCATGCCACCACGCCCGGCTAAATTTTGTATTTTTAGTAGACACAGGGTTTCACCATGTTGGCCAGGCTGGTCTCAAACTCCTGACCTCAAGTGATCCACCTACCTCAGCATCCCGAAGTGCTGGGATTACAGGTATGAGCTACCTCACCTGGCCGATAATAAACTTTTAAGTGGTTTTCTCCCTTTTCCTCTCCCTGTTTTTTTACTTCTGTTTTCTGGGATCACCTTGTGAATGACCTGTATACACCCAAGTCCTTTTCTCAGGCTCTACTTGCAGGTGAACTAAACTAAAATGGGCACAATTAGTTAAATGCATTTATATATTTTTCACATAAGTACTTTAGGAATTTTCTAGACTGTGTGTAAATAACTATGAATAATAATTATTTATTTGCAAGGTGAGGTGAGAACATTTTAATCCTGCACACATTTTTTTTTGTTTAGGTAATACAGGAGTTGATGGCAACGATGGTTACTCATTATGAACCACACTGAAACGACCTTCAATTCAATTTCCATCTGCTAATAAATATAGTCAAGTGCTGCATAATGTTTTGGTCAACATCCCCTAAGATTATAAAACCATATTTGACTGCACCTTTTCTACATTTAGATACACAAATACCACTGTGTTACAACTGCCTACAGTATTCAGTACAGTGACATGCTGTGCAGGTTTGTAGCCTAGAAGCAATAGGTTTGTGTAAGTACACTTGTTATGAAATCCACAATGTTTGTACAATAAAACCGCCTAATGACGCATTTCTCAGAACATATCCCTGTTGTTAATCAATGCATGACTGCATAAGAATATCTGACTTAAAAAACACATGAACTAATGGCCAAGTGGTGAAAGGCTGCATATGCTAAAAAATACTACCAAAAAGTTCCATACCCATAACATATGTGATATGTAAGTTTTAAGTTGTCAAAGAAATTTCAACCCAGTATTACTTTCTACCAGAAATGTCTTTAACAACTCATGATATGAATCCATATACTTTTCATGCTAAAATATTCACAAAAATTGAATAATTCACTTAGCCAAATTCACTGTTTTTTTTTTTTTTTTGCATTGGGTCTACTATTGATCACTAAACTCACACTGACTTCATTTAAAATTGCTCATTGCATCTCTTTTTATTTTTAAGACAGAGTTTCACTCTTGTCGCCATGGCTGGAGTGCAATGACGCAATCTCAGCTCACTGAAACCTTTACCTTCTGGGTTCAAGTGATTCTCCTGCCTCAGCTTCCCGAGTAGCTGGGATTACAGGCACCTGCCACTACGCCCAGCTAATTTTTGTCACCACGCCCAGCTACTTTTTGTATTTTTAGTAGAGATGGAGGTTTCACCATGTTGGCCAGGCTGGTCTTGAACTCCTGACCTCAGGTTATCCACTCGCCTCGGCCTCCCAAAGTGCTGGGATTACAGGCGTGAGCCACCGTGCCTGACTGTAATTGCTCATTGCATCTCTAAAATATTCTATCTTAGTATTTGTAGCACTAATTGTACTTTATTTAGGTTATCCTATTTTTCATTTTGAGGCCCTTTATTTTAGCAACAAGACATACTGGCAGGTTAAAACTGCTTTATTATTATTTTTTTAACATAGAAGAAGCTTGGTAGTGGACATGTGGCCATTTGATGTTTTTATGACTAAGAGAGTTCAGGCTCAATCTCTTACAGAATGTAAATGTACCCCTATGCATGCATATGTAATTCTTATCAAAATTAAGCTTAATCACTAAAAGAAGATTCGCTATCTGAACTTTCTTCTACAGTTTTCTCACTTTCGCCATCAGGCACTGGAGCATCTGGCCTCCTAAAAGAAAAGAAAAAAAAATTTCAAAGGTCTTTTCCAATTGAAAAGAGCACTTACAAACTCTTAAATTTGGTTCATCTTAGAATATTGCTGCTAATAAATCTGCCAAGTCCGTGTCCTCAGTCTCCTGCTCTACACCACAGCGTGCTTCTCTCGGGCTTCTTGGGCACCATGGGGATTCAATGCTATGCCTGTAGAGGCCGCGACAGTATTTTCTCTTGCCAGTCCTTACATAGTGCGCTACTTCAGCACTTTCTGCTTCTCATTACCATGGAGACCCAATTATAGACAGAGATGTGATCTGTAGAGGCTGGCATGACCAGTGCTAAGTCCCTGAAGCTTCCAAGTGTACATGAGGTACAGAGAAAGGAAAGCTAGAAATGAAAAGAAAAGGAAATGCTTCATGTTCAGGAAAGCTGCAGGGAGAAACTTAGAAATGGAAGAGAGTTCAAAAATGGCTAATAAAAAAATAGGTAATGTGGAAATTTTGTAGCGAAGGAGAGTGCCTGGTCGAAGAAGGTTCTTAATGTTTGTTAAACGTTTTCACTTACATGTTTTATCTTTACAGAATGAAAATAGAAAGTATGAGTTGGCAAAAATACTGTTTCAAAGATCCCCTAGGCATTATAAGGAGACATGAGAATGGTTAGATTCCAACTTTGCATGGATGTGCTCTAATAAACCAAAATGAAATTTTAATGATGTTATTAAAACAGTCAACTAGTTAAGCCTCAATAGTTTTGTGCCAGTAAGTCATTTAATCAGTGTAGTGGCATTATCACTTAGCCTCTATTCACTCTTACCAAGAAAGTAAATTAAGCAAGAAAAGTATTTTTGGGGGGGAAACCAAGAGGAAAAGGAGTAACAATATAACTGCTACATCTTTTTTTTTTTTTTTTTTTTTTTTTGAGATGGAGTCTCGCTCTTGTCACCAGGCTGAAGTGCAATGGTGTGATCTCGGCTCACTGCAACCTCTGTCTCCCAGGTTCAAGCCATCCTCTTGCCTCAGCCTCCCGAGTAGAGGTGTGTGCCACCACGCCCAGCTAATTTTTGTATTTTCAGTAGAGACGGGATTTCACCATGTTGGCCAGGATGGTCTTGATCTCCTGACCCTGTGATCCACCCGCTCTGGCCTCCCAAAGTGCTGGGATTATAGATGCGAGCCCGTGCCTGGCCTATAACTGCTGTATCTTAATAATTACAAACTACCAGACTGATTTCTCCCTCAGGCTTGACTCTTATTAAACATTTAGGACACTTAAAAATAAAACTCATATTCACCACAAACAGAAATTACTATTACTAAAATAAGAAAATGCACAGTCTAACAGTTACTTTAGGTATTAAAATTATGGCTTATATTTTTAAATATATTTGGCATACTACAAAAGAGAAAATAATGCTGGCATTGCTCCCTAGTTGTCAAATATAAACCCATTTGCTCTGCTGAACAATTTTAGATTATATCTACAAGGAAGCATTATGTAGTCAATACAGTGAAACTTTAAAGCTGGGTACAGCAGTTCCAGGATTTGACTGATGCTCCATCTGCCTAAAATACTAACATGGGACCATCATCTTCCTCCCTTTTCATTAGAAGCAACAACTCTAGAATTAGTGGGTATGAATACTAGGCACATTTTACCCAGTAAATTTCTCTTTGCTATATATTTGATTTCTTACTGTCTATACTTTGTTAAGTAGGAAAACATTACCAGTGGGAATTATTTTAATACCACATCAAAATTGTATTAGTACCTATGACAACTCAAACAAATACAACAATGTACATAACTTCCTAAAATAAATGCTACTTTAGAAAAGGGTAGGCCAGGGATGTCGATTCATGCCTGTAATCCCAGCACTTTGGGAGGCCGAAGAGGGCGTTTTGCTTGAGCCCAGCAGTTCAAGACCAGCCTGGGCAACAGGGCAAAACACCATCCTTTGCAAAAAAATAGAGAAATTAGCCAGTAGTGGCCTACTGTGCCAGCTACTTTGGAGGCTGAGGTGTATCACTTGAGCCTGGGGGCAGAGGCTGCAGTAAGCTGTGACCATGCCTGGGCACTCCAATCTGGGCAACAGAGTGAAACCCTGTCTCAAAAAAAAAAGGAAAAGGGTAAAAGCAGCTTAGGACCAGAAGAAACTGAAACTATAAAATTCATTAATTTATGTGTGTAACCATTTATTGATACATGTGATGCTATATTACATAGTAACTAAGAATATAGGCTCTGGGTACAGACTGTGCTAAAATCCCATCCTTGTTTCTTACTTGTTGGCCAACTTTGGGGAAGCTATTTAACTACTTTGTGTCTGACTGATTGATTGGATTTTGTGATGATTAAATTAATTAATAAATGTAAAGTGTGTTCGATAATATCTGGCACATAGTATCAGATAAATATTATCTGCTGTTATTATGATGATTTATTTTCATCATCATGCATCTACTATTTGCTAGAAAATGTGTTAGGTACTGGAGATACAGAGATGAATAACAAGTAGTTCCTTCCCTGAAGCAGCTAAAATTTTTGTGAGGGAGACAGAAATGCAAACAAATTGTTACAGAATGTGAGACAGCCATGTGCCACATAATGATGTTTCAATCAGTGATGAACTGCATAGGACGGTGGTCCCATTAGATTATAATGGAGCTGAGAAACCTCTATCGCCTAGTATTTACTATACTGTACTTTCTGTTATTTTATTTTATTTGACCAGAAGTCTCATTCTGTTGCCCAGTCTGGAGAGTAGTAGTGTGATCTCGGCTCACTGAAACCTCTGCCTTCTGGGTTCAAGAGATTCTCCTGTCTCAGTCTCCTGAGTAGCTGAGACTACAGGCATGCGCCACCACCCCTGGCTAATTTTTTTACTTTTGGTAGAGAGCGGGTTTCACCATGTTGGCCAGGCTGGTCTTGAACTCCTGACCTCAAGTGATCCATCTGCCTCAGCCTCCCAAAGTGCTGGGATTACAGGCGTGAGCCACAGCGTCCAGCCTCTGTTGTTATTTCATTTTATTTTATATTTTTTTCAACAGAGTCTTGCTCTGTCACCCAGGCTAGGGTGCAGTGGTGCAATCTTGGCTCACTGCAATCTCTACCTCCAGGGTTCAAGCCATCCTCCTGCCTCAGCCTCCTGAGTAGCTGGGATTACAGGCATGCACCACCATGCCCAGCTAATTTTTGTATTTTTAGTAGTGATGGGGTTTCTCCATGTTGGCCAGGCTGGTCTCGAACTCCTGACCTCAGGTGATGCACCTGCCTCAGCCTCCTAAAGTGTTGGGATTACAGGTGTAAGCCACTGTGCCTGGCCTCTGTTGTTATTTTAGAGGGTACTCCTACTTACTTTTTGAAAAAAAAGTTAACGTTAAACAGCCTCAGGGAGGTCCTTCAGGAGATATTCCAGAAGAAGGCATTGTTACAATAGAAAATAGCAGATTCATGCCTGTTATTGCCCCTGAAGACCTTTTAGTCAGACAGGATATGGAGAACAGTCATATTGATGATCCTGACATGACTAGGCCTTGTATGTGTTTTAGTTTTTGGCAAAGAAGTTTAAGAAGTCAAAATAAAAAGTTCATAGAATAAAGATATAAAGAAAGAAAATATTTTTGTATAGCTGTAAAATTTATGACTTGTCTTTTAAGCTAAGTAGTATTACAAAATAGTTAAAAAGGTAAAAAGTTGATAAAGTTATAGTAAGCTAAGGTTAATTTATTATTGAAAAAATTTTTAAAAATAAATTTAGTGTAGTCTAAGTGTACAGTGTTTATGAAATTTACAGTGGTGTATAATAACATCCTAGGCCTTCATATTCACTCCCTATTCACTCACTAGGTGACCAGAGCAACTCCAGTCCTGAAAGCTCCATTCATGGTAACTGCCCTATGCAGGTACCATTTTTCACTTTTTATACAGCATTTTTACTGTACTTTTTCTATGTTTAGATATGCTTAGATACACAAATACTTGTCATTGTGTTACAATTGCCTACAGTATTTGGTATAGTAATATGCTGTACAGGTTTATAGCCTAAGTGTGTAGTACGCTATACCATTTAGGCTTGTGTAAGTACACTCTATGACGTTTGCACAATGACAAAATCACCTACAATGCATTTCTTGTAACATATCCCTGTCCTTAAGCGATGCACGGCTGTATATATACAAATAAGGCTGAACTGTTTGTGTGAAAAGAAAAAATAGTCTGCTGAAGTCGGTCAGAGAAGACTCCAAATAGTTGGAAACACTTGCGAAGAGTTTTGTGATTCGAGTAAGACTTTGCCAGAAACAGAGAAGGCGGAAATAAAAGAGAATGACAGCATTCTGGGTAAAGAATAAAATGGGATGGTGTAGCAGGCTGCATTCAGAAACTGTAAGTCATTTGTTAGTTAGAGTGTAAAGTACACTGGGGTGCAACAGTAGATGAGATTAGAACATCTAGCAGGAGCAATAGGTGGAAACTCTCTTTAACCTTCCGAGGAACTGCCAAACTTTTCCACAGCAGCTGTACCATTTTACATTTGTACCTGCAATGTATGAGGGTTCCAATTTCTCCACACCGTCAGCAACACTTGTTATTGTCTGTCTTCATTTTTTTCTTTTTTTAATTTTTCTTATTGTAAAATACAGATAACATAAAATTTAATATTGTAACCATTTTTAAGTATACGGTAGTGTTTAGTACATTCACATTGTTGTACAACCATCATCACCATCCATCTCCTGAACTCTCTTCATCTTGCAAAACTGAATCTCTGTACTCATTTAATAACATTCCCTTATCCGTCCAGCTGCTGACAACCACTATTCTTTCTGTCTCTATGAATTTGACTACTCTAGATGCCTCATACAAGTGGAATCATAAAATATTTGTCCTTCTGTGATAGGCTTATTTCATTTAGTACAATGTCCTAAAAGTCCATCTATGTTGTAGCATGTGTCAGAATTTCCTTCCTTTTTAAGGCTGAGTAATATTCCACCGTATGTATATACCATAATTGTTCCTATTCATCCACTGATGGATACTTACTTCCATTGCTTCTATCTTTTGGCTATTGTGAAAAATGCTGCTATGAACATGCGTATACAAATATCTCTTTGAGACTCTGCTTTCAATTCTTTTGGGTACATCCCCAAAAGTGGAAGTGCTGAATAATTCTATTTTTAATTTTTTAAGGGATCACAATACTCTTTTCTGTAGCAGCTGCATCATTTTATATTCCCACCAACAATGCACAGGGGCTCCAATTTCTTCATATCCTTACCAGTACTTATTGTCTTTGTTTGTTTATTTATTGGAGACAAGGTCTCATTCTGTTGCCCAGGCTGGAGTGCAGTGGCACGGTCAGAGCTCACTATAGCCTCAGCCTCCTGGGCTCAAGTGATCCTCCTGCCTTAGCCTCCCAAGTACTTGGGACTGCAGATACACTCTATCGCGCCTGGCTAATTTAACTTTTTGTAAAGATGAGGTCTCACTTTGTTGCCCAATCTGGTTTAGAACTCCTGGCTTCAAGTGATTCTCCACCCTTGGCCTCCCAAAGTGTTGAGATTACAGGCACGAGCCACTGCACCTGGCTCCTCATTCATTTTATTATTTATTTATTTATTTAGAGATGAAGTCTTATTTATTTATTTATTTATTTAGTGAGGCTGGAGTGCAGTGGCACCATCTTGGCTCACTCCAACCTCCACCTCCCAGGTTCAAGCAATTCTCCCTGCCTTAGCCTCCTGAGTAGCTGGTATTACAGGCGAGTGCCACCACACCCAGATAATTTTTGTATTTTTTAGTAGAGACAGGGTTTCGCCATGTTGGCCAGGCTGGTCTCGAATTCCTGACCTCAGGTGATCTGCTCGCCTCAGCCTCCCAAAGTGCTGGGATTACAGGCATGAGCCACCGCGGCTGGCCCCCTCATTCATGTTCAAAAAATTGGAATTGCCAGGAGAACAAAAGAAAAAGTGCATACTAGTTCTCTTTGGGTACAAAAAAGAAAAGCAAGCCACAAGAATCAAATGAGGTAATTTATAGGAAAGCATTTTATAAGTTGTAAAGCCTTATAAATATTACTAGTAATAATAAAACTCACAGCAATACCATCATTTCCAGGCGGGATATTCATATTTTCAAGGGGAACAGAAATTTGGCTCTGCATATTATGATCATAAATGTTCTTACTTCACCCTACAAGTTGTTTTTCATGGAAAGAAATTTTAAGACATATTTGAAAAAGTTGCTACCTTAAACTACTAAAGTTTAGCTTCTCCCAATTCAAAGAAAACACACTTTACTACTAAAATTTGGAAATTAGGACTTTATAATAGTCTCTTGTTATTTTAAATACATAAGTGAATTTCCAAAAAAGATTACATCAACAAAATACAGAAAAATATACATCATGAATATCATGTATATTTTTTAAAAATTTCAATCTTTGGTGGTTACAATAAAAACACTAGCTTGGTGGCTACATTTTAATAAGCATATTTATATTTGTGACACCAAAATTATCAGTAAAATTCTTAACAAAAGCAAATTTTTAAAAAGTTTAAGTTTAAGCTAATTACTAAGTCTAAACTATCTTAAAAATATATATCTTTTCAAAGAAGTTACTAGGTTGACCTCAACTAAAAATGAGCCAAAATATACAAAGGCGCAGCAGGAAGGACGAAGTATATACAAATCTGCCCTTTTTAGCATACCAGATGCTGTGCACATTCTAATTTTGACACCCGTTCTTCTCCCATTGATGTGAATCAATGAAGGTTGTCAACTAGAATCCTTGCTGTCCTCATCTTTTCCCTATCCACTTCCTTGTTTCAGTCACACAGTCTAGGCCTGGCCAATCACAGGAATCTATTCCCTTGGAGAGAGAGAGAGATGGATTCGAGGAAAGGCACACAATTCAAGCAGGGCTAGTCAGAATGTTTCCTTTTAAATGAACTATGGGTTATGGAGAAGAGGGAACTCTCTCTCTGTTCAACTGGAAAAACAGCAATATTAAAGCCTTGCTGGGGAGCTATGTTCCCAGGCTTCAGAGAGGAAACCCATTAGCACTAGGAGAGACACGGTTTATTACACCAAGGAAGTAAAGGTAGAATGAGGTGGGGAGAGGAGAATGCCAGTCAGCCAGCCCTGATGACACTGAGTCCCTAGATCCTGTCCTTACCTAGATTTTTCAGCTATGAGAGTCCATAACTTCCCTTCTTATATAAGCTAGTTTGAGTTGGTTTCTGCCATCCTAAATATGAAGAGAGTCCTAAAATACCATTATTGTTGGTTTAATTTGTTTTCATTAGAGGAAGATTTATATTTGTGTTTAAAACTAGCTACTTTAAGGACAGAAAAACCAAACATTCTTTGGAAAAACATGTATGATAAAGAGTTTAAAAACATTTTTCATTTTCTAGACACTTAAAGACACTGAATTTAAAGCAGATTAAGTAGCAAAAACATTGTCAGTAAAAATATTGCTGAATAGGAGATGATGAGGTAGTTATTATTCAAATCACTGATGGAAACTACACACACATAAAGTTATAAAGTCACATGGTACTGTTGTCAATTAATGGTCTGTCAGAGCTATGCGATGGCAATAGGTGGTCTTAAGAGAGTCAGGCGTGGTGGCTCACACCTGTAATCCCAGCACTTTGGGAGGCCGAGGTGGGTGGATCACCTGAGGTGAGGAGTTCGAGACCAGTCTGGCCAACATGGTGAAACCCTGTCTCTACTAAAAATATAAAAATTAGCCAGGCATGGTGGCATGTGCCTGTAATCCCAGCTACTTGGGAGGCTGAGGCAGGAGAATCGCTTGAACCCGGGAGGCAGAGGTTGCAGTGAGGTGAGATTGCACCACTGCACTCCAGCCTGGGCGACAAGAGCAAAATTCCATCTCAAAAAACAAAAACAAAAACAAAAACAAAAAACAAACAAAACACCAAAACACTAAGATTCTTGAACTGAGATTGTATTGACTTAATAAGAACCTCTGGGTAATTAAAAATGTAACAATTTTGATTTTGAATTATAGCAGCTAGTGAGATCAATTTGGTCTTTTCTCTTTTGAATTCTCATCAAGACAGGTATATTCTGTTCTTTGTCTTAGTAGGTAGACTCCTGCAACCAGGAAAACAATTTAATGCCTAATATCATGAAGAAAAAGAAAAGCAGCTGTTCTAGGTAGGATGGACTTTTGCTCTTGATCTTGGGATCCTTTATTTCCCAGCAGCAACTCTGTCACTTGCTTGCTAGCCACTCACAGACCACAACTGCTTTTTAACATCTCCTCTTTGATATATCTATTATCTCTCTCATTCTTATGATCAAGTTCTCTAAAAGCAGACCAATTACAATTTTTTGATATGGTTTTTATTTGTCCTATACTTTCTAGCTAGTGTCTGCCAGCTAATGAATGAGGACTGGTAATTACATTAAATGGAGAACCTAGCTCAGCAAAAACTAACAAAACGGAAACAGTAAAAACCCTATTTTTGGATGTCCAGTTGTGCAACTGAGATCTAATCTATCCTCAACCGGCCAAAACTCAACCTTTAATCCACTATGTTGTTGTATAGCAGGAGGTAAAGATCCTCCTGGCAGATAAGGAATGATCTTAGAGGGCAGGAAAATCTGCTGGGCATGCCATGTAAAAAAAGTTTTTTGCTTTCCAGTATCCTTTTGTTTAACAATAATAAATCCCCTCTTGTCTCAGTGATAAGTAGGCTAAGGTGGCTACTTTTATTTCTGGCAACTATAAGAGTGGTCATTCCACCATCTGGGAGGATGGTATAAATGTCTTTTGGATAGATATATCCAGGAGAAATGCCAACTGAGCTGGTTCTGTTCAAAGTCTGCAGAGTAACTTGAACTCAATTATATGCTTTCTTTAGCCAAATCAATAAGCTGCACACTGCACCCTCCCACTAAGGTTAGGAGTATGTTCAATTGAATTTCAATTTCAGAAATCTGTTCTTTACAGGAAAGTTAACAATATAGGTTCTCAGTTTGAGAAAACAATATAATTTAAAAAGATAACTACTCTGTATATGTTAAATATGTCTTTGTTGAGAACATAATAGTATATAGGCAACTACAGGATTATAAACAAGTTATGATCCAAAAGCCTGATAAATCCATTGCCTAGAATTTGCTACATATTCCTCCATTAAAACATTCATAAATCACAACTAATATTTATTAAACATTTACTGCTTATCCAGAGCTGTGCTGAGTGCTTACAACATTGTTTATCTTAGTCTGAACAACTCTGTAAGGGAGTGAACTCTTCTATTTCCCATTTTACTGATGAGAAAACTGATGCACAGAGAGGTTAGGTAATCAAACCAGGGTTACACAACTAGAAAGTGGCAAGTAATACAAGTAGGTAGACCATCTGAATACAAGTAAGTAGACCATCTCTAAAGCCGGCCTTATCCTGAGCCTTAACTATCATGAATTTCATGGCTTGCTGATGGGCAAGTCCAGAAGCTAGTCTGTTTATCCTAGAATTGTAAAAGTAGCAATTACTAGGTAACAACAGTAATGTTAGTTCAGGGACATAAATGTAAGTGTACAGACCAGGATGGGGTGAAACTTTTTTCTTTTTTTCTAAGCAAGAAAACCTAGGCAATGATTGAAAGAATATTTAAGGCGCGATATACCCATTCTATATTTCTGAATGTATTAACCTTTGGCCAAAGACCAATTAAAATTTTCCATTTTCCCCTTAACTCTTTTGAGTATTTTGGTGACAAATATTCTTTCACATATCTTTTTATCTCGGTGGTACTGAAATTAATTTTTAGAAGCTAAACAGGACTAATTCTTGGTTATATATAAATGATTATTTTCAAAAACTTGAATTTTTAAAAACAAACAATCACTTAGAAGAATCAAATCCAATATTTATTTAGTAATTATCAGGCATTTTCTACAGTTTTATAGAATTCCTAAAATTCTGTAATAGTCATTTTTCTAGGAAAATTGCCAGGATCTCTTCTCCCTTATCATGTAAATATTTTTGATTTAAAATTATGTACTCTCAGCTTCCAATTTTATACACATAAGCCAATCAACTATAAATATTTTTCTGATCAGTATTTATTTCTATATTAACCTCAGTTTTGCCCTTTGCTCAGTGCAGATAGAGGTAGGCCATTTCTTCCAACAGTTATATGAGTTTGTCTTACTACCTAAAGCTAATAAAAAATAAAGTGTATGTTTATACTTTAAAAGAAAAAAGAACACAGAACAATCTTTACTGAAAGTTCTTGGCTGAGGCTTAAAATGTACCTAAGATTCTAAATAAAAGTGTACTCTTCCCTTGGATGGCACATTTTCTTCTCTTTCATCATCTCATACTTTTCTCCTGAAGTGAGGCTCCGTAACTTTTATGTAAACATGATTCCAAAAGCATCATAATTCCTCTGTTAACACGGTAGTTGACTGCACTTATCACATCTAGCTAAATGCAGTTGAAACTGGGTTGCTAGTAGTGGTGATAGGTTACATTGAGTCACCCCCACTCCAACCAGTGCCCCTGGTGACCAATGGCATGTGCATATGAGGTAATGGGGCAGAATTCAGGCTCTAGGCTGTGGTTGAGGAGCAGCTTTTCTGTAAGACAATGTTAATTGTTACTGGAATTCTACCCTTAAACTTGGCACTACCTCACAACTGAATGTTTCTCAACATTCATAGACAACGAAATACCCTCAAACTGGCCAAGTGAGACACAAGGAAATGTTGAAGGGCCTGGGATCTTCCTCCGTGGTAGTTACCTATGGACTCTATCAGGTGGTGATACCTGATGGAGTCTTAAAGAATAATAGGTTAGCCAGGCCAGTAAGATGAGGGAAGGGAGTTCCACAGAGAGAAAGGAAAACATTTAACGACACCAAAAGGGAATAGGAAAATGTTACATTCAGGGAACTGCAAGTAGTTTGCTATGGCTATATGAAATAGGCATATGTGAAAGAATCACAAGAGAGGAAGCTAGTGAGAGAATCTGAATCTTGATGATAAAACCATTTCTATGCAATACTAAGATGTTAGACTACACGTTGAAGGCAGTGGAGAGTCACAGGAAGATGTGAAGCAAGAATGAAGTATGAAGAGATCCACTCAGGCTTTAGTGGATGGCTTGAAAGAGAACAGGAAAACCAATCAGTAGCTACTATAGTAATTCAGATTACAAACGATGAGGGCGTGAACTAAACGGCAATGGATATGGAGGCATATGGTGAGATGTGAGAGATATTAAAAATGAGAACATCATAGTGATTGACACTGTAGTGGGTAAGGAAGAAGACAGAATCAAGGATGATTATCAAGTTGCTAGTGCAGGTAGCTGGCTGAAGTAAAGGATTATGAAGTAGGTTTAGGCTGGACAGGGGATGAAATGAAGCCAGTAGCAGGTAAAAGGCTTGGATATCCAGCATATGCTGATGCTTATAGGGTGCTAGTTTTCCATTTATTATATTTTCTCTAGAAAAAGATAATCATTTTAAAGGTAATTTTAGCTCTCTGTTATTATAGGAGGTCTAACTGTGTATTTCCAGAAGCAAAAGGAGGTCACAGTTAATGTTAAATATATTTACAACCTATATATTGCAATGAATACCAAAATGGATTGAACCTATATGTCTGATTCACATTAAAATACATATCACAAGCCGTCTGGCTTTTAAAGTCTGTGTCAGGAACAATTTCCACAACAAATGCCAAATATCTCGGAGATGCTTCAGTTCAAGCTGCCAAGCTATGCCATTGTACTTGAACTGTTTGCTACTTGGATGTATGCCAAATGTAGATATATGTTTGAAATTTGTTCTTGTAGACTTTAAAAGAATTCATAAATTTCATATTTTGGCAGATAAAATATGAGAAAAAGACTACTTCATAATGTTTTACCTCCAAAGTGTACACATTTTCTTGGAGGACTGAGAGCCAAGAAAAATTCCAAAGTATACTGCTAGTACAGTAATGAATGCTTAGAGTGCACAGCTAAATACATTGGGGTGAACTACAGCCCCAAATTGGAAAGATTCTTTACAAGTACCTAGATACTTGCAAAACAGAATTCTTCTGAAGAATGCATTACGATATATTTTATCCAAGATGAACTATACAGCCAGATTTGCTTGGATGAAATAAACTGTTGTCAAATTTCTGAGCCACAATTTTTTTTTATCATTTCTCAAAAATATTTTATAAAATTCACACAATAAGGGATTAAATACTTTAAGGTTAAAAAAAACTCACATAAATTAGTATCTAGTTTCTTAATAACCATTAACATAGACCCAGAACAGCTTTAGCCTATTTATTTCTCAATCTGGCTTAACCTAGATTATAGCAGACTAAATTTCCTACAAACTAAGATCTTACATGAAATCATCTACCCCCTGGTACATAATAATCACCCCCCCACCAAAAAAGCACAAACCAACAAATAAACAAAAAAACAATCAAGCCAAGAAAGAGGTAGCACAAAAAGGAAAAAAAAAAAAAAAGCAAAAAAAATTGTCATTAAATTCCAGCTCCTTTGGATATCTAGAATAATTACTAATCTATTGAAACTGTTCCTAAAATGTGTAAAGGCTGGTCTTAGTAGAATATGATATTTTTCTGTTTGGTAACATAACAGACACACTATTTACAAAGATGATATCCTCAACCATAAAACACTGTAGGAATAAAAATACAGAGAATTTGAAATATTTTTATTATAACTGACAAATTCAATGTCCTGGCAATAATATCATTATATTAGAAGAATTACTTACTCAAGAAGATCTGGGTCTAGTCCTTCTGATATCATTTTGTTTCTTATTGCCATCACTGGTACACCCTAAGCAAAGGATATAAGATAATTTCATCATTAAAAATGTCTCCTTTATATGTCGACACATACCATCTAAAACAAGACCTTCAGATGCCTCATTATTTAAAAGTTCTTATTCTACTTTAAAATTAGCATGTGCCTAGCACTAGAATAATCTAGTAAAGTACCCATTTTACATTGACCTAACAGAATTAGTCTTATCCAATACCACATAAGCCCAAATTACATCATTTGAGCTTATTCATTACTAATTCTGCTGTATACAGAACAGAGATCATATTCTCACTCTTCTTATATCACCAAAAGAAAGAAAACATTACTCAAATGACTAAAATACCAGTGGAAGCCATACAATGAATAGTTAACAATATGAATAGGTATCTTTTCAAAGATTTCAGAGAGTTCCATTCTTAAGTATAGCTATATTAATGTTCTTTTAATAAGCAAAGAGTCCAATTCCATTTGAACACTTTAGACACAAAAATCAAATCTAATTCAAGAACCTCCCTGGGACTATATTACACATCTTCCCAACACTGGTACAAACACTAATGACAATTTTAGAAGTGTATACGTTGCAAAAATAGTAA
Organism: Homo sapiens; assembly: GCF_000001405.40. NCBI lineage: Eukaryota > Metazoa > Chordata > Mammalia > Primates > Hominidae > Homo > Homo sapiens. The sequence goes on from NC_000012.12 coordinate 102,026,623, forward strand.
AAACACGTGAATCTCAGAGTTCAGGTTAAGAATATGAAAACACTAAGAAAAGAATATGACAGAAATAAAGACACATTTACTTGAAAAGGAAAGAGACTTGATGTATAACTAAACATTTATTCCAAGTTCACTTGGTGAAGCTCTAAGGGGAGAAGATGTAATCAAATCTCTGTCAACTCCCCTCTCTTCACACCATCCCCAAGGATAAGAAACACTAAACTGATGTGTTCAATTTGAGGGCCTTGATTCTATCTCCTTAAAGGAGGCAGGGTCATGGCATGGGACCCTCCCTCTCACCCCGTGTGGCATAAGAAGGAAAGTACACCCAGATACACTCAGGAAAAAGCCCAATCACCTCTCTATTGCTGTTGCACACACTTCTTTTATCATTAGCCAGTTGTGATGTTCATTTTTTAACTTTTATTTTTAATTGACAAATAATAATTGCACATGTTTATGTGTATAATGTGCTGTTTTGAAACATGTACACATTGAGGAATAATCAAATTAGGCTATTTAGCATATCTGTCACCTCAATTATTTATTATTTGCGGTAAGAACTTTTAAAATTCTCTCCCATAGCTATTTTGAAATATACATCTTGAAGATGGGATAAGAGTTTGTCTAAAATGAAAAGTACAAATACTTAGAAATATACACAAATCTTTATATAACCTATCATATGTACACTTGTCTCAAACTTTTAAGTATATGCTTGTCCAGATATACTCCTCCCCCTCCAAAATGCTGATTTTGTATTTCCCAGTAAAATCTGAGTTTAAGTCCAGGCATGCATATGTACAAACGTGACAGCTAAATTTATTACAAATTTAATATGAAAAGTCTTCAAAGTTAAGGACACTATATATAACAGAGTATCTTGCATCTCACAGATCTTGCCAAATTAAGTTAAATCATTAAATTTAATCCTCATTTTTTTAATAAGAAAATTTTATGTAAAAAAATTTAATTTTTATTTACTTCAAAAAAACTGTCCAGAAAAGATAGCTATGGAAAGAGTCATAATCACTTATTTTGGCTATGGCGGAGAAAATACCCACATCCCCTTTCACAGCCTGCTAGGTTAAATAAGGTTAGGAATGCAAAGGCTTTCTTTTGAGTTTACAGGTTACTTAGAAGACTCTCATGAGAGGTAGCAAAGGCAATGTGGTCATTTGCAGGCCCATTTATATACTTATCTTGGTAACTGTTGTTTTGTCTTATAAATTAGTAAAATTTAGCTTATTAAGACTCAGGTAAAAATGAATACTTAAATGCATTCTAAATAATACATGAATCAATATAAATAGTACCATCTTTGAATTCTCTTCAAAACCATACCTCTGAAAGCAATATTGTTCCATGAGGCAATTTTAAAGATATTCTGAAAAGTGCATTATAATAGGTTTGGAAGTCAAAGAAGGTAGAAGATAAGTTTAATGACCAAAAAGAGAAAAACAGAAAAAAGCCCACTTGCTAGGGGCATCCGATGTGAACAGATTCAAGTTTGGAATAAAGAAAGCAAGAAATTAAAACTAACACCACTTTTGAAATATATATCTAAAACTAAGACTTGAATGAAATATATTTAAAAGCAAAACATACTTAATAACAAAATTAATTTTAATAATAGAGGAGAAAGCTGATTACTTGAATGACACAGCTGGGAATTTAACTTGATAATTAAATCTCATTCAATTATTTAGGATAACAGGGGGTAAGTTAGGAGTTTGAAACATTCCACAAAAAAATATGAGTGCCAGGAAAAAAGAGAAGAAGAGCAGAGTTAATGTCATAGTTCTTTAAAAAGACCTCTTGGCTTCTACTAACTATGGTTTGATGGTATAAGGTCTTTCTATAAACTCAAGCATGTGATTTATTTATTATACTTTAGCATAATCCACAGGACGTCATTGGAAAGGTTACACAAATAAGTTACAAAGCCAAGAAAAGAGAAGCAAGGAGAATGAGGTTGAAAAAAAAATTTCCTAAAATATAGCAAAGAAAGTGTATGTTGGGTGGAGGTGAGGGGAAGCAATGCGTGGGAAGGGAGGAATGGGGAACAAGGAAGTTGGTAGAATTAGATAAGCCCTCTATTTGAACATCAGCTTCATGGAATTGATTATAAGAATAATAAGAATTATAAGAATAATAAGAATTATATAATAAGAATAATAAGAATTATATCACAATAAGAATTATAAGAATAATAAGAATAAGTATAAGAATAATAGAAACCTAAACCTGTAAGCTCCAAATTTGAACCTTAGTTTCTGGGGCCTGCTTACAGCAGAACAGCACAGATACACATACAATTTGGCATTTTTAGTCATTTCTGTATATGCATATGGGTAAAGAAAAATATATACAATTGCTAATATCTTAACTGATTCTGAGACTTACTATCACTACCTTAATACGAATCTCATAAAGCTTGATAAAAAAGAATAATTTGGCCTGTGTTCCAAAGAATGCATTCCCAAGGGATTTGCTGTTGTTTCCAGTGATGTTGCTTAGAAAATTCGTTGTTTTGCTATATTCTTCCTTAGAAGTCAAGTAACAGAGTCTGGTTTGTTAAACACCAAAAAGAAGTGTCCAATTTCTGATCGCCAACAGACAAAGCTACTGGTGGTCTAAGAAGGACAAGAAAGACCTCAAAACTGAAGTCTACTGAACTGTGGGATTTTTTTTGGCAAGTGAAAATGACAGTGTGTCCAACATAAGTAATGAAGAAGACAGAAGGCAGCCATAAGTCTGATGTTCCAAAAAATCACGTCTGTATTTGCGTCACTGGAGAAAGTGTGTAAAGAAGCCACACTAATGAAATTATGATGGCAGCACTAATAGTTAAATACTAGTTTCTTATATCACAAAAAACTGTTTGGAGGTTTATAGTCCTGCCAATATTTACATTTATTTCTTATTGTGTTAAAGAAAGTCAAACTACAAAATCCTTTTATAAACCATGTTGAAATTTTCCTAAAGTTTTAGATTAGAAGGGGGAAAAACAACTTCATTGTCAATTTAAGAGAGATAAATGACTTTCCTTGTTTAAAAATAACTAAAAATGCTCCTTATATTTTAGAGTTTTTCCTCTTAATTTAAGAGTGTGAATTGTAACAATTCAATTATGAAAGATGAAAAACATGAAGTTTTCTTCCCTACCTAAGGCAACAATAAAAAATAGATCTATTGAATACGTTGGTGGAAAAAACTTTTTCTTTGCAGAGCACGGGAACTAGTAGAATTTGAAAAAACGCTACGGGTTGTTAAAAGGCAGCTAGTCCCCCAATCAGGCTCCTTTTACTTAAAATTTAACTTAATAAAATGGACTCAATCATATCTTTGCCTTCTGAATTTCAACAGTCCTATTTAAAAAATACTTTACTGAGGCCGGGCGCAGTGGTTCATGCCTGTAATCCCAGCACTTTGGGAGGCTGAGGTGGGCGGATCACCTGAGGTCGGGAGTTCGAGACCAGCCTGACCAACATGGAGAAACCGTGTCTCTACTAAAAACACAAAATTAGCCAGGAGTGGTGGCACATGCCTGTAATCCCAGCTACTCAGGAGGCTGAGGTAGGAGAATCACTTGAACCCAGGAGGCGGAGGTTGCGGTGAGCCAAGATTGCACCATTGCACTCCAGCCTGGGCAACAAGAGGGAAACTCCATCTCAAAAAAAAAAAAAAAAAATTATTGTATTTTATGAAATAAATTAGTAGGATGTACATTTAGGATGAAATTTTCAGATTAAATATTATATATAATGGGTTATTGTTCACTGAACAAATCATAACACAAAAGAAAACAAATGCTCAATGACCTTTTCTCCTCGAAGCTTTCAGTGAAGAAATATCAATTAATTTAAATAAATTTTTTAATCACTGTAAAATGAATACGGCTACCTAAAAAAAATGGAAACTTTATTTCTAATGACCTATACAGATCTAGAAAATATTTGGTAAACAACTAGTTCCTGGAAACAAATTATTCAAAAATGAACATTTTCACAGCAATTAAATGTCACTAAGGATGGCTATAATAAAAAATGTGATATTAGTATTAAAATATTCTCAGCTATATGATTATGACAACAGTGGTATCAGTGAAGAATAAATAGATGAGAATTGAGGGAGGCATATATAGTATTACCAAGTAGGTACTGACATGACAACCATATAACTATTTAGTATCTGCCCACTACATGGCCAGTACTTCCTTCACTCTTCTAGCTTTATCACACACCAGAAAAAGCAAGAAATTTAAAACCTGAACTTTTAGCAGTATCATTGCTTACTGCCCTCTAACAAACATTTATAACAAGAAAATTTAAAAATATGCAAAAGGGCAAATACATAATAGGCAGATTTAATGTCGTTTCAACATTAAATCTGTACACAGTATGACTGGTTCTAAGCTCCCTAACTTTCAAGGCAACATGGAGGGTTCAAAAGGCAGCTAAAATGATGGAAAAATCCTAATCTGTAAAACTGGCATAATCATTCTTCACACATGATTTCTTTAGAGGCCAGTTCACTGACTTTAGCAGAGAGTAATTTTTGAAATTTCTTGTCAAAAGTATGACAAAAGTTATCTTTCTCTAGGTCCTCTGTATACTGGGGCCATGGCAAAGCATAGGTAATATGGCAGGGGCTTCCAGTTGGTGGCTGTCACAGTTTTCTGCTTAAGGGAAAACTCTATCCAAACCTTGATGCATTTGATATAAGCTAGAAAGTAGAAGGAGGAGGACAAATGTCAGAGGTCACTTGAATCCCAATTATCCCAACTCAAAGTTACTATTCATATAGTTTACTATTTTGCTAAGCTTTGCTTCTTTCTTTTAGTTGTAGTCAGACCTGCCTAACTTACTTAGTTCATGGGAAGAATAAAATATTTTTACTTAAAATTTTCAAAGTTGGCTAAATTATACAATTAATTAAACAGATAAATGTTCATTTGTATCTTTTCTTTATATTCATAAGTGTGGCAAATCAAAGTCATTGGTCATGAAGCTTTTATTTTTCAATAAACAGAATGAGGCTAAAACAACACAAAAGTTATTCCCCCATCCCACAAACCTTCATGTACTCAAAAAATACTGATCTTGATATTGATTAGTAAACCTTAGGTATTATAAAAGAAATGAAATACATATTAATATTATACCTATAGTTAAAAAACAATGAAAAAAGAAATCACATCGTTATTAAGCTAAATCTGTAACAGTGTTTTTCACAGCTATGATTATGTATGAACCAGTAGCTCCTCCTTTTTGACTATACTTTGACTATACTGTTGATCACTGATGAGGAAACTACCTGGAGTTCTCTAAACCATGGAAAGCCACATTGGGGTCATATCCAAAAAATGTTTTAAAGACTTTAATTACTCTTACAATAACTGTATCTTGTTTGTCATCTAAAGAACATGCTACTTCATGCTTGACTGGTTTCACAAGGTCCAAGGTGCATACCTTCTTGATGGACATCTTTAATAATCATTTAGAAGCTCCTCATCCTTAGGTAATGGAAGTCACATTTCCTCAGGCCAACATCCACCACTGGCAATGGATGCATCAGAACCACCAGAACCAAAGAGATTATTCAATTCACATTTTAAGCCAGCCAAAGAAAATAGAGCTTTAAAAAAATCTAAGTGTCTAAGAGACTGTTTTGGCAAATATGGTTTCAAAAAATACAAGTCATTAGCTTCTTAATGTGGAAGTCGGACTTGCCCAATGCACAATTTATTACTGGCAGAGGATTCACCATGATCTGCCAGTAAAAAGGGGAGAATTGTTGGAAAAGTGATCTATGTACACAATTCCAGTTAAGTTATAAAAGCAATATGTAATTTAGTAAAGGCTTGTGCTGCACTATTATGACAAACATTAAATCAAAATCAATTATCTGCCACATTTGGAACACAACAGTATTACTCACTGAAAAATCTTGTATAAAACTTGGTTAAAAAGGAAAAAAAAGTCAGAAAATGCCAGCAGGTGTTCCAGGAACATTCATTAGTAATGAGATCCAAATTTGGGGATCAATTAATAGATCATAAATCTAAAAGGAACTTCAGATCTCATTTTATGTATGAGGGAACTGAAGTCTTGAGAGGTGACATGACTTGATGTGATGGCAAAGCTAAGAAACTATACCATGTTGTATTCCAGAAGTACTGGGAAAAGATCTGGGTGTATTCCTAGGCAATGAAATTTTCTCCCAGAGAAAGAACAACTTTTCTTTCATTGTTTTAATCTAATCATTGTTTTATCTCTCAGAGGGTAGTAATCCAGCAGTGACAGAAAAAGGCATGGAGACCAAAAAACAAGGTATTACTTATTACTCTGTCAACTGGTACTTGTGATTAGTGAAGGACTGTGTTGGTTTTTGTACAAAGGAGTTTATATTGATTAAATAGTTTTCATTATCTAGACTGTAAAATAGATTTACAGGTATGTGGCAAGTGAAGCAAGGCACATATAAAAGCAAGGCATTCCAGGCGATAGTTAGTACCCAGGAAGAGGGAGTTTTCATGGCAGTTTAGAGAGGAAGCCAAAGGGGTCTGTAGTTCATCCTGATATCCAGGAAGTCTTAAAATCAGGAAAAATCTGTTTTTGTAACCCGCAAGACTTTCATTCATATCTGAAGTGAATGATCACATCAGAAGTCTGCAAATTAAAGCTTTCTATGCTACAGAAGAAGCTGAAAGGTCTTGAAAAACACAATTCTATCCTATTACAGAAGACAAAAATCGTTCTAAACAATAATTAAAATAGTAGGAGAAATGATTAAAAGATTGTTGAGGAGCTATGTATCAAGATGATACTGAGTGAAAGTATATTACACTTTGGAAAAAGAAACTCAGTATAATTGTAATAGAGGTATTAAGACTCTTCTTATGGGGCAGTAACTAATATTTTTAAATGACAAGAATATAAAGGCAACTGAAAAGAGACAAATCCTATTATTTCCCTTTCACAAGGTGAAAGACCTTGTGGCACTGTTAATTCCCTTTTGAATGCATAGAGATGGTTATTCTTAAGATCTTAGGATTAGATATTGTTGGTATAAAGGATTAGATATTGTTGGTATAAATACAGTTTTTTTTTTCAGAAAGAGTTTTTTTTTTTGAGACTATGTCATCTTCCTTTGTGTTAATATAAACAATTCCCTAAAAGCTGACATGTAGGCTTCTAAAACTGTTTCTATAAGCTGTAGTCATATGTACAATGGATGGTAAACTACTCAAGGTCATACTAATGGACAAATTAGAACTCATTTAAAGAATTATGTTGTTATCGGTCTTTCTCTGCATTAAGAACTAAAACTGAATTTTGAGTGGTGGGTAAGCAAATGTTAGTCACCCCTAAAGTTGAGAAAAATTAGGTATTTTAATACATATCTAAAATCTTGTTGGGAAAGTGAAACACTTTTCAGTATGATAAGGTAGTCTGTAATGAAGTCACCCTCTAGAATTAGCTGGGGTTAGGCTCCTCCTTATAGCCAGTGGTCAAATTTGCTTTTTTATCTATATCCCCCTGAACCCTGTTTGTTCTCAGTTATACTCAAAGAATTGAACCACATTTTCAGAGTGAACAACTGATTAGAAGACAAACACAGAAAATAGGAAGGCATATCACCATCCTGAGGTATAGAGATACAAAGCTATCTGTATTCTTTCCATGTCAATGACAGAAAATGAATGGTTCAATGGTACAAATTATAATAGGTCTCTCGTGATTGTTCTTCACTCCACTTCTCTGAGGCATTTTCTAAAGCAAAGTGGTACTGTTATCTGCTCTTCCAGTTAAAAGTTATAATTTGGTAATGGAATGGATATAGGAAACACAACTAGCTATGCAGATACTGCTGAAGAATAATATTTTAGGTGATAACTTATGACATTAGAATGACTGTACTCTTGGAAAAGTGCTAAGTGGTTTGGAAGAACCAAAAGATTATGTTGACATAATACCCACAGGTATGTTCAAGAAGCTTTACGCTGAAATCAAAAGATTAAAACATCCTCAGTTAAAATTTTAAGACTAGACCTACGAATAACAATAATATAATAGGGAAAAAACAGTGGAATAACTGCCAGGAAATTATTAGGAGGAAAATGTAAACAGCAAACAAATCCAATAGCCTAAAAAAAAGTGTGTGTGTGTGTGTGTGTGTGTGTGTGTGTGTGAGTATGTAAATACAGCAAATCTGAAATTTCAAAATAAGTAAATCTTGGGGACTGCTAACACTTAATGGGAAGAAACTTGTGTATGAGAACTGGCATTTCAAAGAAATGTCTTACAATGTTTCCCAGCAGAAAGAGGACAATAACCGTAAATCAAAATATATACACATATATGGAAATTCTTGAACATGAGATAAAGAAACCCCTAAGTGAGGCTAAAAGAAGGCAGAAATTTTATCAGATGGGGCATACTTTTTAGCTACCTAGCCGGATGGAAGATTTAGATAAGGCTTTCTTAAAACACTGTAAACAAGCAGAAAGATACAGACATGACGGGGGATATTATCCATCTACAGGTACTAGCAGCTTAATTTTGCCTATATTAGAATACCTGATAAATTCCTAAGTTGCCCCACTGAAAATTTAATTCCTCAATAAAGGGAGCAATGAGGCAAACATGCAACTATTTGCGCCTAAGTTTGAACACAAAGGCCAAAATAAATGATAATGAAGAAGGGACAGGAATTCTGGTAGTGATTATGCCAAGGAAAGAAAATTCCTGGGCATTGTCAAATGTGTAGCCTACATCTGTTGTTGGAAATTTTGACAGTCACTCATGATATGCTTAGAAAACAGAAGAAGAAGGAGTGAATTTATAGATGGTTCAATAATCATAATCCAAAAAATAATGATTGGCAGATTCATGTCAACCTTGAGGAAGACCTCTGCTGGGTCTATTCTTGTTTTAGTCCTGAAAAATATTTTAAATTGATAACTTGAAGAAATGAGAGCATATTTATACATATCCAGGTAGCACAAAGTGAAGAAGGAGAGATCATATGCAGGATTACATATAGAGTCCATTAACAAATATTGATTGAGCACCTTTATGGGTAAGGTGTTAAAATGAATACACGGATTAATCAAGATACCATTCTCCCTCTCATGGTTCCATTTTCAACTGGAGATACAAAAATATGTACAGATAATCATAAAACAGAGTATTAAGTGACAAACTCCAGGAAGAATACCGGTAAAGTCATTGGATAGGTCAACAAAAGGAGCTATTACTTCTAGCTTTACGTGTGTTGGTGGGTTTAGAATCTGGAATGATTTAGTGGACGCAATCGTAGGAGCATGTTAGATAACAGAATTTGGACATGCAATAATAAAGAGAAAGAGAATCTGGATTCAGAGAAGGAAAAGCATGGAGCTTATATAGGGAATGGTTTGTGGTTTTGTCTGATTAAAGAATGGAGTTCAGGGCTGGGTGTGGTGGCTCACGCCTGTAATCCCAGCACTTTGGGAGGCTGAGGCAGGTGGATCACCTGAGGTCAGGAGTTCAACACCAGCCTGGCCAACAGGGCGAAACCCCGTCTCTACTAAAAGTACACAAATTAGCTGGGTGTGGTGGCGGGCACCACCTTAATCCCAGCTACTCAGGAGGCTGAGGCAGGAGAATCGCTTGAATCTGGGAGGCAGAGGTTGCAGTGAGCCGTGACTGTGCCCCTTTGCTCCAGCCTGGGTGACAAGAGAGAGACTCCGTCTCAAAAAAAAAAAAAAAAAAAAATCCAATTCAGGACAGGGAGCAATAGGAAATAAAAGTTGGGTAATAAGGTTCTGGGATGCAGGTTGGCACAATAAACTAAAAACAATAAAATTAAATTTAACTTGGATGAACTTCTAGTTTTAGGATGGCAGTTTGATGTAGCTCCCCACTTTCTTCTTGAAAATCACCCCTAAACAATTCGAAACAGAATATGACCTCCAACTTTAATGACTAAGAGGCATATATGAACCAATTACATAAAAATTAAGAGCAGATAGAAGAATGATTGATGACTTAGCAGAGCAAAAGAAGGTCAAGTCCATGTGCCTGAAGGAGGAGATGCCAGGAAGAAGCAGCCCTTCCAGAATGCTGAAAATGCTTAGGAAATAGATATACCCTCACCGAAGGCAGAAAGGAGACAAAGGGCTAACAACAGAAAAATTTGTCTTAAATCAGAAACAGTCTGAGGCAGAAGAAATTGAACCCCTAATCATACTCAGTGACATCAAGCAAAAAGGATGGGCTAGAGTTAAGTGCTAAGTACTGCTAGAAAAAAGTTAAGGCTTTTTAAAAATAAAACAACTATTTATTTTCTTAAATGCTTTTAAATTTAAAAAATGTAAATGATATTAAGATATAGTTTAAAAATATTTTTAAGCAATTCTTAATCAGGAGTTTTTTTCCAAAATACATATGCTGTATGTACCAAGTACCAACTCTAGAGATTCTAATTTTGTAGGGTAGGGCCCAGGAACTTATATTTTGGAAGTTTCTCAAACCACTGAGTTAGTGTGAAAAAGGAGTCCATCACCTAAACCTATCAAAAGGTGAAATAGTATAGACAAATTATAAGCATTTTCATTCACAGGACTATGTACAAGGTATTATTGCAGGAATGAGGAATACTGTAGTACACAAAAAAATCCCCTTTGCTTGTGGAGTTTATAACTTTGTAGGGAAGAGAGAGAGTAAATACATAAAATATGTAGAATGCTGGAAGTTGATAAGAAGAAAAATACAGCAGAGAAGGCGTAAAGGGAATTGGGTAGGAGGACACTGCAATTTAAAATAGGGTGGCCAAGGAAGGCTGTACTTAGAAGGTAATATTTTTGAATACAGACTTGAAGGAAGTGAGGGAGCAAACCATGAAGATATCTGGGGAAAAGTGTTTCAGGCAGACAGAACAGCTGAAGCAAAGGCCCTGAGACAGGGGCTGCCAATGTATTTATTCAAGGGACATAAAGGAGGCCAGTAGAGCTGGAGAAGAGTGAGTGAGGATATGAGATCATAAAGGTAACAGGGGAGCTAAACTGTATAGGATTTCTTGGGCCTGTGAAGGATCTTGGCTCTTATTCCTAGTGAGGTGATAAGACATATGAATAAAAAGTAAATATTTAAAGGGTCATTTATTTTATTCAGTTTTTTTTTTGTTTTTTGTTTTTTGTTTTTTTGAGACAGAGTTTCACTCTTGTTGCCCAGGCTGGAGTACAATGCGTGATCTTGGCTCATTGCAACCTCCGCCTCCTGGGTTCAAGCGATTCTCCTGCCTCAGCCTCCCGAGTAGCTGGGATTACAGGCATGTGCCACCATGACCAGCTAATTTTGTATTTTTAGTAGAGACAAGGTTTCTCCATGTTGGTCAGGTTGGTCTCAAACTCCCGACCTCAAGTGATCCGCCCGCCTCGGCCTCCCAAAGTGCTGGGATTACAGGAGTGAGCCACCATGCCCGGCCCGGGTCATTTATTTTATATGTATATTTATGACTGAAAAGCAATTGAACTTGTTGACGTAATTAGTAACAAAAATAAAAATTGCAAGTGGTATCTGGAAACCTTAGTTGGCTAAATAAATCTAGATAATACCTAATACAGTAGCTTAGCTTCAAGTAAGTGTTTGATAAATATTTGTGAAATAAACAGATGGTGGATTTAAAAAGAAAAAGATTTTTTGAAGTTCTTATAAAATTGAAGACAATTATCAAGAATTTAACAGTTATCCTAAGATGCAGCCTTCATAAAGATTTCAGGGCATTTTTACAGAGTATCACCTAGTAGATTTTCCTGTTTGTTATTTTATATAGGTTTGGCAAGAAGGGGCTAACATAAAAAATCTTTCTGAGTCATTTAGAAGCATCTCCCTTTTGTTTAAAAGAGTGAAATAGTTTTTGTTGTTGTTGTTGTTGTTGTTGTTTTTTAACAAGTCTATCTTTTAAGCTTAGGCTTTCCTGGGTTCTAGCTTTAAAAACGTGTTCATCATGATTCATACTTAAACTGGCTTTGTTTTATTCTTGTTAATTAAAAAAACTTCATCTATTTTCATCCCAAAGTCTGGTTTATTTTTTTCTAAATTGACCGCCAATATCCTGAGCTCTAGGCTTCAGAAAAAAAGAACTGTGGAAGTGAAAAATCCACTTCTGATAGCTAGGAAAAGTGCAGCTTCCAAATGAGCCAATCTACTCTTTCTGGTTGTCAGAATTTGCTTTTAAATTACTAGGTGATAAACTATCCCATGGACAGCAAAACAAAACTGTCCTTTAGTATTAGTATTGTGCTTCTTTTGCTTGATAATATAATTTTACAAAAGCATTATTATTATTATTATTATTTTTTGAGACAGGGTCTTGCTCTGTCACCTACGCTGAAGTACAGTGGCACAATCAGTGAGGTGAGCCACTGCACCCTTGAACTCTTGGGCTCAAGCAATCCTCCCACCTCAGCCTCTTGAGTAGCTGGCACTACCAGGTGCATGCCATCATATGGAGTTAGGTTTTTTTTTTTTTTTTTTTTTTTAATGTAGAAGTAGGTGGTCTTGCTTTGTTGCCCAGGCTGGTCTCAAACTCCTGTCTTCAAGTCATCCTCCCACCTCAGCCTCCCAAAGTGCTAGGATTAGAGGTGTGTGTCACTGCGCCAGGCTTTAACTGTTTGATTAACAGAAAAATGATGGACAACTACCTCTTTCAACTACTGAAATACTTTCTAAAGGAATAAAAAAATGTTAGCTTCTGCTATCACAGACAACTGCAGATATTTTTGGTACCACAGCATGTTATGATTTCTCAGGAAAAATATGAATTCTGAAGTCATATAATATTAAAAGCATTACACATGGCCAAGAGATCATTGATAAACATAAAAATTTTTAAAAAATATTATTTGTGCTAATAATATGGGGATTAAGCTAGAGTCAACTGATTTACCAAATGAATAGTCTACTTTCATTACTTTCTGTATCTAAGATTTGCATTGATAACTTTGTGTAATGCAAAAAAATGTACATAAATCTATATTAAACTATGTTAATTTAAAGTGTGGGATCAATTCTAAAGATTTGACTTCCTTTTTTTTTTTTAATCAGAGAATTAAAATAGAAAGGAAGTAAGAGAATAGAAAACTTGGTTACTTGGTTTAGCAGTTTTCTCAGATTGAAAAAAATAACAGTAAAACCTCCAGGGTTAAGAATTTCAAGTGAGGCTGCTACACAAAGAAGACAGACCAAGTTAGCTTACCACTTGAACCATTTTGAGATATCTGGCATATCTTGGATCCTTGGCTACAGTTAAGATATTTTCTGCTGATACTTCACTTTCCTGTAGTCCAGAGTCTTGTGTACTGTTCTGCTGTAGAGAGTATTTGGTGTAAATCTTTAGACAATTTACAAAAGGGGTCTATCATGTTACTTAAAAGGAATGTTTCTTTCCATAATTCTAAGGCAGTAAATTGCAGAAAAAAATCATCTCCCCCAATTTAAATACCAATAATTTAATATGAGATATGTTTCCAAATATCTACAAATATTTAAATATCATTTCAGAGAAGGTTACATTTCAACACTATATTGGTTCCTTAAAATGCAAGTATATTCATGCATTAAAATAAAAATTCTGCTTTACTTGTCCCCAGAGTGCTGATACAAAGCATGAATTATATATAGGTGGTGATACTATTTTAACAAAACTTTTAAGAAAGCTAATAAAACTATCAACTGTTTACAAATTAATAATAAATTTATTGAGATAATGATGAATTGATTTCCTAGGTATCTAGAATCTACCTAATTGAGCCCTTTATTTATTAAATCATTTTATTCTAAGTGGACATGGCTCTTCTAACTTTTAGAAAGCAATTTTTGGAGAAGTTGTAAAAGAGAAGCCAGTTTGTCAGACAAAATTATCTGGTTTTATACATTTCAGATACTGATGGAACTATTAATGGTAACATTGTCTACAGAGTGGTTAAAAGTCATAATGTCATACTAAATATGACTTACAATAAAGAATACTGGGGAATGGTCTTTTTAGATAAAAATGCTATTGTTATACAGGCAGTCTTCATTTTGCATGGTACCATGTTACTGAAACTTGTGCATATGAGAACCATATCCTTGCTTAAATGCAAAACTAGATAGAACTGCCTGTATACAGTACTTGATTTTTCTATCAAACCAAACATTTAGAAAAAGCTTACTTTGGTGAATCTCTCTCATTATCTGTATATAAGCATTAAAAGAATTTCCTTAGAAGAAATCAATTTTATGTCTATTGTTCATTCTGAAATGTAGATAAATCAATATCTTTATATCTTCATAGTCTTTAGACTATGAATGTGAATTACATATTGAAGTTTTTCCTCAGATAATTCAAATATAAATTAAATCTGTCAAAAACTACAAAGCAAATAAACATCCAAAAATCCTTTAGGTTTCTTCTGTTACATGATATTGCTAAGTTTTACCAAAGTGAGTATATATATATACATATATATACACACACACACACACATATTCATCTATAATACAAATACAAAAATTCCAAAACACTGTTAATTAAATAAAAAATTAAAACAATAACCAAGTATGTTTTTTAACAATTTATGGAAATTAAACTCATATAATAGCAAAATGGTGCAAATGAACTACATCCTGGCCAGATATCAATTCTCAGTCGTTAACTTTTGCCTAATAACCAAGACCTCAACAAGGTTTAATTATGAAATGTATTACACCTTTGCTATTTGAATGACCCATTAAATCCTCTATCATATCTCTCAACTGTCCTTCATTTATTCTCAAATCAATCTCACTCTGCACAATTGGATATTCTATTGTGAATAATGATGAAATCTGAACCATGAAATTAAAGTTGCAGAAAAATCAGTACACAAACCTTGGGTCTTTGACTCATGTATAGATTAGAGAGAGTGATAAACAGATGATTTTTTTAAAAAGTGCATTATTCTCCTTTGTCTGATAAGTGAGTTGACTATAATGTCAATGAAAACTCTGGATTAAGCAATACTTAAGCCCACTTCAAAATATTTTGTATAAAATATACCAATTAATAACAATGAATAAATGAGAAGTTGATGTGAATATTAAGAACATGCTGAGCAGTTATTTTATTAAGCTAATCAACACACAATTTTATCACAGTATTTCAAACTTTGGAAGCCAACAGAACTTCATAAACCCTCTAAATAAATACATATACAATTTTTAAATAAAATTGCCAGAGATATACCAGGTTATTCTGAATTTGCAAAGCAAATTAAGAAATTCAGCTGTGATTACTGGTAATCAATTTTTGGGACATTAAATATGTGAGGACAAACACAACTGCATAAGAATTTTAAAGGGCATATTATAGATGGCATTCATAATAGCACCTGGAAAAATTAATAATCAAAGTTAGACAGGTATACTTAAAAATCTTACAGAAATATATGACAGCTCTATCTACCACATAATAACTACTAGGTAGTGTGGAAATATTTTCTTAATATTCTTTATAGACGCTTTATTTTAGAAAGAGGATAGTCATATTTAATTGAGAGAATGTAAAGTTAAACTCCTCTACAACATCTGGATATCCTCTTGCACATTTTATATATTTGAGTGGCCATAATGAAATTTGCTATATTAAATAAATGGATGTTAAATTTTATAATATCTAATTAAGTAAATGATCATCTAATTTATTACCCAAATATATACTATATTCTAAATATATGGCTCTTTCTACAGGGCCTCATACCACGCATCCTCAATATGTTTAAATAAATTGAATACAGGTACTGAAAACAGTGTAGTGTAGTGTAGTATAGTGTAGTGAAGCAGGTAAGTGCTAGGGCTCTTGGCACCAGACTGTCTGGGTTAAAATTCTAGCTCTTACGTTACTTTTCGACCTTCAGCAAGTTACTTAACCTCTATATACCTCATTTGACCCATCTATAAACTAAGATTGATAATATGGTGCTTACATTATAGGGCTGTTGTAAAGATTAAATTAGTTTATGAAAGGCACTTAGAAACGTGCATGCCTTGGTACACAGAAAGCACTCTTGAAGTGTTAGCTGTTATCATCACTGTCAACATCATCGTGATCTAAAAAATATCCTGTGAAAAGTGCCTCCAGGTACAAAGGCAGAATTCCATTTATAAATCTGTTTGTTTTATTTGTTTATTATTATTACTTTGGTAGGCCACCATTTTGATGATTACTTTGTTTTAGATTTTAATACCTCGCTGAGATACACTAGAGATTGTTCTCAAACAACAAAGAATTTTTATTTTTTGAAATAAAAAGTAATAGAAAATTTAAATTCATACAGAAGCATAAGTAAATGTTAAGATCTAAGAGCCAAATGTAAAGTATAGCTTTTACTGGGATGCTGATTCAAACGAATCATCTTCAAAAACACACTGGTATTTCTAAGATCAGTAGCTCTCAAATTTTAAGAGCCTACAGATCACCTAGGGGTCTTGTTAAAATGTAGATTCTCATCAGCAGTTTTGGGGTGGAGCCTGAGATGCTTCATTCTAACAAGCTGCCAGGTGATGCCCATGTGGTTGGTCCATGGCGTGTACTTGAGTAACAAGGGGTTAGACAATACCAGAGAATGTTTTATTTATTTATTTATTTTTTATTTTTGAGGCAGGGACTTGCGCTGTCACCTAGGCTGGAGTGCAGTAGTGTAATCTCGGTTCACTGCAACCTCTGCCTCGTGGGCTCAAGTGATCCTCCCACCTCAGCCTCCCGAGTAGTGAGACCACAGGTGCGTGCCACCACACCTGGCTAATTTTTGTATTTTTAGTGGAGATAGGGTTTTACCATGTTGCCCAGGCTGATCTCGAACTCCTGAGCTCAAGCAATCCACCTGCCTCAGCCTCCCAAAGTGTTGGGATTACAGGCCTGAGTGACTGCACCTGGCCAATTATTGTTAATTACACTGTATATGATAAAGGCATTTATATAAGCAAATGTTACAAAAGAAAATGTCAAAACTTTTCAGAGATGCTCAAAAATTTATGCAGGGTGAGATGACAAGATGTCTGGAATTAATTTCAGCAAGTGACCAAAAAAATAGATGAAGCAATTGTGAAAACTGGTGAATCCAGGTCTATTTTTGTGTATGTTTAAAAATTTTACAATAAAATATTTTAAAAGTACATTTCTTCTAAGAACCTAGAAAAATTTCTAATTATTTTGAAGAAAATAATTATTTGAAGCTTTTTCCTAGTCCTATATAGACTGATTTTCTTTTTTACAGGCAAAGAAAGTATTAACTTCAGGAAGCCCTTCAAAATAACACAGCTAATTTGTTTTTCCCAAACTTCATTTTCTATGTTAAGGTTTTAAAATTTTACTATTAGAAGTTTTACATGTTTATTTTTCTTCCTTCCAACCTGCTGCTTAACACTATCAGTTTCAACCAAGAACATCTGCTCGTTTCTTAGAACTCACTTACCTGTGGTTGCTCTGAAGTGGCTTCAGGATGTGCTCCATTTGTGACACTGGTGACATTTAAAGGAGATACTTCAACTGTGACATCATCTAGGCCTGGGATAGATGACAACTGAGAAAAGAAAATTAGTATTGGAATATGAAGATAGTACTTGCATAAATAAACACTATTTTTAATAGCTGTCTTAAGTTTTAAGGCTATACAAATAGGTTCACAATATCTTGTCTTTAATTTTCCATGTCATAAACTAAAAGTGAAAGACGGTCACAAATTCTTTTGAAGAACTTCTCAAAAATCTAATTTAGTTTACATAACCATCATTTTCAAAATATAGACAATCCTAGTGTAAGGACTGAGAGCCTGGTCTTTGAAGTCAGACTGTCAGGTTTAACTTTTAGCTCTACCACTCACAAGCTGTGTGATCTTGTGTAAAACTCCCTGTGTCTCAATTATCTCACCTGTAAAGTGGAGATAAGAACATGTACCTAGAAAAGTTGTTGTAAAAATATTTCTATTGATAATACTTCGAAAAAAAAGGGCTTTGTGCAAATTTTGAGTTTCAATTATCTAGGATATGACAAAACTCTTGTCTTTACACTTTAATGTGTGACACAGCTCATTCTTTTTTCTTTCTTTGAACATTCACCACTGAATGTTATTAAAATATGTTTCTTCTATGCAAAAAAATGGGCATATTGTTGGTATTTCAACCTGAAATGGTTTAGCTTTCACTATGAAATAGTTAAGCATTTCAGGTTAGATCTGCGAGACCCATACAAACCTTCTTTTCTGAGTTCATCCTGATATCAATGACACGCATTTGTCGATGTTTGGCTAACTTTGGGGATGACTCTATGGCCATGGAAATAACTAAGGTTAACTTGTCCATATGGTCATTTAATGTGCGACCTTGGACTCTAACTCCCAGGAATTCCTTAAACATTAAAATAAGACACATATTCACATTAAAATAAGACACATATTCATTATAAAGAATAATAATTAAAAAAAAAACCAATGGTAATAAGATCTCAAGCAGCAATACTCATTGAGAACTGTTGACTGATAACCATAGTTAGCACAGTGGCTATGGCCCAAATAGTTTCAAGTGGGTATGGCTGCTAGAGGACTATCTTGAACATGTTCAAGACCGGGTTTCCAAACTAGAGAAATGTTCTAAGAGAAACACAGTTGCTGAAGTCCATAAAGAGACGTAGAAAGTACAAACTAGACATTCTGGTCATATTAAAAAGGGATATCATTTTTTTCTTCCTCATAAATATTTACAGAATATTTCTTAGTTTTATTTTGGTAAATGGACAAAGAAAATATTAACTTCAGGAAAGTTAGTCATGAAAATACACTAGTGTCTCCATAACTTTATAAACAGAAAAAACACATGTAAAAAAATATTAAAAATGAAACCAAAGACATCACTGTTATCAAAATCTTTAAGCTTGCAATCTAAAACAGTCTTCTATTTTTCTTAGTTATTATTTGCAATTTCTGACATCAAAACTGGTATTCCTCATTAGCATTTAAGGTATCTGCAAATAGAAACAGCTGATATTGTCTCTAAAATTTGCTCTGAGACATCTAAAGATTTATATTAGTATTGTATTATCAAATAATAACTAGTAAAATAAATCTGGAATTTTCTATCAAATGAAGTGAACTAGATAACAGCTCAGCTTGTTAACATGTTACTCGCATTATGCGTTTGCCTAGCACAATGAAAGAAATCGCAAACCATGTGTACATTTGAATTAATGGTTCATAATGAACACCATTTTCTTTGCAACTGCAGTAAAATTAAAAACACAACCAGTATCACTTCACAGATACAGAAGTTAAATGGAATCACTCCCAAATGCAATGAAAATTAAGTATGATTAAGAAAGCTGGTATATGCACAGCAAAGTTTATACTACAAATTATTGAGAAATACCAACCTTTGCATCTAAAATATTGAGAGTTGTTTCAATTTGTTGGATACGAAGTGAAAGGTCTGCCAGTTTCTGTAAAAGAAAAATTAGAGACATAAAGACTTTAATTAAAATAAACTGTTAACAATAACTAAGGGCAGATATGAAAATATTAAAAACCATTAAATATTTGTCATATTCTAATACAGTACTGTCTTATTTACATGAGTAGGAATGAGAACTCTTCTATTACGTGTATTATAATGCTTCTCAGTTTCTTTTTTTTTTGGGACGGAGTCTTGCTCTGTCGCCAGGCTGGAGCGCAGTGGTGCGATCTCGGCTCCCTGCAACCCCTGCCCCCTGGGTTCAAGTGATTCTCCTGCCTCAGCCTCCCGAGTGCTGGGACTACAGGCACGTGCCACCACGCCCAGCTAATTTTTGCATTTTTAGTAGAGATAGTGTTTCACCATGTTGGTCAGGATGGTCTTGATCTCTTGACCTCGTGATCTGCCTGCTTGGCCTCCCAAAGTGCTGTGATTACAGGCGTGAGCCACCGCACCCAGTCGCTTCTCAGTTATTTTATAAAATTATATTCACTTATAACAAAGTTGACATTTTCTGCAAACTCATTATCAGAGCAGTAAACAATTGTTGAGACCAGAATATAAACAAACCAGGACAGAGCCTTTTGTTTACTACTGTACCTTTAGTGCCCAGAATAGTACCCTGACACTTAATAGGAGCTTAATAATTATTTGTTGATGAATGAAGAAATTTTTTCATAGAAAATAAAAGAATAAAAATTATTCAAAGACACGCTGCAACAAGGTCTGCCTTTATAAATTACTTAAATGCATCAGCATATACAATTCGTCCCAGATTTAAACATCTGTAGTTTGAAAAATAAAGGGGAATGGAATTGGAAGATGAGTAATTCATTTTGGAAAGAGAAGAGAAAAAACTAGAGTATTAAAATCTACTATCAAAATGCAAGATAAACCAGATAGAAGAGCTTATCATGCTTGTTACTCTGTATAATTAAATTGTCAATGTACCTCTGTGTAAATATACACCTATACAAAGAAAGGTAGCATCATAAAATATGACCATTCAAGTAAAGAACATTTACTTGAAACCTCCTAATCTTAAACATTATATTCAGTCACATAATCCAAGAGCAGTTGCCCAGTTTACAAGCTGGCAGATACACAGCATCCTGATTGTATTCTGGGATATTATTAAGATCCTGACTATTAAGTAGAACTTTACCATCCTGTGAAATGGTCACTTTGCCCACAATTAGAGGGGGCAAAAAACTGAAAGTGGCCACAAAGCAGATAGTGCTTCTTTACAGATCACTTATTTTTAGTTTAGCATCTTGATATCGACAAAGACATAATCTACAAATAAAGTATTAGGATCTAGTTTTCATGGTATCAAAGCTAAGTTTACCCTTGACTTCTAGAATTCATTCACATAAGGCTTTTAGGTAAACACCAATACAGGTTTATAACATGTATTATGAATGAATCCCTCTCCAAATTATAAGTGTATTCCTTAAAATCATAGAAATTTAATTTTGGCAAATCTAATCAGTCTCAATTCACTAGAGAAAAAATTCCACAGCAAATTAATATGTAAAGTGAATGAGAATTTCCAACTTATTTAAAAATGGACATATTGGTTTGATTGAAGGAAACACAAAAGGAAACAAAAAAATGGAATTAAAAATTTTTCTGTTTTAATATACCTATATATTTACTTTTAAGCAATAATCATCAATACTGTAAATATCTGAGTATTTACCTTGCTACATATGGTACAGTGTATATGCAACATATCAATTGAAATCTTACACCAAATCTATAAAGTAGGAACTATTATGCCAATTTTAAAGATGAGAAAATTGAGTCTCATACAAGTAAAATATCCTGAACTCAAACCCTCCAACTCCAGAGGCAATACACTTCACGAGATTTTTTTGAGATAATTTTACACTGTTAAAACATAATGGTAAATTCTTGGGTATTGCACAGAATTTTTGTTATCCAAAGCTAACAAATGATCAATTCGTTTCTCACTAAGATGATTCTGTGCCAAGAGGAAAAGCCTTTTGCTCTTCTGATTCTGAGATGATCATTTACAAAGTGGTTCTGAACTACAGTACATGAACTAGGATGAGAGAAAAAATTCTACCTTTATTTTTATCTACTTCTAGCTTAAATTCAGCATTGTTTAAAAACATAGTTAAAAAAAAAATCACCATAGGCTGGGCACAATGGCTCATGCCTGTAATCCCAGCACTTTGGGAGGCCGAGGCAGGTGTATCATCTGAGGTCAGGATGGTCAACATGGTGAAACCCCAACTCTACTAAAAATACAAAAAAAATTAGCCAAGTGTGGTGGTGTGCGTCTGCAGTCCCAGCTACTCAGGAGGCTGAGGCAGGAGAATCGCTTGAACCTGGAAAGCGGACGTTGCAGTGAGCTGAGATCACGCCACTGCATTCCAGCTTGGGCGACGAGTGAGACTCCGTCTCAAAAGAAAAAAAAAAGAAAAAGAAAAAAAATCACAGTGGTTTTAGGATCTAAGACTGTCACCAATAGAAATCATAGTTTTTTTTTTAAATCACATCACAATTGCTGCAGATTTCCTTATACTTCAAAATTAAGGTTATTAGACATATGAAAGGATTATATAATTTAATGCTTTAATAAAGAACCTACTAGTATGTCATAGTTTTAAATTTTTTTAAGTATATAACTGGTTTCTTTTGTAATCCTATGCATTTTATTCTATCCACCTGAAAACATTAATTTGGTTTCACTAGACTGTCAAAGGGTCCATGGCATGATTAAGAAAGAACTACTTTTCAAAGATAATTCAGTATAATAAATGGTTTTGTATGTTCCAGTGTAATTATTGGTATAACATACCTGAATGTATACTTTTTAAAGAGCCATTGTCAGGTGAAAAGGTATACCTGGGTTCATTTATGGGCTGCTGAAGTTCATTTCTAAGATGTGTATGCTTGTGGCATTTTCCTTATACAATCCCCAGACCACTATAAAACAAGTTTTTCAATGCTAGCTATATTGACATTTGTGGGTGAAATATTCTTTGCTGCAGGGGACTGTCCTGAGCACTACAAGATGGGTAGCAGAATCTCTGGTCTCTATCCACTAAATGCTAGTAGCACTCCCCAGTTATTACAATCAAAGACACCTCTAGACATAGCCATATGTCCCCTGGTTGAGAGCCACTGCTCTAAATTATGGATGACTGTGGATATAACATAAGTAACATAATCGGTGACAGTAGCTGTTCTCACCTCTGAAAGTTTTAGCAAGAGGAAATGGAAAGGTAACAGTCTTTCCCATCCATTTAACCATCGTCTTCATGAAGACTGAAAACAAACTTGAAATGCTATGGTTTGGGATAACAGGGGAATTTACAAAGTCCCTGATATTTGTCAGATAAGCTGAAAGCTTGATTTACTACCCATGTATTTCCAAGGCAGTACATTTTATAAAGTTAAAAAAAAAAGGACAAAAGAAAGAAGGAAATATGGAGTTACTAGTTGAATATGGAAACAAAATAAAATGCTGGTTTTTCATGGTTGTAAAATATCTTGTTTATATATCCATTTCTCTAAAAGAGAAACAGTATTTTAAGATAATGGATCTCTTGGTATACCCCACTGTGTTGCGTGTGCCCCAGAAGCCAGAAAAGGAAGCAATGAATGGTTTTATTAGGTTGTGTCTGATACTTAAGCCCAGCAGTGGTTAAAGATATAAGAGCAAATAAGGATTTAAGCAAAATATTATCTGATTAAAGGTTAAGTCCAATGGCAGGCTAAAAAAATGAATGTAGAAGATAAGCACTAAAGAAACTTTCAGGTTATGTGACAATTCTCAGCACTTTTGCTTGTACCTAAAGATTTTAGAAAAAAGAAAAATTTCAGAATTTAAAAAAATTATTTAAAAATCCAGTATCTTAGGCATGTAATAAGTCTGAGTTTGGCTGAGGGTGCTTGTAATCCTAGTACTTTGGGAGGCCGAAGCAGGCAGATGAGCTCAGGAGTTCAAGACCAGCTTGGGCAACATAGGGAAACCCTGTCTCTACAAAAAATACAAAAAATTAGCCAGGTGTGGTGGCACGCACCTGTAGTTCCAGCTACTTGGGGCGCTGAGGCAGGAGGTCTAGGCTGCAGTGAGCTAAGTTCACTCCACTACACTCCAGCATGGGTGACAAAGTGAGACCCTGTCTGACAAAAAAACAACAAAAAAAGTTTGAATTAAAATAACATTCTGGCCAGGTACAGTGGCTCACGCCTATAATTCCAGCACTTGGGAGGCCGAGGCCGAGGGATCACTTAAGCCCAAGAGTTGGAGACCAGCCTAGATAATGTAGTAAGATGCCATCTCTAACACACACACACACACACACACACACACACACACACACAATTAGCCGGGTGTGGTGACACATGCCTATAGTCCAAGCTTCTAGGGAGGCTGAGGTGGGAGGATCACTTGAGCCCAGGAAGTTGAGGTTGCCCTGAGCTGTGATCACGCCACTGCACTCCAGCCTCGGTGATACAGCAAGACCCCGTCTCGGGGGGAAAAGAAAAGAAAAAAAAATTATTAAACAAACAAACAAAAAACCAAAGTAACACATTTGGCACTCCTGTTTATAAAGTACCTTTGACTTTAAAATTCACTATAAGGTTAAATGCTCAGGTTTCACCTGCAATATGCATAGAGCTTATGTTGCTTCCTGCCAACCCCTCAAAATTTGCAGTCCCAATGGATGACCATAAGATTTTGCTGACTAAAGCAAGAATAAAAATGCTCACTGGGGATTTGTGATGGAAGAGGAGATGACCCTAAGTACCTCTGTAATGTGGGTCTGATTCTACTACTTTCTCTGTCATCTAATCTCTCTTCTACTCTGGTGCCAATCACTGGAAGAGTTACAAAAGTAGCCTAATATGCAGAAAGTTTTTGCAAAGTTGAGTTCTTCACAGAATGCAGTTTTATACTCTTCTCTTTAATGAAGAACTCTAGAAACAGTGCCACTGATGAAGAAAGAACCCTAGCAATTTGTTTCAAACTTAATTCTGGCTTGAGGGTTTATCTGTGACTGAAGTTGTTTAAGGTTGGGTTTGGTTCAAACCAGATCCTGTCGGGGGGTGGGAAAAGTTTTCTTTTTCCTCCCAGTTCACTCTCAGTTCAAAAACTAACAGTTGAGGTTCCTCTTTTGTTGAGAGAAACAGTCAGTTGGTTCTTGTTTGAGGCTTTAAATAAATAAGGACTAGAGGCCTATTAGGCACTATTAACAAAAACATTTCAAAACACCAAAGTGACTTTACCTTGGGAGAAAATGGCACCTTACATTTGAATACATGTATCTTTGGAATTGACATAAAAATATATTACATCAAACAGACATAGCATAGCAAAGAAGTGAATGAGTCTAAAAATAGATTTTAATATAGCTATAAGAAGGTACTTGTACTGCACTCTCTCACTTGAAGTTGACATAAGCATGCTTCTTAATCAGATAAAGCAGTGCAATGTAAGAAAGCAATGAGATATTGACTTTTCCAGTTAAAAAATCAGTGGGAATCCAGTTCTGCTACTTTCTATCTGTGTATGTGCAGCTAATGCAGCTACAACTACTGGGGGCATGCAAAGATATGTTGAATGAATGAATGACTAAGCAAATGATTTAAACTTCTCTACATCTTAGTTTCTGTATCTGTATGAGTGGGATAACTAAACCTCTCTCAAAGGACTGACTGCGATAATTAAATACACATAAAGCACTTAGTATGATGCCCAGCACAGAGGAAGTACACAATAAATATTAGTTGTTATCTCATTGAGCAGTCTCCAGCTGACATGAATATCCAAATTGCTAAAATATATATTGTAGACAATCAGTTACAGTCAACCCTAGATTATCATACATAAAGGAGAAAAAGGTGGGACAACAGCAAGATGGGGGAATAGGACTTTCCAGCACTGATCCTCCCACAGAAACATCCATTTGAAAAACTATTCACGCACGAAAATACATTCTCAAGAGCTAAGGAGACCAGGTGAGAAATTACAGCACTGGGTTTAGCACAAAAGTAAGAAAAAACACACTGAAGAGGGTAAGAAGGACAGTTTTACAGAACTCATGTCACCCTTCCCCCAACTCCAGGCAGCACAGCATGGAGAGAGATACCCTCCAGGTGGGCGAAGGAGAGGCAGTGAGCACAGGACTTTGCCTTGGACCACAACACCAGGCCCACCCCAGCAGAACTCAGTGCTGAGCAAGCCCCCTCAGCCCAGACTCCAGGCTGACACCTGCAGGCGAAGCCTTTAGGCCCATCCTGGCACTAGGCTGGATCACCCAGTCCTGAGTTCTAGGCTTGTCCCACTGGGACCGTAGGTTCCAGACCAGCTCAAGGCTCAGGACAGTCCCAGCACCAGGCAAGACTGCATAGATTGTCTCCAGGTCTGCTCTAGGGACAGGCCAGCCCCAGTGGCCCTAGGTTCTGGACCAATCCCAGCACAGGGCTAGCCTCCATGGGCCCAAGGTTCAGGCCCACCCCAGCACCAGGTCAGCTCCTGCAGATATAGGTTCCAGGCCTGACCAGTGCCAAGTCAGCTCCTGTGGCCCCAGTCTGGCTCCTGCAGCCCATACCCTAGTGGAAGTAGGGTTTAGGCCCATCCCAGTAGGCCCTTCTGTTGGGCTGACACCCATAAACACAGGCTCCAGGACCATCCCTGTGGACTCAAGTTCCAGGCTAGCCACTATTGCCGTAGGACCCAGGCCAGCCCCATGTAGCCCAAGTTACCAGGCCAGCACCTATAATCTCAGGCTCCAGTCTGGCCCCTGTGACCCCAGGCTGCACACTTGCCCCAGCACCAAGCTGGCCCCAGACAAATCCCTGTGGTGAGTCAGGGTCTAGGTATGTTCCAGCAGACCCAGAGTCTGGGACCACCCCAGTAGATTGCATTGCCAGATTGGCCCCCATGGACGGAGGCTGCAGGACCACTCCTGCAGACTCAGGCTCCAGGCTAGTCACAGTACAACCAGGACCCAGGCCCACCCCCACATACTCTGGCTCCAGGTCCACCCCAGGGGTTCCAAGCACCAGGCCCACCTTGGAACCTGGCCAGACACTGCAGACTCAGGCTCAAGGCTCACCCCAGTGCCAGACCAACCCCTGCAGACTTAGGCTTCAAGTTGGAACCCTAAGGATCCAGGCCCACCCCTATAGAGCTAATCAGCAGGTCCACCCCAGTGGATCAGGCTCCAGGAACAACCCTACGAACCTAGGCACCAGGCCAGCCTACCCAAGGACTCCAGCAGCAAGCCTGCCATGCACCACAACAGATGGCCTGTCTAGAACCTCTGGATGAGCTTACTGGTGAAGGGCTTTCCCAGACAAAGCCAGTCTGCAAAGACTGGAGTAAGTCCTTACTTCTTCAAACACACACATACCAACACATGGCCACAAAGACCAAGAATAATCAGAGAAACACGTCACTACTAAAGAAACAAATCACCAGTAACTGACCCTTCTTCACAACGAATCCAAAATTATTGTTTTAGGGAAACTCAGTGGACTTCAGGAAAATTCAGAGAAACAATTCAATGAAATCAAGAAAATAATAAATGACCAAAATGAGAAATGTAACAGAAAGATTGGAATTATTATTTAAAAAATCAAACAGAAATTTTAGAGCTGAAAAAAAAATGTATACAGTCAAATTCAGAATATTCTAATACTGTCATGGTGATTAAATCACTTATATCTTTAGTATGAAAGTTAACAGACAAAACTATTAAAAATAATAATAGCTACAATAACTTGTTAAGGGATATGCAGTATAAAAAGATATACGTTGCAAAATCAAAAGCAAAATGTGGAGAGGTGGAGTAAAAGTGCAGAGGTTTTTTATGTTATCAATTATGTTATTATCAGTTTAAAATAGCCTGTTATAACATGTTTTATGTCAGCCTCATGGGAACAACAAAGCAAAAACCTAATAGTAAATACACAAAAGATGAAAAGTAAGGAATCAAAGTATATCACTAGAGACAATCATCTAATCACAAAAGACAGCAAGAGTGGAAGAAAGGAACAAAAGATCTATAAAGCAACTAGAAAACAATGAACAAAATCGCAGCAGTAAGTCCTTATCTATCAATAATTACCCTGAATGTAAATGGACTAAATTCTCTGATCAAAAGACACAGATTGACTGAATAGATACAAAAATAAGACCCAACTACCTGCTGTGTACAAGAGACTCACTTCACCTTTAAAAAATGGACACA
The DNA here is from genome assembly GCF_000001405.40 of Homo sapiens. Classification (NCBI taxonomy): domain Eukaryota; kingdom Metazoa; phylum Chordata; class Mammalia; order Primates; family Hominidae; genus Homo; species Homo sapiens. Next base: position 102,054,368 of record NC_000012.12, read on the forward strand.
CATAGATTGAAGTGAAAGAATGGAAAAGAGCTCAGCACAGTGGCTCACATTTGTAATCCCAGCACTTTGGGATGCCAAGGCGGGAGGATCCCCTGAACTCAGGAGTTTGAGACTAGCCTGGGCAACATGGTGAGACGCCGTCTCTACAAACACCATGGACATATCATCCAGGCAGAAAATCAATAATGAAACACTGGCCCTAACAGACATATGTAGAAAATTCAATAAAACAGCAACAGAATACACATTCTTCTCAAGGGCACACAAAACATTCTCCAGGTTATATGATATGCCACAAAACAAATTTTAATACATTTAAGGAGACTGAAATCGTATCAAGTATCTTTTCTGACCATATTGGTTTGAAACCAGAAATCAATAATAGAAGGAATCTTGAAAAAAATCATAAATAACTGGAAATTAAATAACATGCTCCTAAACAACCAATAGGTCAAGTAAATTAAAAACGAAATTAAAAGTATTTTGAGACAAATGAAAATGGACATACAACACATCAATACTTATGGGAGGTGGCAAAAGCAGTTTTAAGAGGAAAGGAAGCTTCGGCAGTAAAGACCTATAACAAAAAAGATGAAAGATCCAAAGTGTAACATCCTAGTGTTACAACTGAAGGAATAGAAGAACAAATAAAACCCAAAGTTAGTAGAAGGAAAAAAATAATAATGATCGGAACAGAAAAAAATGAAAGAGACTAGAAAAACAATAGAAAAGATCAATGAAACTAAGAGCTGGATTTTTGAAAAGAAAAACAAAATCCACAAACTTTTAGCTAGATTAAGAAAAGGAGAAGATTCAAATAATATCAGAAACGAAAGAGATGTTACAACTGATACCACAGAAATACAAAGAATTGGCTTTTTCAGCCACAGAGCTCAATGCAGCTCAGTGACGTTATAAATGCTAATGAACTTAAGGTCTGATGTGTGTTTGAAAGAATCAGCGAAGCTTTTCTTTTTTCTTTTGTTTTGTTTTTTTGAGATGGAGTCTTGCTCTGTCACCCAGGCTGGAGTGCAATGGCGCAATCTTGGCTCACTGCAACCTCCACCTCCCAGGTTCAAGTGATTCTCCTGCCTCAGCCTCCCAAGTAGGTGGGAATACAGGTGTGCACCACCACGCCCAGTTAATTTTTGTATTTTTAGTAGAGACAGCATTCCACCATGTTGGCCAGGCTGGTCTCGAACTCTTAGCCTCAGGTGATCTGCCCACCTGGGCCCAAAGTGCTGGGATTACAGGTGTGGGCCACCGTGCCCCACCCATCAAAGCTTTTCAAGTAGATAAGAAGTATCTGAATATGGGACCACTGATATATTCAGAACAGAAGTTTTTGCTTTCTTTGTTTCTTTCATGGTGGTAGCTGGGGTGAATTTTTAGATGGTCCCAATTTTCTACAGGAATGTTTAGATGAGAATTTTTTGTTTCTGTCCTGTGGTTGAGTTGGTGCCACAGAGAATTTCCATAAAATTCAATTCCATTATTTAAAATAGTTTTTTTTAACTAGTTTTTCTATCAACCAGCCCCAGTCTGAAACTTGACACAGTGTTAACACAAAAGAGCAAGTACTTAATCTTCGTTCACATACTCTACCTACAAAGACATGACCTACAGTAGTTCTTCAAGCAGGTCAGTTTTAGGAGACGTTAATTCTATCTAACTAGACTAGCTATTTCACAACTATGTAAGACAACTTTATAAACTTTGCTTTAACTTACAAAGGTCATTTAATAATCCCATTGTTTTGACGATTCTAAAGATTGTAAGTTTATTTTTACAGTCTACTCTTAAATATTACTGTTGAGGCATATATATGGCAATGGTGGACTTAATTCTGCCTAAGATATCTGAGCATCTGTAGTAAAATATGAAGCTACCTTCATTTGGTTGATATGCTAAAGACATTTTTAAAAGTATCTCATTTTTTAAAAACTTGGTTTGTGTGTTTTGTATGCTCAGGAATTTTTCCACAGTACTGGAGACCATTGCAGTGATTAAATTTGGCCCTTTTGACAGAAAACAGAACAATGCATTCCTAGGGATAAAAAAGGGGTGACTGCAAAGGAGCATGAGGGAATTTTTGGAGTGATTCTATATCTTGTTCTACAACTATTCTACATCTTGATTATGGTATGATTATGCATTTGTCCAATCTCATACTTAATGGTAAATTTTACTGCATATAAGTTCATACTCCAATAAACATGACTTTACAATTAAAACAAAAGAAATATGAAGGCTCATAAGAGATTGCTATGACCAATTATATGCCAACAGATTGGATAACCTAGAATGGATAAGTTCCTAGACACATACAACCTATCAAGACTAAATCATAAAGAAATAGGTAATCTGAACAGACCAATAATAAGTAGAGAGATCAAATCAGTAGTTAAGTCTCCCACTAAACAAAACCCCCAGGACTTGATGCCTTCACTACTGAATTCTACCAAACATTTAAAGAAGAACTAATACAAATCCTTCTCAAACTCTTCCAAAATACTGAAGAGGAGGGGAAACTTTCGAACTCAATTTAGGAGGCCAGCATTATCCTGATTCCAAAGCCAGACAAATCCACTACAAGAAAAGAAAATCAAAGGTCAATATCCCCAGTGAACATAGAAGCAAAAATCCTCTACAAAATACTGGCAAGCTGAATACAACAGCGCATTAAAAAGGTCATTCACCAGGATCAAGTCAGATTTATCCCTGGGATACAAGGATGGTTCAACATATGCAAATCAGTAAAGGTGATACATCACATTAACAGAATGAAAGACAAAAACCGTATGATCATCTCAATAGATGGAACAAAGGCATTTGACAAAATTCAACATCCTTTGATGATAAAAACTCTCAACAAATTAGGTATAGAAAGAATCTAGCTCAACACAATGAAGGCCATTTATGACAAGCCCACAGCTAGCATCATACGCAATGGTGAAAACTGAAAGTTTTTCCTCTAAGATGAGGGACAAGACAAGGATATTCACTCTTACCCCTTCTATTCAACATAGTACTAGAAGTCCTAGCTATAGTAATTAGACAAGAGGGAAAAATAAAAGGCATTGAAATTGGAAAAAAGGAAATGAAATTGTTTCTGTTCGCAGATGGCATGCTCTTATATATTGAAAATCTTATAAAAAATTCCACCAAAAAATTGTTAGAACTAACAAACTACTTTGGTAAAGCTGCAGGATATAAAATCAACATACAAAAATCAGTAGCATTTCTATACACTAAAAGTAAACTATCTGAAAAAAAAGAAAAAAAATCTCATTTACAATAGCTACAAAAAAAATACATAGGGGTAAATTTAACCAGTGAGGTGAAAGATCTGTACACTGAAAACTATAACACATTGATGAAAAAAATTGAAGAAGACACAAATAAATGGAAAGATAACGTGTGTTCATGGATTGGAAACATGAATGTTGTTACAAGGTTGACACCACTCAAAGCAATCTACAGACTCAATGCAATCCCTATCAATTTTCCAATAATATTTTCACAGTAATAGAAAAAAAAATCCTAAAATTCATACTGAACCACAAAAGACCCTGAACAGGCAATGCAATATTAAGCCAAAAAAACAAAGCCAGAGAGATCACACTCTCTGATTTGAAAATCTACCACAAAGCTACAGTAATCAAAACAGCCATAGACCAAGGAAACAGAATAAAGAGCCCAGAAATAAATCCATGCATTTAAAGTCAATTGATTTTTGAGAAAGATGTTAAGAACACAGAAAAGACAGTTACAGAAACATACTTTTCACAGATGTTAAGAATAACAGTCTCAATAAATCATTTTGGGACAACTGGATATCCACATGCAGAATGAAATTAGACCCTCATCCTTTACCATATAAAAAAATTTAACACGAAAAGGATTCAAGATTTAAATGTAAGACCTGAAACTGTAAAACTACTAGAAGAAAACATAAGGGGAAAGTTGCACGACATTGGTCTGGGCAATGACTTTTTTTGGATATAAACCCCAAAGCACTGGTAACAAAACCAAAAATAAATAAATGGGATTACATCACACTAAGAAGTTTGTAGAATCTGGATTTTAAATTATTTTTTAAAAATTATTTTAAAAGACTACGAAGCTTTTGCACAGCCAACGAAACCATCAATAGAGTGAAGAGAACCTATGGAATGGGAGACTATATTTGGAAACCATATATGTGATGAAGGGAACCTCTGTACACTGTTGGTGGGAATGTAAATTAGTACAGCTATTATAGAAAATAGTACAGAGGTTCCACAAAAAATTAAAAATAGAACTACTATATGATCCAGCAATCCCACTTCTGGGTATATATCCAAAGGATGTAAAATTAGTACATTCAAGAGACATCTGTACTTGAAAGTTCACTGCAACATTATTCACAATAGCCAAGATACGGAATCAAAAGTGTCCATCAATGGATGAATGGATTAAAAAAAGTGGTATATATACACAATGGAATACTATTTAGCCTTAAAAAAGAATGAAATCCTGTCATTTGTGACAACATAAATGAACTGGAAGACATTGTGTTAAATGAAATAAGCCAGTCAAACAGAGACAGATACTGAATGATCTCACTTATATATGGAGGATAAAAAAGTACAACTCATAGAAATATTGAGTAGAATGGTGGTTAGCAGGGGCTTGGGGTTAAGAGGATTGGGGAGATGCGGTTAAAGGATACAAAATTTCAGTTAGGCAGGAGGAATAAGTTCAAGAGATCTCCTACATGTCATGGTGACTGCTGTTAATAACAATATATTGTATTGAAAATTGCTAAGAGAGGCGATTTTAAGTGTGCTCACCACAAAAAAAAGTAAGTACGTGAGGCATTGCTTATGTTAAATAGCTTGGTTTGGCCATTCCACAATGTATTCATATATCAAAACATCATGTTGTACATCATAAAAATACAATTTTTACCTGTCAATTTAAATAAAGAAATAAGATTTTTGAAAAAGGACAAAAGGCAATAGACTACCTTTAAACTTCATGAGGTTTTGATGAACAAACTTTTCTCTAGAGTTCAAAGAAGTACTAGAATACAGATACAGCCAGAACAGCTGCAGAGAAGTTGAGACAGGAACAGGAGGAGGTTAAAGAGTGACTCATGAGGCTTTGATCATAATCTATCAATAAATGAGATGACTATTGTTTTCTTTGATCTAGTTGTCAGTAAACAGCTCTCATTCAAGAACCATTAGGCACTACAAAGGTGAAGGGCTATCCCTGTTTCAGGACAGCTCAAACAAGTTGCTTTCATAGGTGTGTTTACTTGTTGCTTTGTTCTTTATTTTTCAGCTTGATGATAAGGGCTATGGGGATAAGAGTATTTGCTTCTTTCTGCTAGTAATCCTGGGACAGTCCCTTTCCAGATACTTCTCCATCTTGCCCTGGTATAAAAATCGAAGGGTGAAAACCTTGGCTTACTGGTTTTTATTCAGTCAATTTTATATCCTAAATTATTTAGAGAGATAGTAGGAACGAAATAAAACTGACTGGAAGCAAGCACCTAGTTTCTGGCCATTAACATATAAAACTAAATTGAATTAAGCCCCTTACTCTACCAATTACTATATTTTACTTTGTCTTAGAAGGCAGAAGAAATGTTGATAATTAGACAAAACAATAACTGGAATTTCATACAAGTAAAAAATAGTTTTCCCATCTCCATGCAATTTTTATTAATAGTAGTAACACACTTAACAAAAACTCTAATTGCTAAGGCTATACCTTACATAAGACAGAATGTTCAACAGACTTACTTGTGAATATCTAAGTCCCATAATTTACTTTGCTCTTTCCTTAAATGCAATTTCAACCCATGGTTCCCATTGTCTTCCCCATCCTCTTTTGGCTTTTTAAAAGACAGGGATTCCCTGGATCCTGGATCTAGTACCTAATCCTCTTTTTTAAAACAAAAACAAAAACAAAACACTGAGTTTCTCTGTTGTCCAGTCTTGTCTCAAATTCCCGGGCGCAAGTGATCCTCCTGCCTCTGCCTCCCGAGTAGCTGGGATTACAGGTGCGCACTGCTGTGCCAGTTCTGGTACCTAATCCCTAGTTGGGTACTTAATCCTTACATCACAAGTCATTTGCAGAAAATATTTTCATTTCTATAATCATATTTGATGCCAAAGTTATGTTTCTAGGCTATCTCCTCTAGCCATCTTTTAGATCCAGAATGTAAAATAAATTTAAACAATGTGGTTTTGGGGTACGGGAACGAATGACAAATTGCAAAATAAAAACTGTTTTCAACTGTGAAATTTTAGAAGCCGGGCGCGGTGGCTCACGCCTGTAATCCCAGCACTTTGGGAGGCCGAGGCTAGTGGATCGCCCAAGGTCAGGAATTCGAGACCAGCTTGATCAACATGTTGGAACCCCGTTTCTACTAAATATAAAAAATTAGCCAGGCATGGTGGCGCATGCCTGTAATCCCAGCTACTCAGGAGGCTGAGGCAGGAGAATCGCTTGAACCCGGGAGGTGGAGGTTGCAGTGAGCCGAGATCGCGCCACTGCACTGTAGCTTGGGTGACAGAGTGAGACCCTGTCTCACAAAAAAAAAAAAAAAAAAAAAAAAAATTAGATTTCCTATTGTTCCCTTTAATCGCAATAAGCCTGACTGACCTATCTCACAGGGACCTCTAGAACACTAACTCAGTAGAGGAGGGGTGCAGGATTGATTTTAACAGAGTAAAAGAGAACCTAAGATGTGTTAACACAATTGGGTGATGAGAGGTCACGGTACATGAATAAAGACTGTAATTCTTGTTTTACTCCATTTGTCAGTCTCAGCAGTGAAAGGTGATTTCCAGGCGACTCTATAAACCAGTATCACCGGACCTACCTCCTCACAAACTGTAGAAAAGCGGTTGAGGAACTGTACAGTGTGCACCACAAATTGGTTTAGAAAAGCCACCGTTCTTTTCTGTTGAATAGCTGGCACCTGTGTTACGTAAAAACAAACATGGTTCATACAGGAGGAACGTACACAGTGCAAATCTTTTCATATTTGGACATAATCACGAGGCACTTTGCTGTGTGATATGAATTTCTTGAAGGACTGGGAATAGTCATTAACTTGTTTCCTAAGCTGTGGGTGGGGTGTCCGAAGATGACAGAGGTGCACAAAAGTTTGAGAACAGGCTCTAGACTCACTGGTACGAATTTTGGCAGGCAAAAAGCACCACACATAAACACACACAAAATCTTGGGGGCTGAATAAGAGGTAGGGCTAGCTATCGCAACCGGCGTGTGTCGCCGGCGGCAGAGAGACAAGCGAGATGGGAAGCGACAGTTGGGAGATGCACACCGTCTCCTTAATCAGCTCAGGAGGGACCCCATTTCAAGGTGGACTGTGGGGCTCTCCCTCCTGAGGCCCCACAGGCCTGTCACAAGGGCCCGAGGCCGTGACAGGGTGGGGACTCGGAAGGTGGGTGTCTCCCCGGAAAGCTGCGTCTTCCCCATCCTCCTCCCGGCTCGTCGGGAGTCTAGCACCGTCTTTTACAAACCTTGGTCAGGTCTATGCCTGACCCCATGAGAGGAAGCCCGTCCTCATCCATCTCCTCAGCGGGCGGTGGACCCCGAGTTCACCCACAAACCCCTCCCAGATGGGGCCCGCCCAACCCGGTAATCACGTCTCAACTTTCCCCCCAAGTGCCCGCCTCCGGGGCCCTTCCCGCCGGAAGAAAGCTTCTCCGCTCACTAATCACTCGGCGGCTTCCGGAGAGCCCGCCTCCTCGCTCGGCATTCTGGGATTGGTAGTTTTAGTCCAGATTGTGACGTCAATTTCGGGGTGGCGCGCGGTGGTGCAAGGATGCAGTTAGAGCACTGAAATCTTAGAAAGGAGGCAACAAAACAAAACAAAAAAACAAAGCCAGAAGTTGCGTCCTTTTGAGGTTATCCCTACTTAGTCCTGTCTGTTATATAATAACTCCGTCATTCCTTGAGCAACAATTTTTTTTTTGTTGTTGTTAATCCTAAGTGCCATATACTCTGCTAGGCTTTTACTGGGAAAACAAAGATTGAGTTTGATTGCTGCACGGGAGAGGTTTATGCCCTGAAGAATGAGAAATAAGACCTACTTCCAAAGCGTGTGTGTGTGTATACACACAAGTTCTCGCTATTTCCCCAGGCTGGTCTCGAACTCCTGGCCTCAAGCGATTCTCCTGCCTCAGCCTCACACGATTCTCCTGCCTCAGCCTCACAGAGTGCTGGGATTACAGGCGTGAGCCAACGCGCCTGGTCTTCCAAAGGTTTTTAAAACATGAAATAAAATGTCAACTACTAGATGTGAGGCACAAACCTACGGAAGTGACTGCCACTTACAGGGAGCATCAAAAAGATGAAGACCAAGACTGCAGTGGGCAGTTTTGTTTTAAAGATGGGGGGTCTCGCTTTGTTACCCAGTCTGGCGTGCAGTGAGGATCATAGCTCACCTTAGTCTCAAACCCTTTGGCTCAAATGATCCTCATGCCTTGGCCTCCCTAAGTGCTGGGATTATAGGTGTGAGCCACTGGCACCTGGCCTGTTGGTTTGGTTGAAGCAAATAATCCCATAAATGGAGAATGGTAGGAAATGAGGTAAGAGTGTTACTGGTGGAGGGTGTCCAGGTTCTTTTGAACAAAGAATTGGACAAAACGCACAAATCAAGGAGAGAATGAACCAACAAAAGCAAAGATTCATTGAAAACCAAAGTACGCTCCACAGTGTACTGGATACAGAATCTTCTTAGGTCCAAATACCCACTAGAGATTTCCCATTGGACACTGGTGTTCTCCTCATGCAAATGAAGTGGTGGCCCACAATCAGTCTGATTGGTTATGGAAAGCAACCAATCAGAGGCTGAAGTAAAATGACAAAGGTCATACTCCTATACAAACATCTGATTGGTTGTGGAAAGCAACCAATCATTGGCTAAAGTGATGTTACTTAGTTGCACTTCTATGCAAAGGAAGATTTGGCCCGCAATCAGTCTGATTGGTTGAGGTACTTTCAATTTCCATCTGCCTGTCAGAAAAGGTGGGGATTTGCAAAGGGAGTAGCCGCTGGTCCTTTTGTTACTTAGGTGTGGAAATTTGGGGTTTACCTTTTGATTTAGTTCTAGGAAGTCAGCGTGAATCGGCGTTAGGTTCCCTGCCTCCAGACCCTATTCTGCCTCAGGAGACGTAGCCAGAAAATTTTCGTTTAAGGGCCTTTTATGCCAGATTTGATACTATAGTCCATGTTTATCTAATGTGATTCATAGGCCATCTGTAGCAATTATTTGGGTGTGGGTGGTGTTTCTTAAAGTTGCACGTTGCCCAGCTTAACCTTAGCGTGATCACCTTCTCCTGATTGAACTTTCTTAATTTTTCTTTCAGGAAGGCAGATCTTCTCTGGTTTTCTTTGTATCACTATGGTCATTTCCTTTCAGTTTCTTTTGCTGGTTGCTTCTTATGTCCCCAATCTCTAGAGTTTCTCACATTTATATATCTAACCCAGACCTTACATTGGAAGCCAGTATAGCTGAAGCAGAGTGAGCAAGGTGGGGAACTGAAGGACATGATGGCTAAAAGTTATGTGGAGACCTGATCATGCAGAGCTTTATGGGACATCATAAGGACTTTGGCTTTCACTCTGGGTATGATGGGAAGTCATGGAAAGATCTAGAGCAGAGAAATGATGGGAGCTACAGAAGAGCTTTTAAGCAGGGGGTGGCATGATCAGAATTGCATTTCGGGACATTCTGTTTGGTACAAGGTAATGAATGTGACTTGAGGGTAGGTGGCTGAACCTGGAAATGTTGCATAGGTCTAACAGTCACTCTTTACTCCATCCTCCTTTACATCTAGTCATTCATCAAATCTTACCTCTTCTACTTCCTAAGTAGTTCTTGAATCAGTCTGTAACTCTCCATCCTTACTGCCATATCTCAAGTTCTGTACAACACACTTTTGTGCCTGGGTTACTGCAATAGCCTCTTCCTGCCTCCATTTTGTGTCTCTCCAAGCTACTCCACACATTGTAGCCATAGTGATTTTTAAAAAGACAAATCTGATTATATTACTCAGGATATAATTTTGTTCCCCATCTCCCTCAGATACTATGCTCACAGGTCCTCTCTGTGGCTCTTGGCCACTTCTTTAACCTTACCTCTCACTGTTATAACTTTCTCCTTAGCCCCAAATAACTTCTTTCAATTCCTGGAATTGCTTGCTGTGTGTGGGTCTTTCAAGATGTTGTCTTCCCTCTGCCTGGAACAATCTCCCCTGCTTCCCAACAACCCCTGCCTGGCTAACTCCTACTCATTCTTCACATATCTTCTCTCCTTTATCCTTGGTTTTCAAGTTTGAATATAATGTGCGTGGGGTATGGGTATGGTTTTCTTTGTATTTATCCTGCTTGTAGTTTGCTGAGCTGCTCAGATCTGTGGGTTGGTGTTCTAAATCAAATTTGGAAGAAAGATTTTTGGCCATTAATTCTTCAAAAAATGTTTTTGTCATTTTTCTCTTTTTCTGGGACTTCAAAAATACTTGTATGTTAGACTGCTTGATTTTGCCCATAGATCACGGTGCTCTGCTCATTTCCCCCCAATCATTTTCTTTTCTCCCTGTGTTTCAGTGTGGATAATTCTTACAAACCTATCTTCAAGTATTTTCTAGTTTCCAATTTAACTATTTTCTAGTTTCCAATTTAGTTCCAGAACTCATCTAATAAGTTGATTTCAGATGTATTTTTTTCTAAAAATCTGTTTTTTAGAGTTTGTTTTTCTCTTGAAATTCCCTTCATTCATCTTTTCCTCTATATTAAAAAAACCAAATTTATAAGTTTTTAAAAAGTCCTTATCTAATAATGCCAATTTCTGGTTCATCTATGTGCCTGGTTCTATTGACAACTTTTTCCTAATTATGGGTTATGTTTCCTGCTTTTTAGCATGTCTTATAATTTTTAATTTTATTATGGACATTGTGAAAAAAAGAACAAAGTTCAGTGAGAAATGGAACATTCAGATTCATTCACAATTTGAATTGAGCTGATGCTGGGCTGCAGCTTTAGATTAAGTTTACCTGCAGTTAATTCAATTCAACCTCCTGCAAAGGACTGAGCTCTTGGATCTTGTCTGTGTTAGAGAGGGATGGGCCATAGTTTCAGATCATTTGGTTCACCTTCGGATTCAGCTTCAGCAGGGCTCAGGAATCCAAGCACCATAAGAATGTGCAAGATTTAGTGAATTCTACTTACCGAAAACATTTCCTCCATTACTGCTTTCTTAGCAATCTTAGGGGTAGGGTGTAGGCCCAAGTGATTTATTTTCGTGATTGAGGTCCTTCCAGACCCAAGTCTGTCTCACCAGCTTGTAGCAAAGTCTTAGCCACTTTCTCCTTAACTCTGCAAAGTCTCCTAGAGTGTTGCAGGCTTGTTCTTCCATCTACTTGTATCCAGACCACGCCCTTCTCCCTGGGCATGGCAATGCCACAGCTCTCTGCTCAACTATGTTCCTCCAAACATAGGCATGACTATAGAATTTATTTCATTAAGGTCTTACATACATGGCTTTTCAACAGCCCCATAAAAAGTATGATTTTTATCTGGTTATTTCTTATTACCACTAAATAAAAGGCTTTCATGCATCTTTCTGTATTCGAACTAGTAGCAGAAGTCTTAACATTCCATCCTTAGAGCTTTCCCAAAGCCACACAGATTAGATTAACTGTTCTTACATGCTTCCATAGCATTCTCTGCTTAACTCTATCTTAGCACATATAATTGCCTGTTTGCTTGAAAGCCTACTATATTACCAATTTAGGGCAGAGTCTCTGTTAGTTCACCATTAAGGTCCTAGCCCAATGTTTGTCCTATAGTAAACACTAAGTATCTTCTGAGTGACATTTGGGCTTAATGAATCTTGTACTTCCACATCTTACTTGATATTTCATTAACCTTTGATTTAGGTGGGACTCATAACTCTGGGTACTCAATCAGTCTCCCTGAGCAGAATTCCCCACTGGTCAGCCTAGCCTTCTTCTCTAGAGCCAAGACAGGCTCCCAGCCAGGAGAAAAATTAAGACAAACCAACACAGCAACTTCATGGTTATAGTTATGTATAAGTAGCAGGCATTTATATATGTGTATGTGTGTATATACATGTATATGATATGGTTCTATACACAGTTATGGGCCACAAACCATTTCATCAGTGATGGACTACATATTAGAGGATGGACCTATTATAGTAAAAGGTATAAGTGTTTTTCATACATCTTTTCCATGTTTAGATACACAAATACCATGGTGTTACAATTGCCTATAGGATTTAGTACAGTAACATGCTATACAGGTTTGTGGCCTAGGAGCAATAGACTATCAAAAAAAATTTGTAAAATGGTTTAGTTTTTAGAGTGGCAGTTTCTTTGCCTCCTAGGATCTTTGATGATTACTGTTCCATCCTTAGCTCCTGAGAGCAGGGCCATTCACATTTTAATAACTGATTTCCAGGACTATTAAAAAGAATCTATACCTAGAAGTCTTGGCCAACCGCCAGATGAAATAGGTACTCTTTCCTTCAGGCTTTCTTGCACTGGTAAAAATGAAAAATATTACCAGATTTCATTTACTGTAGTGAATTTTGGGGGCAAAATAGATTGTAATGAATACTGATTTCAAAGACTATATGTGCCACCTCCATATATTCATTTAATAAAAAACTAAGAATTTTTCAATTTCTTGAAATGTTCTGGTAATAAGATTACCAGAAAATTGCTGTTATTTACTTTTATCACAGGTATGGTCTTGGGTGGGGAAACAATAAAAAATCGTCCCCATTTTTTTTTTTTGTTGTTGTATTTCTCCGTGCTTTGCTTCAGGATGGAACAGTTAGAGAGGTGTGGTGTTGATTCATAATAGTGGGAAAATAAAATTAAATGTTTCCTATTCTTATTCCCTCCTCAATCCCATCTCTCAGGAGTGATACCAATAATCTGTTGAGACTTGGTTAAGTGAAGGAATTCTAGCCTTGTTACTTCAATTGTGTTAAGAATTGTTTCCCGTTATTCCTTTAAATTGTTCTGGCTTTCTTAACTTTGTACAGAAAATTGAGTTGTAACCTTATATCCTCTAGGCAGGAGACTTGATTCCACTTTGGAAAGCTAACTACCTCAAGAGAAGAGACCTAAAGATACTTATAGTCAGCTATTCCCCAGTAAAAGAGCAAACAATCTAAATTATCCTGCCTTCTTTGAGGGGATTGGGAAAAGGTCTCAGTGTACTCATTTGTACTCATGGGACTTTTACTTATGGAGACAACTAAGTGATACACAGGGCAATGCTATTGAAAGAATTTAGTACTTACAGTTCCCAAGAGGGCACACCATGCCATGCCAGGCCACAGGGGAAACACGAGTTTGGTCAGGAGAAAGAGGCAGAAGCAAGGGGACTTCTTAGGAGCAACCATTACCATTTTTATAGAGCTATGGTACTTTATCTTGAATTCACTGAGTGATATTTTTCCCCCTTTGGTGCAGTAGTAATTAGGTAAACCTCAGTCCTGAGTCTTTGCTTAGTTTTGTACATTTCGTTAGCACTCCGTCCTCTTCATAGAATCACCATCTCCGTTTATTTTTTTTTAAAGCAGCAAATGATGCCACTATCAGCTGCTTCTAATTAACCTCCCCTGGCTGTGTCTGTAAATGACTCAGCACCTGGACTTCTTAAAGTGGTCAGGTTATTTTGAATCACAACCATATAAAATCACTTAAAACTACTCAGAAGTTCAACACCAACATTTCTTCCCGAAGCTTTGTTTCTAGAGTTTAAAAGGATCATGCTAGAGCCTTTGCTATCAACTTTAAAAAAATAACTGGGTCACAAGTTAAAAGCCAGTCAATCCAGGAAAATGGTTCATGGTGTTTTCCAGCATGAGAAGCCCTTTTAATAATATTAAAAACATTTTGAAGAACATCGATGATGATTGTGGTTGGACATCTAATGTTCACTGAACAAACACATATACATTATTGTGGGAAATTTAAAATAGGAATATAGGTGAGCTCTATTGGGAAATTAATCTTAAAATCCCAAATTTTCATTCAAAGATAGTATTTCTCTCCATTTCATTTTCCAGGCTAGGTTTTATTAGTTTTCCTGTAATATATCCTGCCTTAGAAAGTCTTGCCTCCTGTATATCACATAGGAAGGAATGGTTAAAGTACACTGGCTTATTTCCAAACACCAGAGCTAAATCTGAAGATATGTAGTAATCAGGTTGACAGACACATCTCCACATATCTGGGAACGCTTTTTTGCCCTCTCAAGATTGCTGAGTGAAATCTACAAAAGCCACTATCTCTGAATGTGAATGGAGAGTTCCTTGGCTGGGTCATTCCCCTCCTTCCTGTTATGGTGTTTTGGGGAGGAAGTGGAAGATGGCAAGACACCTTAAGTCAAAGTCTTTTAGGAACATGTAAGTAAGTTTGATTTTGGGGCTGTCTATATTATCTCAGGACCCCAGGAGGTCACGGCTTCTAAGAAAAAAGAGAATTTTGCTAATGGTAGCATGAATATAATTTTGAGAAACCCCTGCAATAGTTCCATATTCTCCCAGGTACTTACCACCAAGGTTGGGGAGCAATGACCCAGGGTTACATGAAAATTATGTATTCATAAAATATATCTTAGTTATTGTGTTAGGTGGGTATAATGATGGGAAAAGAAAGAGGTCAAAAAACAGTGACAGAGTTCCAGAATTGTTCCATTGTCTTGGGGTTTAACGTATTTGTGGGTTAAGTCTAGGATGAGGTGAGACCTCTGAAGCAGCTGTCTATATAACCACATTCTGTACTTGCTCAAAATCAAGGGCCAGGAAAATCTTATTAGACCAATCCAATATTAGAGCTCTACAGATTTCAGGTGAGGGGTACTCCCACAGACGTTCCCTTGGAATAGGCAATTTGGAGAGAAATGCATTATTAGCTGTTCACAACACAGCTTGAGGTGCTAGTGTCCAAATCTCAGGAGAATCAGCCCTACAAAACATTTGGCAAAGTATTTAAAATTCCAGAAAGTCTAATACTTAATGAAAAAAAATTTTTTTTTTGTAGGCTGGAAACCAAAACGAGCTATTACACAATTACAATAAAATAAATCAAGTTATTCTATTTGTAATAAACACCTAGTTTTAGTATTAGTGAAAGAAAGTACTAGCAATTAACCAAAGATACATTAAGATGGTAGAAAGAAGTTCATTAAAAAGTAACTTATATTGGTCTGATTTAAACTTAATGTTAACTAAGACTATTACAGTTAAGAAGTGACTTTCTAAGTAAAAATGAACCAAATGAACTTATTTGGTTAGACGGTTTCCACCTTTCCATCTTCTTTATCACTATGGTATAATTTATCATTAGTTGCGTCTGGCTTACTTTAGAGGTCAGTTGTCTGGAACTTCCTTCCTTTTACGCTGTCTCAAAAACAAAGATTTCCTAAAACAGTATTAGCAAGCTCTTACTTGAGATGGTTGCAAAGATTAACCTTAGTTTTGGCCAGGGTTTAATCCTGTCTGAATTTGGCTCAATTATAGGACAACAGCTGTGTTTGTAAGATCAAAGTTTTATGTTCAACCACCATTAGAAGCACAGATACCAGCAGCATTTATTGTCTTTTACTACATAGAAATAGAAACTTAACTCATTACAGCATTATAAATGCAGTTGGTAGAAATCAGTATTTCATAAATCTTTAAATCAAATTGTTTGTAAAGGCTGAGAAACCTGGTAGTCTCCCCATTACTTACTATTGTTCATGTGGATTTTATAAGCTTACATTAAGTGTTACAAGTCCCAAGGTAAAGTATCCTGTTAAAAATCAGTTAAAAAGGCAAATAGCTGTATAACAAAGACATAAGTTACACAGAAATAAGCTGATCCAAGGAAATTTTCAGACAGACAAACGTCACTTGACCCTACATAAGGGCAACAATTTTTTTTTATTAAGGTAGTTCAAAGAACAGATGAAAATGTCAGAAAGTAGACTAAATGCTTTTGATTTTCCATGAAATCTATGCCCAATGCATGCAAAAGGGCTTATGAGTTTGAGTAATGGATATATCATAACGTGTTTTTTAGCTTTTGTGAAATGAGATCTTCAAAGCTGATACACTAATTATTTTGTTGTGTTACTGTGATTAGGTAACAAATGGTTGCTATAAATTAAAGCCATGTTAATAAAAAAAGTTCTACCCACATTTTAAAAGGCATTATTTTTTAAATGTATTAGAAACAAATGTTAATTGTTTTGAAATTCTTTTCAAATGCCTGTTAAATGTTTTTGAATCAACAAGGTGTTAAAATTAAAGAAACTGAGTGTTCTCTCCTGTCCTTGTTGCTGAGCACACTGTTTGATAAAGATATATTGGAACACAATGCTGCTTCTGAGGACTTGACCAAGCTCTCATGAGGAGTATGTGGAAATGGATCATAATTATCATTTTTATTTGGCAAATTTTATTTAGGCTCAGAGCTAAGGCTATTATTACTTGTATGGTATAAAGTTGGGTTAAACTGAGTTTAACTTTTTGAGGTATAGAAAAACATGGAAAATAGTGTAGAGTGAGAACTTTTTCTCTCCTAAAAACTATTAAAATCAGTCTTGGGCACAATACTGCCTCATAACTTCCCAATCAGCGTTTCTGGGACAATGTCAGATTTTAGACAATTACAGAAAACCAGACACAAATGTGCAAACCAGATTTCAATTTCTTCTCCACTGACATGAGATTTAAAACAGCAACAGAAACATTTCTAGGTCAGTGTCAATATGTAGTCACAAATTACCAAAGTAAGAAACAAATTGGAGTGCATGGGTGTGTGATTTTGTGTTTTGGCATGGGAGAGATATTGAAATATTCATAACGTAGAAGCCAAATCATAAAAATGAAATGGGACTTATGATCCCATCATCATTCTGAAAATGTAGGATTTAGCTCTGACATCTTGCAGATTTGTGATATCCTGACTTTTGTTTGCTTCAATAGTCCTAAATAATACAAGTTTTAGAACATAAGTACAACTTTTTTCTCTTTGATGTTTTAAGTGAAGCAATCCTGAGGAAAACTTAAATTTCAACAGAAGAAAAACCATCTTAGACATATTTATAAACAAACATGGAAAAACTAAAACTGGGACATACACACAATGTGAAATATCTCATATTATCATCAGGAATTAGAAGTGATGACCAATAACTAATTCCTCATAAATACTTCCTCCTGTCTTAGTGTAATATAAACATATTTCGAAGAACAAAGTTTACTAAGAAAAAAACAACATTATACGATTTTAAAATAATTAAACACAATAAAGTTTAACAACAAAGTATAAGTTGGAACATGGTCCTGTAGCCTACTTTTAAGATCTAAAAAAAGAAAAAGAGGTTAGAGTTCTCAATGCTTACATAGGATAAAGTACATTTCACTCCTGAAACTAACAGGTAAAGGCAACCCTCTCATTTCTTGAGAATGTCTTATCTTACAGTCACTATATTAATCCACAAATGGAATCACTATTTTCTTCTGAGGATAACACTTCCTGCCTCTTTTTGGCATAACAGTATACAATCATCATGAGTTATCTTTTCCCAAAACAGCTTCCCCTACTAAAAGATAGAAGTTCTATTGGGTATTTTTTTTTTTTTTTTGAGATGGAGTCTTGCTCTGTCACCCAGGCTAAAGTGCAGTGGTGTAATCTTGGCTCACCACCACCTCTGCCTCCAGGGTTCAAGCGATTCTCATGGCTCAGCCTCCCAAGTAGCTGGGATCATAGGCACGTGCCATCACGTCCTGCTAATTTTGTTTTTGTATTTTTAGTAGAGGTGGGTTTTCAACATGTTGGCCAGGCTGGTTTTGAACTCCTGACCTCAAGTGATCCGCCCACCTCGGCCTCCCGAAGTGTTGGGATTACAGGCATGAGCCACTGCGCCCAGCCCTACTGGGTAATTTCATCAGACAACTTTTATATTTTGGTTAAGCCCTTATTCCAGAGAATCCATTTCTTATATACCCAAGCCCAACATAATCATCTCCTTAATTTCCATCCCTAAATAAAACCCACCCACTTCATGCATCAATTTTTCTAAGTATATGACAACAATTTTTGAACACACTAGCCTTAGAGATGATTTTTATATTTCTTGGACATATCCTGAAATGACAAATTCTTGTAAGAGTCACTATTGATAGCCCTTTGGCTATCCTGATGCTTTTAGGAATCCTTGCCCCATCACAGAGATTCTTAAAGAGAACCATGTCAAAATTCCTTGCTCTTTGCTTTTTCCTTTGTTAGTTCAAAATCTTCTTATGAAGGGGTAAACAAAACAATTTATATCATTTGGTTATAATATTTAACTGTATTAAAAAATTGACTAGGAAATTGCTATAAAATTTTTCATCTGTACTTTAAAGCATGTAAAAGTTGAACCCAAACATCTACATGGTTATAAAATTTCACTGAATTCTTTCTTTTAATTACCTGGAACATTCTCCTATCTCTTAAAAATATAATGTTCTTGATTCTACAATTATTTTAAGACACCTTAAGAATAGAAAACTGGAGTAAAAAATATTTACTGGCATTAAACATAAATCTCTAAAACCTCAAAAATAAGACCTACTCATCTCTGAAATAAATAATTTCTATACATCTCTGAACCACGTGACAGACACATACTAGGTATTTTCATTCACCTTTATTTAATCTTTACAGCAACTCCACAAAATAATGATTCCTATCTGTACTTTACAAGAGGAAATGAAGCTTCAAAAAGGGCATTAACTTGCAGGAATGGGCAGTTTGTCAAAATGTATTGGATTCTGTATGTGACTGACAAGCAGAACCATAATTTTATATGCTTCTGACTGTACCATGATGTATCCCAAAAATGTGATACAGCTGTCTTAGATAACGTTGATTTTAATGATCTTTGAGAGGGTGAACACAGTTCCATTGCCAACAGGTCCCATCTCAAAAACACTTAAGTTTCTTGGTAAGAACAGTGAAAATTCACAAAAAGGAGGCTGTTAAAGGTATACACTAGAAGTCATTTTTCAAGGTAACTTTTGATCCCATATATCAGATGTTCTAAGACTGTTAGAACACCTCGTCCAAAGGAATCTGCGTATAATAAACAGGGTTGAGCAATATAATCAATCACATATTTAAGAAACTGAAAACAATTTTTTACATTAAATTGAGTACACATACACATATATATACTCAACAACCACTTCCAGAATACCCTAAGATATTTTTTTCTCCTTGGATTTTTTTTCTTTTGAGATAGTCTCGCTCTGTCGCCCAGGCTGCAGTGAAGTGGCACGATCTTGGCTCACTGTAACCTCTGCCTTCCAGGTTCAAGTGATTCTCCTGCCTCAGTCTTCCAAACCATGCTTGGCTAATTTTTTTTATTTTTATTTTTTTAGTAGAGATAGGGTTTCACCATGTTGGCCAGGTTGGTCTTGAACTCCTCACCTCAAGTGATCCACTCCCTTCAGCCTCCCAAAGTGTTGGGATTACAAGTGTGAGCCATTGTACCTGGCCTTTTTTTCTCTTTTGATAAATGTGTCCCTGAGAATTAGAAAAACAGCATATACTCAAAGTATAGAAAACAGGATACACTTCAAATACTCCTTTTTTGATAAACTCAAAAGCATTATTTTTCCTTAGTCATCTCTTCTCTGGAGGTGAGCTGCTGAGTCAATATGATTTTGTAAGATTAAAAATATATATATATACACACACAGAGAACAGAGTAGAAAAATAATTTTTCAAACCATCAACATTTTATTTAATAAAAGCAACTGAGACATTTTCTAAAGTATACGGTATATTTGATATAAAAATTCTTCAAAATATGTACTATAGAAATTCTTCAAAATATGTACTAAAAATACAAAGTTTGTGAATCTAAGGTACAGAAAACACTTTATACTTCAGTCACCCAAAACAACAGCTTGTGGTCTCCTCCAATTACACACAGAGGGAGAGTTCGATGCCAGGACAGTCCAGATCCAACGGCTACAGAACCCATGAGGATGGGCTATAAAATATGTGAAGAATTAAAGAAGCACAGTAAGTCCCCAAAATTAATAAATAAAAATGACTTTCAAAAATATGAAATGCATTGATGATTTATCTTTGTAGCATAAACAAAATTTAAAAATATGCTCCCTTACAGGTGAAATACACATTATTGATACGCAGCTGAAACATGGGATACAATCCATCTATGAATAACTGGTACAGTCCAGACTCCATTTTTGCAGTCTACACCAACCAAACAAGCAAAATTAATGTATTTAAATAAAGAAGAAAATATAAAAGCAACAGAATAAAAAGCTTCTTATATGAATACTGGCCAAAAAAACCTGTTGTCACTGGTAATGTAAACATCAAAAAAAAACCACACAAAAAACAAAAACAAATGAACCACCTTTTCTTGCAATTTAAGCAGATAACAAACGTAAATGTCTTCAGTCAACAAATTACAAATTTGGGGCTATGAGTGGAAAAGTCAAAAACACAAATTAAAAAAAAAAAAAGCACGTATGTTACAAAACATTTCCACATTACCTGAGGGTGTCCTAAATGATGAATTTGAAACTGGCTTGCCATTTTGCCAGGATAACCAGTGGTTGCAAACAGATTTTCACTAATTGTGGACCACCTAAGAAATAAGGAAGCGTAAAATTAAGTATCGTATCCTATGGATAATGACAAGCTTTTCTGAAGCGGGCTTTTTCTTTTTCTTTTTCTTTTTTTTTAAGAGACAGGGTCTTGCTCTGTCACCCAGGCTGGAGTGCAGAAGTGCTAACAAAACTCACTGTAGCCTCAAATTCCTGGGCTCAAGTGATCTTCCCACCTCAGCCTCCCTAGTAGCTGGGACTACAGGTGTGTACTACGATGCCCAGGTAAGTTTTAATTTTTTGTTTTTTGTAGGAATGGGGTCTTGCTATCTTGCCCAGGCAGGTCTCAAACTCCTGGCCTCAAGTGATCCTCCTGCCTTGGTCTCCTGAAGTGCTGGGATTATAGGTATGAGCCATAGCACCTAGACAGAAACAGGTTTCTTTTTGTATAAAACCAGTGATTTTAATAATCCTAAATTTGTTAATATGTCTTTACAATTAGACCGGGAATTCCAGGAAAATATTCCATAAATATTTTCTCATACTTTAAGTTTTATGAAGTGCTTATTTTGTGTCATTTCATTAAGTTCCAAAGTTACACAAGGTTGATACAATCCTTTTTTTCACAACCAAAGGGGTAATAGTGTGGTAGAAGAAACAAATAAGGCATCAAATATGACAGCCATTCTGCCCCTTTTCCATGCTAAGTGAAGCCTAACTTTGTTCAGGGCACAGTGTGTCCTACCCTAGGGGATGAGACATAATTAGTTTAAGGCAGTCATAGCAATCTCCCATAAAAGGAGAGGGTTCCTTCTTCTCCTCTTACTTTTTTTTTTTTGTTTAATTGTTCGGCAAATGGAGTACTTCTCTTATGCCTGGAACTCTCACAGCCATCTTGTAACTATGAAGCAACAAGTCCCAATCCTTGACACTGAGAATAGCAGAGGGAAAGGATGAAAAGGGTCTGAGCTCTTGATGACATTGATGAGCTGCTCAACAAGCCCTGAGACTACCTCCTCTAGACTTATAAGTACCATAGCTCATTGATTTTAAAATTGATGGATACTTGCTCATTGGTGTATATTTGTTCACACATCTCTGAAGTCAGGATGTATCTTAACGATCCATGGCATTCTTACATTTAGTCGAATGTATTTTATTCTTAATAATGGTATCCCTAAGTTCTACAACTTATTGGAATATAGCATATAATAAAATTTCACTGGTTTTAGTCTCTTATTTGGTTTTGCTGTTACTTAAAAAGCAGAAATAATGGCTTAAGGACCACACTATACAATGGAGTATTATGAAAAAGAACAAGGTAGACATGTATGTTAATTTAAGTGAAAAGCAAAAACATGTCGCAGAGATATACTATCTAGCATAGTTTCATTTAACACATAATAATAAAGTTTATATACATGAACATGGGCTCCCCTACATTTACATCCTTAACAGCACAGAACAATCAGGAAGCATAATATATTCCAAATTGTAGGGGTGGTAGTGGTGGAGTGGTTACATGTTTTTCTGTGTAAAGAAAATATTTGGAAAACAAATCAACTCCTTGTCTAGACCAAAAGACAAAGGCAATGACTTAGTCGGGAAAGTAAAATAACCACTTATAAAACAATAAGGGAAAAAAAAAATCCAGTGCAAAGAAGAGAACTACAAAAGTATCCCAGTGGTGGCACAGCAACGTCAAAAGATCAAATCACAGCTCCAACAAAAACGGTACATTACCTGAATAAGCAGGCTCGATCCATGTGAACAGGTCTCTTATTTTGAGGATAACTAAAAGATAATATTTTGCATTTTATGAATTATGTGTTAAACTCAAGTGGGTGAACTTAAGGTTTAAACAGTATTTTCTCTTTATAGGACAGAATGTCCAATGTGTTTAAACTATAATAAATCCTAAACAAGCAATCAGTTAAAACAGATGAAATACAATAAAGACATGACTTAGAACCACTGCAGGGAACCATCATGCAACAGGGTCAGTGTTTTTCTTATTTTCCAATATAAGTCAACATTGCACAGATCCAAGATTTCCTCTTTTGCACTGTCCTTTCTGGGTTACTCCCAGAGTAAATCTGCATAGCAAGTTTATGTTATATAAAAATCCATAGCTCTGGCCTTCTATAGGAAAGACTTGCTTTCGCTTGACAGCATAGTCTCAGGTATAACAGGATGGATGAGTGGATCATTTAGCAACAGTTACTGCCTTTTTTTGGTGTGTAATAGACAAACATATCAAGAAAGTACCTGGACCGAGTAATATCCCAAATTAACCAATCATTTCCTGCAACGGCTCCAACTTTGAAGGTGTTTTTTAAGCACCAGTGTGCTGACATTAATGGCACTTGTTCTGATTCAAGAGATAAAATAGCCTGTTGGGCCAAAAGATCATAAAACCGGATTGTTCCATTCTTCTCTGCAACCATTAGCTGTAAGACAGAAAAATAAAAAGAAACTCAATCACTTATCTCACTAACTATACCTGAAGTGTAAGCAGAGATTCACTGTTGTACGGTAAAATGTAAACATTTGCAATATACAGGTTCAGCATTCCTCATCTGAAAATCTGCAATGCTCCAAAAACTAAAACTTTTTGAGTGCTAACATGATACCACAAGTGAAAAATTCCACATATAAGCACTTAACACAAACTTTGTTTCATGCACAAAATTATTAAAAAAAGTTATATAAAATTATCATCAGGTCATGTGTATAAGGTATACATGAAACATAAATGAATTTCATGTTTAGACTTGGGTCCCATTCCCAAGGTATCTCATGTATATGCAAATATTACAAAATGCAAAAAATTCCAAAATCTGAAACCCTTCTAGTTCCAAGAATGTCAGATAAGGATCCTCAACCTATATTACAAATGGAAGATCAAATGTAAAGGAAGAGGCTATGTAAAAATCTCTAGAGAATATAAAAAACCTTAGAGAAAACTGGCAAGATAAACAATTCAAGATTTGGCCGGGTGTGGTGGCTCACGCTTGTAATCCCAGCACTTTGGGAGGCTGAGGCGGGCAGATCACTTGAGGTCAGGAGTTCGAGATCAGCCTGGCCAACATGGTGAAACCCCGTCTCTACTAAAAAAAAAAAAAAAATTAGCCGGTTGTGGTGGCATGCGCGTAATCCTAGCTACTCGGGAGGCTGAGGCAGAACTGCTTGAATCCGAGAGGCAGAGGTTGCAGTGAGCCAAGATTGTGCCACGGCACTCTAGCCGGGGCAACAAGAGCGAAATTCCTTCTTTAAAAAAAAAAAAAAGATTTTGAGATTTGGTAGAATTTTAAGTGATGATGTGCCGTCACTAAGAAGAAGAGATCAATTTAACAATTCCTTCTGGGAAAAGTTACTTTTAAGTTATGTTAGTTATATTGTCTAGAAAGAATAGCTAAGTATGTATCTCTCAAGAGAGACAGACATTTATGTGTTACACATACTTATGCAACTGAAGTTTGTTTCTAGAATGGAAGGCAGGGCAGCATAGTTAAAGAGCACAGACACGCCGCTTCCTTCACTTATAAGCTGAGTGACTGCCATGTGACTGGCAGCTTTCTCATTTCTAAAATGGAGATGGGAGGATAAGAATGGCTGCAGGATTGTTGTGATGATTAAATAGTAATGTGGGTAAAGTACCTCAATGTAATGCTTGACAAATAGTAGCCACCCACTCAAAAAATAGTAGCTATTACTTCACTATTTCCTTTACTCTAAGATACCATTGAGTTAAGATGTTTAATACACTGGTAAGTTTTATGTGTGAAATACTTTATCAAACGCACAAATTAATTATAATATAAATTCCAATTTTACAAAATAATAAAATGTGAAAAAATTTTTCTTAATCTCAAGGAATCATGGCATTGCTATACCCATCTGTGGGAGATAAGGTATGAGATTGCTACGAGTATCTAAGTGCATGAGTAGTTGATGCCTGAATAAAATGCTTTTCCACTCTCTACATCTCTGTAAAGTCCTTACTTTTAAGCAGTGTTCTTTTAATTCTGGTTCTATTAAGTTGAAAAATCCTTGAGGGTGTAAATAGTAGTGGTAGATTGGCAAGAATGTGGGATTTGGCATCAAAACTCCTGAGCTGTACCATTTAAACCTGTTGAGTGACCTGGAGTTATCTTTCATATCTGTAAAATGGAGGATAATTATATCAGATTCAAAAACTTACTGTATGGCTAAAATGTGACTGTTCTTTAAGAACGTACTTTTGTACTTTCCTAAACACATAAAACATCATTTATTCTATTATTCATCTAACAGGCTTTTACTGAGCATCTATGTTATACACACACACATGGATAGTCAATTTCATTATTCATGGTAGTTTGTTATTATAAAGTTGCTGCAAACACTCAACTAGTGAATACTGAACCACTGGGGAAATACACAGTTAGGTTCCCTGCCAGCCTTTTTGATGACTGATCAATACGTAGCTTTTGAAAATTGTGCTTCTTTTTAAAGATATCTTACTTAATATATACTGATTCATTAATATAGACCTCACCATGAACAGTGCTATAACTCATGCCTAAACAAAGCTTACCTAACACATTTATTTTCTTCATAAGGCACATCACAGCCTTCTTGCACTTAGAACACTAGCCAGCACTACATTACTGTGCTTGGGGATGATTTTACACAGTAAAATTTTACACAGTAAAATTACCCACAAAAAGTACAAAAATGTTAAAAATGTGGCACTAAACTGACGAGGAAAAGACACATATTTACAGTATGAAAGCTAAAATAAGAAGCCAGAGTTCACCTTGTTCAATTTTAGGTGAGCAAGTGCACATAAGCGGACTCAAACTTTTTGTTGTTCTGTGCTCCCTGCGTATGTCTGTGACTAAAGAAGTGCTATGAGCATTGATTTTGGGGTTACAAATAAAGTTTAGTGAGGAGGGAAATTCAAAAATACAAAATCTGTGAATAATGAAGATCTACTGTATACATACATACATACACAAAACACTGTATTAATTCCAACAGAAGTCAAAGATAAAGGACATAATCCTTGATCTCAAGAAACTTTCTATCTAGAAAAGAGAATTATGAAAAAATCAGACAATAATTTAAGGCAAAATGCTCTAGAGTACAAAAAGGAATTATTTCAGAATATAGACAATGTTTGTTTGGAATTACAGTATTCTTAATAGAAGAAGTGGAATTTGAAATTATTCTTATTAGCCAGGCGAGGTGGCAAGCACTTGTAGTCCCAGATACTCAGGAGGCTGAGGCAGGAGGATCACTTGAGCCTGGGAAATAGAAACTGCAGTGAATTATGATTGTCCCACTGCATCCAGCCTGGGCCACAGAGTGAGACCCTGCCTCAAAAACAAAACAAACAGAAAACAAAAATGATTCTTTAAGAACAGGCAAATGTTAAGATAATACTAATGCTACTAACAATAAGTACAATGAGGTCAATGACAAACACAACAAAAACAAGTATAACACTGGGGTAAGAGCTTTACATGTCTGCTTTATTTAATCCCCTAAACCACTGTATGAGGAAATTACTATCGTTAATCCCATTTTTCAGATGAGATTGAGGCTCAAAGTGATTCACGTAACTTGTACAAGGTATCAACCCTAGCCCATGATGGAGCCTGAATTTGAATCCAGGTCTGTTTAACTACAGTGCACACATGTTCCCTGCTACAAGGCTAGGCTGCTGAAGACTGGTGAGTGGTCTAGTGTGCTATAGTATGCAGTGGGGAAGGATCAGAAAAGGTAAGAGATCGAGGAAAATTCACCAGGACCTAGTAAAAATATTTGATATTTTAAGAGTGACTTGAAAGATCTTGAGAATTTCAGGTATAACTTATGGACTACGGAAGGGCTAAGTCTACCTGAGCCTGGTCCGAAGGTAGTAGGGGCAATGAACAATGAAGCATGGTAAGCAGGTGTGCAGCCTCTATGGCCAGACTGCCTGGATGGGGCCCAGCTCTGCCTTCAGGAGCTGTAAGATCTTGGGCAAACGGCTTACCTTTCTGTGTTTCGGGTTCTTATCACTAAGAAGGGGCTAATAAGAGTATCTACTTGATAGGACTATTGGGAGAATGGTATGAGTTAGTAAATATAAAGCACTTAGAACTGTTTTGGCACAAAGCAGGCACTCAAAAAACATTGGCTATTATTATAGGTTAAAGTCAAATTAAAACTCAGTTCTAACAAAAGATTTTTGTTATTTACTGTCTGTATAACTGTGCTCAATTATGACAAATCTTTTTTTGGGTGATAAGAACAGATAGGGTAGAAAAGTTAAGTAAGTTTGGGAGTAGCTGAATCTAAAAATGCTACAGGGGGAATTTTTCCTTTAGGAATTTTCAGAAGTATAAACAATACTATGCACTGTGAATTTCCAAGGTGGAAATACTTTAAGTGGCACAGAACATTGTCGTATTTGAACCAGATTGAGTTCAAATCTGTCACTGTGTGACCTTGGGCAAAATGCTTGAACTTTTGGTGCTTTGGTTTTCTCATCTACAAAATACAATACTACTACTGTCTCTGCAGTGTTTTGTGGGGATTAAGTGAGAATACATGTCAAGTACTTAGTACAGTCCCTGGAAAATAGAAAGCATTCAACAAATGTTGGCTGTTAAACCTATTTCATTTAGCTATTTTTTTTTTTTTGAGACAGAGTCTCATTCTGTTGCCCAGGCTGAAGGGCTCACTGCACCCTTAACCTCCCTGGCATGAGCAATCCTCCCACCTGAGCCTCCAGAGTAGCTGGGACTACGGTCGAGCACCACACCTGGCTAATGTTTGCATTTTTAGTAGAGATGAGAGATGAGGTTTCACCATGTTGCCCAGGCTGGTCTCCAACTACTGAGCTCAAGTGATCCACCTGTCTCGGCCTCCCAAGGTGCTGGGATTACAGGCATGAGCCACTGCTCCCGGCCACATTTAGCTACTCTTTAACCTCTTTTTTCTTAGGGTCAGAGACTGAGATGTCCTCAGTCCCAATTCTTTGATCCCGTGACATCCTGAATCCTTGGTCCTGTTATTAGTATGCATTGAAATCCTAGCTCCTATTGAGTCTTATTGGATTTGGGAGCTTAGTTTTTGGAGGTCTCTTGACTTTTGTATATTTTACTATCTGTTAAATTCTAGCCATTTGTTTTGTGTTTTCCTGATCTTACGGCTTTTTTTATGGTTTATATCTCTTGGGATTTTCATAAGAATTCTATGAGATAGGTAATCATGAACTCATATCTTTCTTCTCTAGCTGCCTTATTTTCATCAAGGCCAAGCATAAGAGGCTAACAATTCTGGGCTTGCAGAGCACTGAAACGACTGTAGAGCACTGTAAATGACTGAAAACGTATGGCAGAGCACTGAAAGCCATTAGGCTTGTTATTGCTGCAATAATAGTATCAACGATGACCAGCAGCTAAAATTGACTGAGTGCTTACTATGTGCTTTTTAAAGGATTTTACACGTTAGCACATTTAATCTTATGTATCCATTTTATAAGATGAAGTGAAATCAGAGAAAGTTTAAGTAACTTGTCAGAGATCACACAGCTAGTAAGTGGTGAAACTGGGATCTGACTCCAGGCAGTTAATTCAAGAGTCCACACTCTTAACCACTTCTCTGTATTCTAGGTTTCTGAGTTTAGCAGTGATAGGATGAAACTGATATTCTAAGACTCTTAGTCTAGTAGGCAAGAAGAATCAAAGAGTAAAGAGCCAAAGACTTTAGAAACAAGCTAAGGCTTGGCAAGTTAGGCATGAGAAAAGAAAGGGGGAGAATGCACCTTAATGAAGAGAAGAATGCTAGAGTTAGTGAAAATGAAGGAAAAATTAAAAGACCTGGAATAGTTTGTGTATAGGGAAAGAAGAATTAAAGATGATTTTAGGATTCTGAGTTTATGTGATTTAGAACAGGGACTTTCAAACATTCTGAAGTCATGGAAACATCATAAAAGAAAGGAGATGGGGTAAGGTGGAATTTTAATGATATGTAGGAGAAAAAACAAATTAAGTTAAAGCATATGGAAGAAAGAGATAAAAAATAACAGCAAGAAATTAAGCATTAAGATGTAAGTTTTGGGATAGAAGTTGTAATAAATGTTCTCATTTGTCATGCAGGTCATAGTTTTTAAAAAGCAGTTTATTGTAGTTATATATGGTGATATTAACATTTTGGTAGAAACTGTGTGTTTTAAGTAGACTCACTGCTCTCAGGGAGAAATGTAGGCATAAAACAAAATTTAGGAACTGGACTCAGAAATAAACCTATCAATTTAATAAGTTAGAACATTTCACTCATGCACATATGCAGAGTATAATTCTACTGATGAAAGACTCAATGGGCCTGGAACAAATTTCCATGAAATCCCAGGGTTCAGAGCACACACTTAGATACAGTCTGGGGATTATCTCCTCTGTGAAAGCTGCGAGAAGATTTGGTTAATCCTTCTTTATGTCATCATTCTACTTAATAGATTTTTTGATTCTAAAACTTATTTGTGTTGCTGTATTTACATGTTTTTTCTCCCTTATACATCAGTATACTAAGGACTTTATTCATTCTTTTATTCCCTATTACAATAAAGGGTACAGTGTAGTGACAATTAACCCTTGAAGCAATTCACAAATATATGGTGAAAGAAAAGTTGGCAGAGTATAAAGAAAAAGGGAACATATACGCAAAGTTGCTCAAGAGGACTCAGATAATGCGGCTTTAAAAATCAAACTAGCAGTTTCAAGAAGGAGGTGATCAGCAGTGTAAAACACTGGCTGGAGAATAAGAATGAAGGAAAAGGCCACGGGATGTGTTGAAAATATCCCTGGTACCTTGTGAGACAGTAGTGGAGACTGACTGAGATTATGGTGTTAGACCAAGGGATGGGAAAAGACGAAATGAAGTTAAAAGGTACAAGTGATGGATTCAAACATTTAGAAATAAAAGGTGTGATGAAGATAGTTTAAAATTAAAGGGGAGGTGGAAAAAGGGAATTTTTAAGAGCAAGACCTATGGAGCTGGGAGGCATATGTTCAAATACCTATTCTTCCACTTAGTAGCTGTGTGACCTTGGATAATTTATTTAATTTCTCTGCGCCTTGGTTTCCTTATCTGTAAAATGGGGATAATCACAGTGCCTATCTCATGTTCCCATGAGGAATAAATAAGCTAACATACATGAAATGCTGACTATAGGCCTGGCGTATGTAAGCACTACGTGCTTGTTATGATTAACGAAACTTATCTTCTCATGCAAACTTGAGGACAGAACAGAATCAACAGAGAAAAAGCATGGAGATGGCCGGTACGGTGGCTCACAACTGTAGTCCCAGCAATATGGGAGGCCGAGGTGGGCAGATCGCTTGAGACAAGGAGTTTGAAACCAGCTTGGGTAACATGGTGAAACTGTTTCTACAAAAAATACAAAAATTAGCCGAGTGTAGTGGTGCGTGCCTATAGTCCCAGCTACTCGGGAGGCTGAGATGGGAGGATCACCTGAGCCCGGCATACGAAGGTTGCAGTGAATGATGAATGCTAGAGTTACTGGAAATGAAACTTGGGGCCATGCTTGGTAACTACCAGATTAAAGGTTGGTTAATTGTGCCATTGCACTCCAGCCTGGGTGACAGCCAGGCTGTGTCTCAAAAAAAAAAAAAAAAGTATGAAGACATTAGAGGACTGTGGGAGCCTAAGGAACTACCATGAACTTTAGAGAACAGATGAAGAGTTAACTTTAAGAAAGATGATTGTAGTAACTTCTCAGATTCTAGGGAAACATACAATAACTACAGTGATGACCAAGAGAAGATACTGGCAAATGAGAGAATTCTTGTTTAATGGCTCCTAACTTTCCAATGAATCAGCATTAAGGGTAGTTGATAATAAGAACTTGTAGTGTATTTTTAGTATTTTAGAAAGCTCTATCTTGAATAGGAATTGAACACTACTGTAGCTAAGACAAATTTGCCTTATGCGACTAATGTTTTTTGTTCACACAGTAGGGCTCACAAGCGTGGATGATGTAACTTAAAACAAACAACAAACAAACAAACAAACAAAAAACTGCCTACTGGGCCAGGCATGGTGGTTCATGCCTGTAGTCCCAGCACTTTGTGAGGCTGAGATGAGCGGATCATCTGAGCTCAGGAGTTTGAGAGCACCCTGGGTAACATGGCGAAACCTCAGCCCTACCAAAAATACAAAAAAATTAGCCAGGTGTGGTGGCATGTGCCTATAGTCCCAGCTACTCAGGAGGCTGAGGTGAGAGGATCACTTGAGCCTGGGAGGCGGAGGCTGCAATGAGCCAAGATCACACCACTGCACTCCAACCTGGGTGACAGAGTGAGACCCTGTCTAAAAAAAACAAAAACAAAAACAAAAGAAAAACCAAAACAAAAAAAATCCCTGCCTACTGCTACTAGATTGTTGGAACACCAGTTTTTACACTGAAATCCACTAAAGGTCAGGAAAAGTGTAGTTTGAATAAATGCCATTTATGGATGATGGCTGTCAAATAAAAACCTTAACAATTATAGAGAAACTTCTACAGTACAGGTTTCTAGACTAATCCAAATGCCTTTGTGCTGACTAGTATCTCTGAGATGGGAAAAATCATTGATCTTCCTCCTCTATGTATGTGATGTCTTATATCTCTATAAGTCTTTTCAATTTGATAAGAGAGTTAAATTATAAATAATAACCTTAAAAGTCTCCTCAGGATGCCAGCACACACTCATGCCAGGAGAATGAAGAACAAAATGAGCTGTTTGCACTCCTTCCAAGTTCCAAATCCTAATAAAAGAATAACAGTATAATGTTAATTGTTCTTGATATATCATTACTAAAAAATTAAATTTCCATGAATTTATTCAAAGCTATTAACTACAGATTATAAGACAGACATTTGTACTTAATGTATATCTTTTTAAAGAAAATTATAACACCACTTTTAAGTAATATGAAAGTAGGATGAAGAATTTAAATTTTACCATAATCATGGACAAAAGAGTCACACACATTTTCCCTCTAATTAATCTATCACAGCAACACTTTTACATGGTAATCAAATTAAATTATTTATATACTCTTTATTTTGTGGGCAAAATCTTGAGGTTTCTAGGTCACTAATCAGGTTGTCTGACTACTTCAGTAGTCATTTCAACTGACGATAATTACTACTGGGGCGCTTACAAACACACACACGCATGCAAGCCGAGTATTTTTATTTTCAAAACAACATACAGAGAAGCTAATATGAAGTTATGTAAATTTAGCAACACGGCCATCTTCCATACTGCTTATTCCTTCTACCTTTAGGATTCCAACCCAGTGGCTACTTCCTATTTATACCTTTTGTAATTTGGCTTACTTTTCCAGTTTTCTCTCCCCAAGCTGGCCATGGTTGACGATTAAAGCTGGGTTGAAAGAGGCATTTGGTTCTTCCTGTTCTCACTTTCCTCAATAGTTACAAATCCACAGTAACAAGGACCAGGTTACTCACCAACATGGCTCTCCATTTCAATTGCTTTACCATTGCAGAGGGAGAGCAAGACTCAGAAATCTCAGTCATGGCACCATGTCGTGAGAATGCTATCCCTCACCCACTGCTCATTCTCCATACTCAGCCACTGTTACATTGCACTGGCACAGAGTATGGCACAGAGTACAGCCGGTGACAGAACTCGGTGGGAGGCTGGCAAAGTGCACATATAATTCTGATCCTTAAGAACTGAACTTGACTGGGTGCCATGGCTCATGCCTGTAATCCCAGCACTTTGGGAGGCTGAGACAGAAGGATTGCTTGAGCCCAGGAGTTCAAGACCAGCCTGGCAAATACAGTGAAACTTCGTCTCTACAAAACACATAAAAATTGGCCAGGCATAGTGATGCACACTTGTAGCCCCAGCTATTACTTGGGAGGCTAAAATGGCAGGCTGACGTGGGAGGATTGCTTGAGCACAGGAGGTGGAGGCTACAATGTGCCACGTTTGCACCTCTGCACTCCAGCCTGGGTGACAGAGACCCTGTCTCAAAACAACAACAACAAAAACCAACAATAAAAAAAGGACTGAATTCATTCATTGGAATTTTTCTTCTAGGTTTTATAGTTCATATCTCATTAGGGAACCAATGAGGTTAAACCAAACAGGTTTAACCAATTTGAGGAATTTATTTTCAATGTGTAGGCAAAAATTTATTTCAAAGAAAGTAGAGTATGTATTGGACAATGCTACTATTCTGTGCCAAAACACATAACTTCAAATATTCTTCTTCCTTGTAGAAATTATTGGGTCTCTAAATGTTGAAATATCATAGTTACATACAAATGAACACAGATGTTTTTCAAAATGATTATCTTAATGATTAAACAATTTAGAAGCATACTGTTCTCTTGCCAAATCAATACTTTTCATCTGTATTTATTATACAAGGGAGACAATTACAATTTAATTGAAGAGAGAAATCACATTTAGCAGGGGTTTATGCAACTGTGTTTCACTCCCCACGATGAATTAGATTATTAATTATGGCAACTGATCAAGTATTTCTTCTCTATTGCTTTCTGCAAAATAAAGTGTTGGGCTAGCATATATTTTAACCACTACTGAAATAGTATGAATTTGTCTTGAAAATTCAGCAAGTCCCATGAGAGGATGGTTTAAAACCTCCATTCTTTTGATCTTATTCTAATATGTATTTGTTTTGTTGGCTATTATATAAATTGAGTAAATACATTCCAAAATATTTTCATGATTTTTTTCTTTCAAATGAAGGAAACAGAAGAGGTAGAAAATATGGATAAAAATATTAAATAAAAACTGGTCAGTTAATGAAATGTATTCCTGTCCAATGAACCAAAGTTTTACCTAATTTTTAACCAGTATTTTATCCTGAACAGAACCTGACATTTAAGAAAACTAACAAACAAACAAAAACCTGACTTAAAAATGAGGAGGGTGATCCAGATTAGTTTTCAAGGGATTGGGATAAAATGATTTATGGTTTATAATTATATGCTTATTCATAATTCTTAGTGGTTACACAATCCAAGTAGTAAGTATGTAAAATACAACAAATTGGGCTGAAACTAGTTATCCTAACTAAATTAGCTACAGATGGCACAATTTAAGTTGTTAAGTCTTATTTTCCTTTTTGATAGATTCCTTAATTAAGCCCTTCTCAAATCCTTTTATGGAGCTCAGCTCATTTTTCTGTGTCTTTACTATATAGCTCATCTGGTTAATATTACTTACATGAGATAGTCACTTTTTTTTGGGTAAAATTTTTGAAGTATACCATATATAATAAAAATACACAAATCTTAAATGTACAATTCAAAGAGAATACACTCAAAAAGAATGGCACCTAAATCAAGAAACAGAGTATTTCCAAGACTCCAAAAGTTGTCTTGCGCTCCCTTCTACTCATACTTCCTTACTGTCTCACAAAAGGTACCCACTATTCTGACTTCAAATGTTATTGCTTACTTTTGCCTATTTTTGAACATCATAAAAATGATGTCCATTTTCATATGTTACGTATTTTCTTGGTCTGACTTCTTTTACTCATCATTAGGTTTTGTGAGATTTACCACCATTTGTTGCATGTTGTTGTAATTTGTTTTTGTTTTTGTTTTAATTTTTTTTTTTTTTTTTTTTAGTATTTATTGAACATTCTTGGGTGTTTCTCGGAGAGGGGGATGTGGCAGGGTCATAGGATAATAGTGGAGAGAAGGTCAGCAGATTAACACGTGAACAAAGGTCTCTGGTTTTCCTAGGCAGAGGTCCCTGCGGCCTTCCGCAGTGTTTGTGTCCCTGGGTACTTGAGATTAGGGAGTGGTGATGACTCTTAACGAGCATGCTGCCTTCAAGCATCTGTTTAACAAAGCACATCTTGCACCACCCTTAATCCATTTAACCCTGAGTTGACACAGCACGTTTCAGAGAGCACGGGGTTGGGGGTAAGGTTATAGATTAACAGCATCCCAAGGCAGAAGAATTTTTCTTAGTACAGAACAAAATGGAGTCTCCTATGTCTACTTCTTTCTACACAGACACAGTAACAATCTGATCTCTCTTTCTTTTCCCCACATTTCCCCCTTTTCTTTTCGACAAAACCGCCATCGTCATCATGGCCCGTTCTCGATGGTCGCTGTCTCTTCGGAGCTGTTGGGTACACCTGCAGAAAGGCTGTCACTTCACACTTGGAAGATTGCACAGTGGCCAGGCAGAGGCGCTCCTCACTTCCCAGACGGGGTGGCGGCCGGGCAGAGGCGCTCCTCACATCCCAGACTGGGTGGCGGCCGGGCAGAGGCACTCCTCACATCCCAGACGGGGCAGCCGGGCAGAGGCGTTCCTCACTTCCGAGGCACTCCTCACTTCCCAGACGGGGCGGCCGGGCAGAGGCGCTCCTCACTTCCCAGACGGGGCAGCCAGGCAGAGACGCTCCTCACCTCCCAGACGGGGCGGCCAGGCAGAGGCGCTCCTCACTTCCTAGACGGGGCAGCCGGGCAGAGGCACTCCTCACCTCCCAGACGAAGGGCGGCAGGGCAGAGGCGCTCCTCACATCCCAGACGATGAGCGGCTGGGCAGAGGCGCTCCTCACTTCCCAGACGGGGCAGCCGGGCAGAGGCGCTCCTCACTTCCCAGACGAGGCGGCCGGGCAGAGGCGCTCCTCACTTCCCAGAGGAGGTGGCCGGGCAGAGGCGCCCCTCAATTTGTTTTTTCTTAATGCCTTATACGGTCTTCAATTAATTCAGTACACAACAACATATATATTCATTCTACTCCTGACAGACATTTAGGTTGTTTCCAATTTTTGGTCGTCACCAAGAATGCTGCTGTAAGCCGTCTTGCATATGTCTTTTAGTGAATATAGATACCCACATACGATCACATACACACACACACACCTGCTGGGTACATACCTAGGCATGGAATTGCTGGATCACAGCTTACAAATATATTCAACTTTAGCAGGTAGTTATCATCAAATAGCTTTCCAAGTTGGCTGCACCTCATATTTCCTTTTCCCCTCTCATATTTAATTACCAGTGGAAAAAGCCAAAACTTTCTCTCATTTTCTGACTAAAACAGTCTTAATCATTTATATGAATGGTAATAGGTACAGCTTTTCAGGTGCTCTTATTTTGTAAGGTACATTTCTCAACTCTTTTTTTTTTTGCGTTTTATTTGCAGTATCTATGTATGGACAAATGTGCCTAAGTTTTAAAATGTTGTAAACACAGTGTACAGTAGAATCTCTCTGAACTGACTCTGACAGATTTTTCTTTTTTCCCCCTATAGAAGTGCCAAGAATGAGAAGGCTATTTTCTAATATGCCCACATGTGCATTTGTTGCATGTGTATGAAGAGGGAATACAGCTTCTTTGCTTAGCAAACCACTGGTTGTATGGGATGTAAACCCATGCTTATTAATGTAATTACATAATATTACATAAACTGACAAAATATGAATGTGAAAGCTATTTCAATGAAACTAAGTCAATGCCAACTAACTAAAGGTTAAGTTTCTAAAAGAAAAAAAACTCACTCATATTAGGTATGTGTGACAGTTTTAAAAGATTAAATAATAAAAATAAAAATCTAGAAGTATTCTGAATTAAGACTGCTTTTCTAAGTGTTATTTTCATTGAAGACATTGTATTTTGGTTGTGGTTCATGCCAAAAAAGTGGTCCCAAGCCAATCAATGGACTCATAACCTAAGAAAAAAAAGCACTGGCCTAATATCAAAAGACTGGCAAATGGTTTTTAATATACATGGGTTGTATATTAAAATAAGGCAGGTAGGCATTCTTTTAAAATGATTTCCTGAGTTTACTGACTTTTTGTTATCTAAGAAACTTTTGGTCTAGACCACGTCAGACAACAGGATTTCTACTATAAAAGAAAAAAATTCAAAATTTGAAAATTCAGGTTTTAATATTTCCAAAATTATTACTATTGCAAAGTCAGTTATAACCACAGAAGCACACTTTTCAGGACAGTGGTGCATCACAGAAAGAGAAATGCTTTAAAAGCTCACAGCCGGCCAGGCACTGTGGCTCACGCCTGTAATCCCAACACCTTGGGAGGCTGAGGCAGGCGGATCACCTGAGGTCAGGAGTTCGAGACCAGCCTGACCAATATGGTGAAACCCTGACTCTACTAAAAACACAAAAATTAGCTGGGCATGGTGGTTAGGCACCTGTAATCCCAGCTACTCGGGAGGCTGAGGCAGGAGAACTGCTTGAATCTGGGAGGCGGAGGTTGCAGTGAGCTGAGATTTTGCCACTGTACTCCAGCCCGGGAAACAGAGTGAGAGACTCCGTCTCAAAAAAAAAAAAAAAAAAAAAAAAAAAAACCCAAAAAACAAAAAAAACCCCACAGCCTTCATAATACACATAATTAAGCATATGAAAAGATGATAGACCATTTCTCAAAGCATAAAAGTATAGAATAAATGTTATCAGGTTTAATTACCTTGGCCAAAACCTAGGATCTATATTAACATACATAGTACATATTTAAATGTTTGCAAGGGAAATTTAAAAGGAAAAGCTTTTATGGGAAAGTTATGTGCTGACATATTAAGGTGCCAATACAGACCAAATCAAAGGGCACTGGGTAAGTAAAGCATCACTCCTCAAGTGAAATAAAATGACAGTTTTCATCCAATTTGAACGATAATTATAATTAACATCCCCATCTCTCCTGACATTGTGGTCCTAAATAGAACTCTTAGATTTAGCTGTGATGATGGGATAGAGAGCTATTCAGATCTAAGATTATGAATTATGCTTATTTTACTTTTAGTATTTTATTGCTATGATTATTGCTTCATTTCAGGCCGAGTGCTTTTCAGCAGAACATTAAGTATCCCTACCATATGGTATTTAAATGTTATTGTCCCAATAAATTAACAAAAAGGTCCCATAAATTGGGTGTTGGCATACTGGGGATATCCTAGATATTCTCAAAGGTCTTTTAAATGGACAGTTAATAAAGAAAGATGTTCTGTCCGAGGATTCAACAGGAATATTCTGTAATATTCTGTTTATTTGTTCATTCTCCATTTTTAACATTTTTGGCAGCTCATTGTTTGCTAGGAAATTCATCGCAGAAGGGAATTTCTACTACCAAATGTTTTTTGACAACACAAAAGAAAGAATGGATGACATTAAATGACACATCTGTATCCATTTGGCCCTAACTGGTAAAGCAAAAAATATGAACCACAATCTTTCTAAAAGACATGACTAGATCACATGAATCTGTGTATTGATTAATTAAGTAAGAAAGAAAAGAACAAAGTAATACAGAGATGTAGTTATAAGGATTAGCAGGCACTTTACAATGTCACTGGTACAGGAAAGGGACCCTCAACATTCTTAGACAAGAAACATATTTTCCACTGAGCTTGTGAGAGCAAAACTAGGATTTTCTCTTAGTTCCAATTAATCAATTACTAAGTTAATCAGGTTATAGATGATTCAAAGAAGGGTAAGTCGTGGTGTATTTCCTTAGCAAATGAGCACACAATTAGAAAGTGAAACATTTTGCAAAAGAATTCAGTGCTAAAATATCTGGTTTTAAGTGCAAAAGGAGTTCAGAGGTGGGGAACCATGTAACTGAAAGCCCAAATCTAGAGATTAGATGGACAAATCTTTACAGTGGGTATGGGTAGGTTAGAGTTGGTAAATAAAGTTTTGTCAGTTTATGGTTGAGACTATGGAGAACTTTGAGAGCTAGGCAAAAGCCTTAAAGGTGGAGACAACAAAATAGCAGGATAGTTGGAAGAATTTTATAGCAGGATACTTTCAGTGTGTGTGTCCAAATATATTTAGAAAATAAGATTAGATTAATTCTTTTTTTAATACTTGAGACTACTGAGCAAGTAGTAGTTGTAGCAGTAGTAGTTTTAATGTACTAGCAGTACTAATGATAAAAGATTATTATTAGAAGTTTTACTGACTTCAGAGCAAGAATTAAAAGGGCAAAAATGAGATAATTGTACAGGCTTATTATTTTACTCTTCAATAACTGAAAATAATATGTCAAAATCAGAGTTGATAATAAAGACTGCATGTACTTTGAGGGTGGAGAGAGAAGGAAGGAGGTACCCTGTTTCATACAGAACACTAATAAACTACACCACACAAAATTTAATCTGTTATACATCTTCATGAAGCTTTGGGGAGGATAAAAATTTTATCAATTTGTATGCTGTTGCTTCATTTTGATTTCTTGTAATTGTAAACAAATTGAGCAGAAACTACATTTATTATCACAGAGATAAGAAACTGAGGCTGTCTCAGAGGAGAATTATTAACATCTCATTTAACTTATACAGACAGATAAATTTTTGAAGGATGGAAATTGTGAGAAATTTTGTCACATTTAAAAATAAACTTCAAAAATTAAACTCTCAACTGCAAAGAAATACCATATGGTAGTTTTCAAACAGACCATGTGTAATGATTTCATCTTTAAGGAATTCAGAGTAGAAGGGCTTTTTCTTTAACTAACATAAGCCTTAACAAAAGCAACAGTAACACTACCCAGGAAATATTAGCATTTCATTTTTTCCAAGAAAAATTTTGATAAACTTTACAACTTAAAATTTGACTATATGCTGAATACTAAAGCTATCAATAAGGGAAAGTACTCCTTTATCATTCACATCAATGGTCTTTCAAAATCTGGAAACTGTTTATGGATATGATTCCCATTTTATAATCCACTTACTGTAACCACATGAGGGCCACATAAAGCAAGCTTAAATTACTGTAGTCACTGATTTGGTGATATATTTTATTAAGCACTTGTTTTGTATTTCATCTACAAGGGCATACAGAAAAGAACAAAGTATCAGCTACTAGAGAGTGATTTTACCAGTAAATGATCATGTCAAGTTTTAGAAAATGTTTTCTTCACTTTACTGACTTCTACTCTATTACAGTCTTTCATTAACACCCTATTTCACTGCATTGAATTTAAAAATGTCTGCAAAAGTGATAAATGTGTTTTAGTATAATTTTTGGAGAGTTCTTTTAACGACAAAGAATCTCTATGTTCCATCACTGGAGCTAAAGTATTGCCATGCTCAACACAAAGTGTCCATTTTACCCCATTCTCAAGGCTCTTGTTAGAACTATGCAATTACTGATCTTGATTCAAAATGTTAGAAAAAATTAGAGTGAGTTTTAGAAGACAAGCAGGGAACTTTTCCTGAATTTTAACTATAACAGTATAATAAATCATGTAAATTATCCTGATTATACTTTGTACCTGGGCATGGTTTATGCACTCCCAGACGTGGATTACTTTCCAAAGAATGGTTCATTGGCCTACCTTCAGAAGGCTCTCAGTTTCCTTTTTGCTGTTTCCCACAAGGACTATTTTTAGGTATACTGCATATTTTGTGATCTCAATTGGGGTGGGGGTGGAGGAAGAACACTCCATCTTAATTATGGATCTTAAAGACTTTCAAATGTACATAAACAAAGGTAATATGAAAAACACATAGCTTGCATGTGGTACACAGAACAAATTTGATAAAAATCATTTTTCCTCTTGCAACATTTTTTAAACAACTATATTACTGGCTTAGTGAATAGCTTAGGTAATTTAGTATTCCTTTATACAGTGATTTGGTTACATTCTAATATCTTATTCTTTATTTTTTATATGCCACCCTTCTCTCATTCTTTTAAAAAATGATCCCAGTTAGAACATGACAACTACAAATATTTCATGTTTTATAGAGAAAGTGAATGGCACATTATATGCACACCTATATTTTATTAAACTAAAAATTCCCTGGTTTCTAGAAGTCAGTTTTCTTTCACCATAAACTTTTATCTAATATTTTAAAAGATTATTGAGGGATGAGGAGGAGGGATGGGATTTACTACTGATATCCTTTGTAGTTACAGTGCGTACTAGGTCTTGTATTTCTTTTGTATCCCCCAAAGTACTGAATATTGGGTATACTAAATGTGTTTAATAAATACTTGTTGATCTGACTTGTTCTTACAGAATGGTACTGTTTCTAATATACAAGAACATCTGTTATTTGGCAATGACTGGGAATGAGATGTTCTGTATTAGTGAGTTTTAAAAAATAATAAGCTTAACCCACTAAATACTTAAATGACACTTTTACCTTCTTTTGGAGGAGGAGATAATAATTTTTTCTAAATGAATATGCACTTCTTTACCTCTCAAATACTGTAATAATTTTAGCCTTCTTTCAATGACACTAGGTCATAACTATGAACGTATTTATATTTTTCTGTGCATATGCATATACAAACACACACATAAAGCATCAGTATTTTTATCAACCTGTGTATATATGTGTGCATATATTTTTATATATACATGTATATGCATGTGAGTGCATCTGCATATGGTAGACATGATGAGGGATCATAAAGAAAATGGTGTAGAATATAAGGCTGAATGACTAGCAACCCCATGCTTTACTTGGGAATTTCTTTTATTAAACACATCTATCAGACGCTTGCTTTTTGTTTCAGTAATGGCACCTTTTTCATAAAGATACATATTTCTTCATCAAGATATATACTTGTCATACTTTTCATACAGAAAATATTGCAAGAATATTATCTTACTTTTTCAACTTGACATCCTATGATTTATCTTGCTATGTTATTCCTATTTTGATTACCTGTATTTCCCTATTTCTCTAATGAGATTTAATTTCATTGTATTACTACTAACATGAGCTTTTATCCTAAAACTGTAGATCTGCTCAGCGCTATGACACTGTAGAACTCCAGATGGCACTATTTACATTATACTCTACACAACTCATAAATCTCTACAACTGTGCAACTTGACTGCCTTGCCTCTGCCTTACATTTTCATGTTATCTTATTTTTCTGATATCCAGTCTTACTCATTGTAAAGAAGAAGAAAG
Source organism: Homo sapiens (assembly GCF_000001405.40). Lineage (NCBI taxonomy): Eukaryota > Metazoa > Chordata > Mammalia > Primates > Hominidae > Homo > Homo sapiens. The sequence continues at coordinate 102,096,013 of NC_000012.12, forward strand.
ACTACCTATGTCTTCATATGTAGTTGTTATCTGAGCTTATACACAATGCATTATTATTCTCTTTGTTTTCCTTTTATAGAATATATCATAAAATTAAGGGACGATAATAATTTTCTGTACTTATATATTTGGAAGGCTACATTTTCTGTGAGTTTCATTTAAAAAGGTGTGGTAGGCATTATAAAATGTTTGTTAGAAAGGCAGTGTTGGAACTGATAAAGACCAACTTTAATGAGAACCCAATTTTCTTATAAACTTGCACAGATCATAGAATAGTAAAATTAGATGGAGTCTTAGATAAAATGTAATCTATCATCTTCCATAATAACATTTTGTATTATCAGAGGTACCTTTGTTCACAGTACGACTCTTTATTCTGTTTGATTCAGAATTTGGCAATTTTCAATACAACACATACATTTCATGAACCTATTCAGGTCACAGATTGTTTTAAAATAGTGTTCCTAGGGCAAAATTCTGCTAGCTGATTATAATATAGTGTCTTTCTTGGAAATGTCAAAGTGAAACATCAGAAAATATGCATAGATCAAAATATTGAGGTTATTTTAAATTTTCTTAAGTAAGCACTGGGTCTGCTCTTTACAGTACAGAATACATATTGTAGAACTGCTCATATGATATACTCTCTTGTCACATATGTGATAATGTAAGAATATATATGTGATATTGTAAGAATCTTACATTATCACATATGTCCTCTTAGAATTCCTTCTTTCCTTGCTATGAGAGTGTATGATACTATCTACTCTTTCTCATTTTAAACTTGTTTTTATATACGTTCTGTTTTTAAAAAAATCTTACCTATATTGCTTAGGTTTTGGCCTAAGAGGTTTGGCTTTAATAACCAATCAGAGTTGTTTATTTTTGGTTGGTGAACTAAGCTGTAAATTCTAAAAATACTCCTAGTTTGATGTTGTGCATCAACCCGAAAATCTCGGTGGTTTACAGAAATAAGCATAAATTTCTTGCACATGGGTCTATGGGAAGCTCTGTTTCCATAATGCCATATGGGTCCATATCTGCTCCACGTGTTTCTCATTCTGGGATCAGTAGCTATCTAGGACATGCTCATCTCATAGCAAATGACAGAGCACAGGAGGTCAAGTCAAGCCAGGCAAAACATTTGAAGCTTCTGCTGTGTCACACCTGTTAATGCTACATTGGCCTAAACAATTCACAAAGCTAGGGCTAATTAGATGGGAAAATCTCCTTTCATGGGAAGGTGAAAGGAAAGCAAATATTTGTTGAACAATAATATCAACAACCAGTCTGGCAAAATGAGAAACTTAGAGGCAATGTAGTCAGGTTTTTAAAAAATTAAATTTATTTAAACTAAAAGACTTACTCTTTAGTTATTCCTTTCCTACTTTTTAGAGTAATAATGTCCTTTCTTTTACAAAATGATAGTGGTAGAAGGCAGTAAACTTAAGTCTTATATTCGACAAAATAAAAAGTTAGCAACCCTATGTCAGTCCCCTAAATTTTTAGAGAATTTTGCTAGTTTACAAAAAAAATCTCAGAGTCATAAGAAAACAAACAAACAAAAACATAGACTACTGAGTGTGATCCTAGGTCTCTCCGGCTTTCGTTCACTATTCAGAGGCCATTCCTTGGCTTGCAAAGACACTCATTTTTCCCCTTTGCAGGTTTCATTATTCCAAATGCTTGTGATTAGGAAAATCTATGTTTTAAAGAGCTGAAATGCCATTATTTATTTCCAGTGACCGAATTTTTACCTTAAAACGATTCCATTTACTCTTCAGGTCACTATACAAACTTGGTTTTGTAGTACCTGGGGCCCTAGAATCTTAATGTCATGTAAATCTTTCATATCTCTGACATGAAAATTTTAACAGGCAGTACATAAAGAATAATGGCCTATGACTCTATCACTTTAAAAAGATGAGCTATATTAAGAAGATTAAAAATTTAAAAAGTAGCTAGCAGCTTTACTTCTAATGTGAAGTCATACATATTTCATAGTTTTATATGTACATAAGTACTAATAAATACTAAGGATTTTGGCATAGTTTTATGAAACATTATGCAAAACAGCAGAGCAGCAGTTTTTCTCTCCCTCACAGTATCGTTAAAGCAAATGAAGCAACTGACACCCTTCCAATGACTGATGCACTCATTTCACTCCTGACTCCTCAGCTTATTTCCACCTGCTATTCTTCCTTTTCATCTTGTTCTTTATTTGTGATATTCTCCAGCTTTACACACTATTAAAATGTTATAGCTACCTCATCTGTTCTAAATTAGGGGGTGAGGTAGAAGAACATAATAGTTAAATGTATTGTATCTAAAGAAAACCTTATGCAGAAACCTCTGAATTTATCAAAACACTAAATTTTCCATCAATCTTATGTAGCAGATGAGAGTCATAGTTCATTATTCCACACAAACTTATCATACAGCATCTGTAAAGTAACTTGACAACTGCATTTTACTCCTACTTATCTTGTCCAATATTGAAGAATTTGATCCAATATGTTTGTGTTTTTTTTTTTTTTGAGATGGAGTGTCGCTATGCCACCCAGGCTGGAGTGCAGTGAAACAAGCTTGACTCACTGCAACCTCAGCCTCCCAGGTTCAAGCGATTCCCTTGCCTCAGTCCCCCGAGTAGCTGGAATCACAAGTGCGCACTACCGTGCCTGGCTAATTTTTGTATGTTTAGTAGAAATGGAGTTTCGCCATGTTGGTCAGGCTGGTCATTAACTCCTGACCTCAGGTGATCTGCCCACCTTGGTCTCCCAAAGAGCTGAGATTATAGGCATGTGGCACTGTGCCCAGTCCAATATAGATTTGGATTTCATAAATGTGAAAATCTGAAATAAGAGATAAAAGACACCCATGGGAGGCAAGGAAGTTTTCATTAATGGTGATGAGGACTATCTCACTGGTTTTGAAACTCATGTTTGTGCCATACCTACAGTTCAAATAAGGTATGCTTCTTTTACAACACTCTATAGAATTTATGTAAAAGTCACATTTTTTTTTCTCATTTTAAAAATGTAATTCTCATTAAAATGGCAATTTAAAAATGTGGTTATAACATAAGCAACATACCTGCAGGTGTGATCGTCACTCACACTTGCAATTTCTTGGCCTTCTTTGGGATCAAACACCAAACCATTAATGAAATCGGTATGGCCCTCTAAAACCTGACAGAAAGAGAAACAGAAAGCTTAGCAAGAAAACAGAAAAATAACCTACAATATTCCTACATAATATTTTTGCTTCACTGCCTTAAAAGCTTTCACTGCCTGTTTTTCTATAAATATTTCTTAAGCAATCCGCTATTTTTAAAGCACGATTTATACACCCACTTTTCTAGAAGGTTTATCTTGGGAAAAAAATTGATCATTCAACACACTATTAGCTTAGTCTTTCTTTTCTAGTATGCATTTCTTACAAAAACACACACACACACACATTTTTATTGTACCTGTCCTCATATCACCTCCTTTCTCACTTATTATATAAAGCCTAAATAAAAATTAGAGCTAGAAAACTTTTTAGGGGTACCGAGGTAGGGTACCTCTAGGCTTTTTACATTATATCTGCTGTTCTGCATACTCACTACTTAACAAACACACACAGGATGGACTTCACCATCTAATGCCTTCATTTACATGCTCAATGTGACTGCTAGCAGTGAAGACAGCTAGTTGTTATAAGCCCATAGTTATCACCAACACAAAAAATCTCGACACAGAAGCAACAAATGAGAAGTTGCACAGTGGAGGACTGTGTGAGCAGATAAAGTTCAATCTGTCTAAATCTTCATAGTTGAAATCCTAAATAGGCCTGTCAGATAATTACTTTAATGGTTATCATTCTTTCTACCCTTCCTTCTTTCCAAAAACTCAAATTTGATCTCAGTTCTGAGGTTATTAAAGCAGTTCTATATAGTACTGCTCACTATGTAGAAATGTAATATTAAAAAAAAAACAAAAAACAAAAAGATTTGGGTCAAACATTCCTGAGCAACTTTAACAAACCCAGGTCCTCCAAATCATTCTCCAAAGCTTCTGTCACAGTCTACAAGACAAACTAAATTAACCGTAAATGTTTAATGTGTATTATAACTAGCATATTAACTTTGGATAGGTCAAAATTTTATGTGCCATTTATATACTTGGTTATTTCTGGTACAGCCTTAAATTAACCAATCCATACAGTACATTAAGCCCACTGTAAATAGCTTACAGCATAATTTTTACTATTTTCTAAATGATTGGAAAGGTTTGTAATTTATCTTTGTTTTATAACAATATTCATATTTTGGCTTATTAGAAAGCCAAGAAGGCAATACCATTCTTAAAAGAAAACATGATGCAATTTTGACCCAATCTGAGGGTTATTATTATAGTAATAGAAAACACACATACGGCGTTTACTATGTATCAACATTATTCTAAGCGTTTTATATGAATTTGCTCAGTCAATGCTCATAATCCTATAAGGCAGCTGCTATGATTACCCACATTTTACAGGTAAGGATATTAGCACAAAGAGATTAGGTTACTTAACCAAGGTCACACCACGACTAAGTAATAACACTGGAGTTTAAATGCAAGGAATCTGGCTTCTGTGTCTGTGCTCTTAACCGCTTTGGAATTCTGCCTGTGCTATGCTGTACTGATCATTTGTTCCCATGAAGTTCAACTCTTACTCTATGAATGGTCATGTCTATTATACTCCTACTATATCCAACTGTAAATTTCTAGTTTTCTTATTTGTTGTTCCTACCTAATATTTCAATTTAATAAGAGATATCAGATTTATAATCTGCAGTCATTAAGAACTTAGTTCTTAATAATATAGTAAGCTAGTTATTATAACCTATAGTAGAGTAAATGAGACTCTAAATTATATACTTTAATGATGACCATAAAAAGCCATTTTAAATTGGAATAAATCCAATTAAAAAAGCAAAAAACAAACACGTTTTAAAATAAGCTCTAAAGATTTATATGGTTGTCAACATACCTTATATTCATTTTTATCCTGAAGATCTGAAGTAAATAATCTAATTTTCATATCAGCAGCTGAAGTACAAAATCTGGAAGCAAAAAAACAAAAATATACCAATTTTTAGCCTTTGTAAGTGAAAGGTCTCCCCCTCCCCCCCATCCTTCCCTTCAGATCACTGAAGCTTTTATCATAACTCATAATCATGCTTTTTATGGAGGGGGAAAGAAGAATGTTGTGGCTCTACTGTAAAAAGTATTATACAGCCATCACAGAAAGTAGGAGTCATATTATTTTATTTTGAGAACACACAAAAGGTTAGTCTATTCTGGATGTGCTTCTTCAGTAATAAAAGTGTAGAATTTTACACTAAATCAGCACTTGAATTTAATTTTAAACGTTTTCTTAAAAGCATAAAAGGATGGATTTTAAAAAGTATCTTCATTTTAGCCAGGTCACCAAGACATATTAAAAATATTGTTATACATCTACCTTAGTCTTTGCCCTCTTCTGTTATCCATAATCCTTAGTTTTTTCTATTCCTCCAAATAAATCAGATGAAGTAAGATACTATTTTTATAACTATAAAAGCTGATAATATTTATACCTACTAAAAGCTGGAGTATTATTTATACTTTAAACATTTAAAACATGTTTTTCAGTAGTTAATCAATGGATTATTAAATTAAAAAACAAAACCTAAGCAGCAAACACTCCTTTTTTTTTCCTTTGAGACAGACTTGCTCTGTTGCCCAGGCTGGAGTGCAGTGGTATGATTTCATACCACTGCAGCCTCCACCTCCCAGGTTCAAACGATTCTCCTACCTCAGCCTCCCAAGTAGCTGGGATTACAGGCGCCCACCACCACACGTGGCTAATTTTTGTATTTTTAGTAGAGACAGGGTTTCACCACGTTGGCCAGGCTGGTCTCGAACTCCTGACCTCAGATGATCCGCCCATCTTGGCCTCCCAAAGTGCTGGGATTACAGGCATGAGCCACTGCGCCTGGCCAACAACTACTTTTTAAACTAGTTTATCTTTAATCCTAAATTTTCTAGATTCTCAGGATGTGAGACAATGGCTGAGAAAAAAATTTAAATTATATTTATATACTGAAAAACAAAGTTTATTTTCAATTCTTTGGTAGAAAGAGTATCATACACAAATCTAAATTTATTCTTTAGTTTGAGTACAGTGAGCCATTTTTTCTCAACTAAAGGCTCTTAATCCACAGACCCTGATGTGTTGGTAGACCTTTGCTACTACACCCCTTTCCAGTAATTTGTCAAGAGTTGTTAGAGAAAACAGATCAAAGCCACCAGGGAATGATTCTTTGTCCAAGGTCTTCTCAGAGGCAAAATTAAAGTTGTAGTGGAATAAAGCATGTCTTCTTTCAAGAAATGTCTGTCTACTCAGGTTCTTTGCCCATTTTAAAATATAACTGTTTTCTTGTGATTGAGTAATTTGAGTTCCCTACATATTGTTGATATTAGCCCCTTATCAAGATGTATGATTTGCAAATATTTTCTCACAATCTGTAGGTTGCATCTTCACTCTGTTGTTTCCTTTGCTGTGCAGCTCTTTAGTTTAATACAATTCCACTTGTCTAGTTTTGCTTTTGTTTCCTGTGCTTTTAGGGTCAGATCCAAAAAATTCACTGTTGTGGAGATTAATGTTGTGAAGCTTTTTCTGTTTTCTTCTAGCCATTTTACAGTTTAAGGTCTTAAGTTTAAGTCTTTAATCCAATTTCAGTTGATTCTGCATATGGAGTGAAATAACGGTTCAATTTCATTCTTCTGTGTGTAAATACAGTTTTGCAACATCATTCATTGAAGACACTGTCCTTTCTTCATTTTATGTTCTTGGCACCTTTGTAAATAATCGATTGACCATAAATGCATGAATTTATTTCTGGGCTCTCTATCTTATTCTATTGGTCAAGGTATCTCTTTTTATGTTAGTACCATGCTGTCTTGAATACCATAGCTTTTATTTTGAAATCAGGTAGTGTGATGCCTCCGGGTTTGTTCTTTTTTTTGCTCAAAATTGCTTTGGCTATCTGGGGTGTTTTATAATTTCATATAAATTTTTTAATTGATTTTTCTATTTCTGTGAAGAATGACATTGGAGTTTTGATAGATAGGCATTGCATTGAATCTGTGGATTGCTTTGAGGAGTAAGAACATTTTAACAATATTAATTCATCCAATCCATGAACACAGGATATCTTTCCAATTATTTGTGCCAAGTTCAATGTCTTTCATCAATGTTTTATCGTTTCTGTGTACAGATCTTTTACCAACTCAGTTAAATTTATTCCCAAGATATTTTGATGCTTTTGTAAATCATATTACCTTAATTTCTTTTTCAGATAGTTCATTGTTAGTATATTAGAAAGGTTACTGATTTTTGAATGTTGATTTGTATCATGCAACCTTACTGAATTCACTAATCAGTTCTAACAGTTTTTTGGTGGAGTCTTTAGCTTTTCTATATATAAGATCATGTATCAGGAAACAGACAATTTAACTTCTTCCTTTCCTATTTGGATGCGTTTTAATTCTTTTTCATATCTAATTGCTCTGGCTAGGACTTCAAGTACTATGTTGACAAAATACTAGCAAACTGTATTCAAGAGTACATTAAAAAGATCATTCACCATGATCAAGTGGGACTTATCTCTGGGATGCAACAATGTTCAACATATGCAAATAAATATATGTGGTTCACTTTATTAACAGAATGAAAGACAAAAACCACATCATCTCAAAAGATGCAGAAAAAGAATGTGACTAAATACAACATTTCTTGATAAAAACTCAACAAATTAGGTATAGACAAAATGTTCCGCATCACAATATAGGCCATCTATGACGAGCCCACAGGTAACATCATTCTTAATGGTGAGAAGATGGTGGTCTCTCTTTTAAGATTAGGAACAAGACAAGGATGCCCATTTTTGCCACTTATATTCAAAATAATACTGCAAGTTAGGTAATTCTATTTTTAATTTTCTGAGGAACCTTTGGAATGTTTTTCATAGCAGCTGCACCATTGCTACATACTGACCAACAGTATAGAAAAGTTTCAATTTCTCCACATCCCGGGTCAACATTTGTTATTTTCTGCTTTTCTAGTAGTGGCAATCCTAACATGTGAGGTAACCTCTCATGTGGTTTTGATTTGTATTTCTTTAATGATTAGGGATGTTGAACATCTTTTTATATGCCTGTTGGCCATTCATATACCTTCTTTGGAGAAATGTTCATTTAAGTCTTTTTGAATCATTTTTAAATTGGATCATTTATTTTGTTGTGGTTGAGTTGTAGAAGTTTTTTGTATACATTCTGGATATTTATCCCTTGTTAGGTATATGGGTTGCAAATATTTTCCCCCATTCTATGGGTTGCCTTTTGACTCTGTTGACTTCCCTTGCCATGTACTAGTTTTAAAGTTTGATTTAGTCTCATTTGTCTATTTTTTGCTTTTGTTGCCTGTGCTTTTGTTATCAAAACTAAGAAAAAACTGCCAAATCTGGTGTCATAAAGCTTCTCTCAGATATTTTCTTTTAGGAGTTTTATAGTTTCAGGTCTTATGTTTAGGTCCCATTTTGAGCTCATTTGTGTAAAGTCCAATTTTATCATTCTGCATGATACTCAGTTTATTCAACACCATTTGTTGAACAGACTATCCTTTTCCCCATTGTGTAGCCTTGGAACCTTTGTCAAAGATCATTTGATGGCTATGTGAAGGTATTTTTCCTAAGTTTTCCACTCTGTTCCATTGGTCTACATATTTATCTTTATGCCAGTACCATACTGTTTTGATTACTGTATAGCATTGCGATACGATTTGAAATAAAGAAGTGTGAGAACTTCAGCTTTCTCAAGATTGTTTTGGTCATTTGGGGTCCTTTGAGGTTCCATCTGAATTTTAGGATGGCTTTTCTGTTTCTGTAAAAAGTGCCACAGAGATTGATAAAGACGTCATTGAATTTGTAGAGCTTTGGGTAGCACAGACACTTTAACACTATGAAATCTTTCAATCCATGAACACAGGCTGTCTTTCTATTTATTTGTGTCTTTAATTTCTTTCTGCAATGTTTTGTAGCTTTTAGTCTTTGGCTTCGTTGGTTGTCTAGTGAGGGTTTATATGAAAGGGGATACTGTGCACTACATTAGCATTTATTTTGCACCTCTATATATTTATACATTGCACAAGAATGCCATGGCCGGGTGCAATGGCTCATGCCTGTAATTCCAGCACTTTGGGAGGCCAAAATGGGCAGACTACTTGAGCCCAGGCGTTCCAGACCAGCCTGGGTAACATGGCAAAACCCCATCTCTACAAAAAAAAAAATACAAAAATTAGCCGGGTGCAGTGGCGTGTGCCTGTAGTCCCAGCCACTTGGGAGACTGAGGTAGGAAAATCTCTTGAGCCCGGGAGGCGGAGGTTGTAGTGAGCTGATATCATGCCATTGCACTCCAGTCTGGGTGACAGGAGCGAAACCCTGTCTCAACAACAACAAGAATTCCGTGTCATCTTTAGCAGGTTGAAAAGTGCCCTCACGCCAGGCACAGTGGCTCCCGCCTGTAATCCTAGCACTTCCGGTGGCCAAGGTGGGTGGATCACTTGAGGTCAGTTTGAGACCAGCCTGGTCAACACGGCGAAATCCCATCTCTACTAAAAACACAAAAATTAGCTGGGCATGGTGATGTGCACCTATAATCCCAGCTACTCGGGAGGCTGAGGCAGGGAGAATCACTTGAACCTGGGAGGTGGAGGTTGCAGTGAGCCGAGATCACGCCAATGCACTCCAGCCTGGGTGACAGAGCGGGACTCCCTCTCAAAAAAAAAAAAAAAAAAAAGTGTCCTCAAAAAGATAAGTCTATGTGTTAACCCCTGGTAACTACGAGTGCTGCCTTATTTGAAAATAGGGTTTTGCAAACATGATTAAATTAAAGGATACTAAGATGATCATCCTGGATCTAGGGTGGGCCCAAAATTTAACAATGAATGAACACAAAAAAGGATAAACACAGAGGAGATATGAAGGGTAAGAGATTGAAGTGATGCATCAACAAGGCAAAGAAAGTCAAGGACTCCTGGCTACCATCAGAATCTAGAAAACAGGCATGGAATGGATTCTCCCTCAGAGCCTAATAAACCAACCCCACTGATAACTTGATTTTGAATATGTGCCTCCAAAACTGTGATAATAAATTTCTGTTGTTGTTTTAAGTCATCATGTTTGTGGTGGTTTGTTATGGCAACAGTGGGAAATAAAGACGCCATCATAAATAGTATACAAATATATGACTGTTTCATTAAATTGCTTAACAGATGTTGAGTATCAAGTTATCCCCTAAAAATGTGCCATATTTTAACAACATTTTCATTTGATTAACCAAGTCAGCCTAGTGGTGCCTTTATTACTTCTTAGCTATGCAACTTGAAGATGACATTTAAAAACTCAGGGCTCAGTTTCCTCCTCAATAAAGTAAAGGAGACTAGATTAGTTTACTTCTAATGCCCTTTGTATTAATAAATGAAAGCACTCTATCAATCTCATTTTAAAATGCAAATGTACACTCTTATCATTACTTTCATTTAACCTAACAAATACCTATATTTAATTAACAATGAATTATAAAAATAGGTGCTTTGATTTGGGACATTACAGGTCTGGCAAAAAGCAAAAAAAACCAAGGAAAGCCAAAACCCAACCAGGTCCGCTTTGTGGTCCTGATGGTGAAACTGGCCCAACTTCCCCACAGAACTAATGTTCATGGTTTGGAGATAATTACAGAGATTGACTCTCCTGATCTTAAAGCCTGAAAACTTGTATTTGTCTCCTCTGAGTTCCTTTCTCAGGAAACCGACCTTCAGGCCTCCCAGATAGCATAAAGGAACTAAAACTTACCAGATCATTGCATCTGCACAATGAGGCACCAGACCCCTCGTTTGTCATGACTGGTTCCTTACACCCCACAATTCCTGTCTTTCCACATGTAGTTGCATTTCTTCCCTGCTATATAAACCCCTAATTTTAGTGGGTTAGTGAGATGGATTTGAGACTTATCTCCTGTCTCCTCAGCTGCAGCACCTGAATAAAGCCTTCTTCCCTTGCAATACTTGTTGTCTTAGTCACTGGCTTTCTGTGTGGTATGCAACAGGGCCTAGACCAACCCCTTGTATTTCGGTAACAATGGCAACACGTTAAGAAAAAAAATAATCCCCTCCTATGCTGCATTTGGCACACACATGGTATGATAGGTTGCTAATGCCCAAGTTTTGATATCAGAACTTTGCCCAATTTAGTTCAACATCCCCTGTCTAGGCTAGTCAGCTTCCCTTTGGTTGTCCTGTCAGTCTATCTCCCCAACCATTCTTCACACTTCTTTCACAAGTGGACAAGACAAGGAAAAAAAAGGGGAAAAGGAGGCGAAAGAAAAGGCCTAAGAAACACTGAAGAAATACGTGTCGGCTGTTGGGGGAAAATGTTTCAAGTATGTTAAGGGTGGTCCAAGTGTGCACATGGACATTATGATATATACACACAGTAATGCTCAAACAGTACATTCATAACCCCAAACTGCAAATATAGTATTAATAGAATGCATAAACTGTAACAGACTCACAATGAAATACTACATAGTAATAAATAACTAGATCTACAAGTAGAAACTTGGATGAATCTCATATATATAATGTGAAGTGAACAAAGCAGGACAAAAAAATACATATAGTATTATTATATTCATAAGAAAGTTCATAAGCAGGCAAAATTAAGCTATATTGCTTAAGGATGCATCAGTAACTGATAAAACTATAAAAAAAAGCAAGGAGATGATTATCCTAATAAACATGAAACTGATAGCCTTTAAGGGGAAGGAAGAAGGCTGATTGGAGAGGGGCACACTGGCAGCCTCAAGTGTTAGTAATGTCCTATCTCTTGACCTCTGTGATTTCATGAATGTTTACTTTATAATAAACATGTTAAAATGCACATATATACTCTGTGATGGTTAATATTAAGTGTCAACTTGCTTGGATTGAAGGATACAAAGTACTGGTTCTGGGTGTATCTGGGTGTTTCTGGGTGTATCTGGGTGTCAAGAGATTAACATCTGAGTCAGTGGAGTGGGAGGGGAAGACCCACCCTCAGGAAGACACACCCATAATGTGGGTGGGCACGATCCAACTGGCTGCCAGCACAACTAGAAAAAACAGACAGATGGAGGTGGAAGGAGATGACTTGCTGAGTCTTCCAGCTTTCATCTTTCTCCTGTAGTTGGATGCTTCCTGCCATTGAACATCAGACTCAAGTTCTTCAGCTTCTGGACTCTTAGGCTTACACCAGTGGTTTGTCAGGGGCTCTTGGGCCTTAGGCCACAGATTGAAGGCTGCAATGTTGGCTTTCCTACTTGTGAGGTTTTGGGACTCAGACTGGCTGCCTTGCTCCTCAGCTTGCAGACGCCTTATTGTGGGACTTCATCTTGTGATCGTGTGAGTCAATACTCCTTAATAAACTCCCCTTCATATATACATCTATCCTATTAGTTCTGTCCTTCTAGAGAACCCTAATACATACTCTATGTGTGTTTAAACACGTATGTTATATTTTATACATGCAAATAAAGGGTAAGAAAAACTGTAAAACAAAGCTTATTCTACCTAATTCTTCTCCTTTGAATTTGTCCAATTATTATTTTGGGAATTCATTATTTATTTGCTCATAGGAAACTCTAGACAAATTTGCCACAATAATATCACTCATGTTGAGGGTCTCCTACGGATTTCCTCAGTTATAGCATAATGAAATCATAAAACTTTGTTCAAAATGTCATCTCTAAAACAGATAAAAGCTATTTTGGAAGTTGTTAAAAGAAACATCCCAACTAAAAGGGTTTGTAAAGAGGTATTAATAGCAAAATGAAGCCAAGTTCAGTAAAAATGTCAGCAAATAGAGGAGTTACAGTAATCAAAGAATACTTACTTAAAAAGAAAATTAATAATCTTACTGGGATCTAAATAAAACCAAACAAACAAACCCAGAAAACTTTATGGCCAGCCTTGTGTTGCCCCACTTTTCTTTGAATCCTTGCTGTTTCAGGGATATTTAAGTCCTTCTTTAATTGAACCAGAAAACCTCAGAGAACTGAAATAACATGAACAATGAATTCTCTAGCCACTACGCAAGAAAAGCAAGTAGGGATGGAAAGAGTAGAAAGGCAGGGAGAAAGAGAATTTAAGGCAACTACATGCTAATGATAAGCCATCATGAAGGATTTCTAAATGTAAGATAAAAATTAATGATGATAAGAGAGATGCTGAGTTATACCTTAGTCATGGTGATAGACTACTATTTATTTTAGAATACTATAAAAAAGCAAAGTAAAGAAAGTACAGAGAGTTACTATAGTATAATCACAATTATGTACAATTATGTACAAAAATGAAAAGGGTATTGGGAGTATAGGTGGCATTCTTCTCCTTATTTTCTGTGTTTTCTAAATTTTATTAAGCATTCATTATTTTATAATAAAAATAATTTATTTGAAAACAAGATTGTGCCTTCAGGTTGCTCTAAAAATAGTCTAAAATTAATGGCCTGCTAATGTCTTTTGAATTTGTTACTGAATTTGTATAGTTCCAAAAAGGTCTTGAGACAGTTTACCAAAAAATAAGAAAAATCCAACCAAACAAAAACACCAACCAGAAATGATGAAACACAGCAAATTCACTAAAAAGAGGACAGGAAAACAAGTACTAAGCAACAAGGAAAGCATAGAATACAACAGCTGAATATGTAGATTAAAGAGGTATCACAAAACTTAAAACCAAGGGAAGAAGACTGTTTCCACAGCTTTAAAAATTTAAAGAATCAAAGAGACTTGTTCTTGTTTAGGTCTAGATATTGTGACCACTTTCTTTTAATATAAAAGGAAATCAACAGCACACCAGCTGTTGGCAATGACATTACGTGTGCTGACAAAAGCTATTGTGTAGATTATTCAATTAAGTTAGCTAAATATCGGTAAAGGCTTCTAGGAAAAAACATGCAACATCTTCACAACCTATAAGAAATCACACAAAGATTTCTAATAGAAGAAACAAATATACCAAAAAAGCGTCAGCATTATCACTCATCATGGAAATGTCATTGTGGCATCAACCAGAATGGCTAAAATTAAAAAGACAGGCTGGGCACAGTGGCTCATGCCTGTAATCCTAACACTTTGGGAGGTCAAGGTAGGTGAATTGCTCGAGCCTGGGTGCTCGAGACCAGCCTGGGCAACATGGCGAAACCCCATCACTGCAAAAAATACAAAAAATTAGCCGGGAGTGGTGGTGCATGCCTGTAGTTCCAGCTACTTGGGAGGCGGAGGTGAGAGGGAGGGTTGAGGCTGAGCCAAGGGAGGTTGAGGCTGCAGTAAGCTGTGATTATGGGTCTGGCTGTCAGCCTGGGAGATAGAGTGAGACCATGTACCAAAAAAATAAAAAAAAAAAAAAGAAAGATTGACAATAGCAAATATTGGAGAATAGGCCAGGTATGGTGGCTCATGCTGTCATCCCAGCACTTTGGGAGGCCAAGGCACATGGATTGCCTGAGCTCAGGAGTTTGAGGCCAGCCTGGGCAACAGGCAAATCCCTGTCCCTACAAAAAATACCAAAATTAGCCAGGCATGATGATGGGCGCCTATAGTCCCAGCTACTCAGGAGGAGGCTGAGGTGGGAAGACGGCTTGAGCCTGGGAAGCAGAGATTGCAGTGAGTGGAGATGGTGCCACTGTACTCCAGCCTGGGCAATAGAGCCAGACCTTGTCTCAAAATGAATGAATGAGTGTTGGAGAGTAGGAAGACCACCCTTAGATTATTGGGGAAAAGACAAAATGGTAGAACCACTTTAGAAACTGGCATTTTCTTAAAATGTTAAACATACATCTACCCTGTGACTCAGCAATTCTACTCCTAAATTAAATCATATAACCACCCAAAGCAGTATTCAGCAAAAAATAATAACTAAAGCCTAGAAACTGTATTGGTACCTATTTACAGAAGAATGAATAAACAGACTATGGTCTATTGATACACTGTAATGGAGTACTACTTAAAAAGCACTGGTATACATAACAATGTGGAAAAATTGCAAAAACAAGCCAGACACAAAAGACATTCTGTATGATCCCACTTATATGAAGTTCTAGAATAGGCAAAACTGATTTCTGGTAATAGAAATCAGATCAATGGTTGCTTCTGCAGGGAGTGGGGTACAATGATTAACTGGGAAGAAGTATGACGAAACTTTCTTGGGTGACAGAAACAGTGCATGAATAGGGTGTGGGTTGTACAAATATACGTATTTGTCAAAACTGATCAAACTATACCCTTAAGAGCTGAGAATTTCAGAGTATCTAAATTATCCCTTAATTTAAAAAAAACGAAGTTAGCTTAATAGTTGATAACTTTTAGTTCCTAAGTACTGTCTACTAAAAGAAGACACATCTTTTAGATTTGACATTTGTAGAAGGCAAGGCTAGTGTTTTGTAACAGATCTTAAATAACCTAACATATTCTTGCCCCTGTAAAGAGGGCTTCAGCAGGCATTGCTAGGATTTTTTTCTCAGAAAACCATCATTCCTTTTAAACACTTTCACAAAAACTGAAGTCCAGGACCAGAACTTACAGATTTATATACTGTTGGACAAAAAAATGTGATCTTGGCCTATGGGTGGGGAAGGAAAGCTCATTAATGTCTCAACCAAATTTAGTTATTTTAAGTTATACTTTCAATAAAGTTGTAAATTCAGTGAACAATCTGTAAAGACCTTGATTCAGATGAATCTCACGTAAAAGGTTTTGTAGTTTGGCTCAAACACATGGTCAAGGCATCATAGTCATGGCTGTATATTTAAATCACAAATTCAGATGATAAGCCTAAATTATTAAGTAGTAGCAAATATCAAAATATCTAATATCTTGGATTGTGGAAAATGGAAATTGAGAAAAAAGTATCTATGATCAGACTTCCAATCATGTAACACAATCAAAGTACATTAGTAAGGAATGCATTTGGTACTGTTAAACTTACTTGATTACTGGAGGCAATGAATCAAGTCTAGTCTCTGGGCTCCAAGCTATGCCATCAACCCTGACTCCATGGTGAAATGTTCGAAGTGTTTTATACTGAATGCCTTCAACGTCTGCTTCTTCTTCCTAAGCATACACAGTAAATGTTTTAATAAGTAATGAGAACAAACAATATAATATTCTGTATTTCATTATAATGAATTTATCAGGAGGTTATGCTTATGCTTTTGAAAAGTTCAAAAGCAAATTACATATTAAGATTTAACTAGTTCATTGAATTAAAAAAAAATCCAAAGTTGTCTAAGCCTCACAAAATAACTCTCTAAGGCAACTAGAAACAAATGGTAAACATGTTCTACTTTATCTTAGGAGGCATTTCATAATAAGTTCAATGAAAATGGACTGCTTGGTCAGGCGTGTTGGCTCACGTCTATAATCCCAACACTTTGCGGGGCTGAGGTGGAAGGATTGCTTGAGCTCTGGAGTCTGAGACCAGACTGGGCAACACAGTGAGACCTGTGTCTACGTTATAAAAAAAGAAAACAAAGAAAATGGAATGCTCTAAAGAATCAAGATATTCTAGGTAAATGAATTACCAGAACCGGATTATCTACTGACAATATTAAAAAAATACACTGTACATTCTCACTACATGGAAAATACTTTGGGACCTTATAAAGACCTCAAAGTCTTTATAATCAGTGTCAATGATTTTCATGTAGTGTTACATGTGGCATTATATGTGTGTAAGATGCTACAAATAATTCATCTGAACTATTATTGTTTATGAATAGTGAATATGTAATAAATAATCTGGCTAATTTAGTTTTAGATATTTGATTCTGGGAATAAATGCTTAATAAAGTTGGCTTATTTATCCAGTTCAGCCCTACTAAAATGATTTCAGTTTATCCTCACGGGAAGGTGAGAAAAAAAATCAACTTTAAAAGTCAAGCCATCTGTCGCTGGCAATGGAGACAATAACCTGAAAAGTTCTCCCATTACAACATTGCAAAAATTCAAATACAGACAAGCAAACGACTACCAAGGTATGCAGCTGTTATAAGGGTATCTGCCTACATGCAATGATTTAAAGCTTCAGTTTGCAAGAGAGAAGAGACAAATCCTAGTGCCTGCACAAGGAAGGATGCCAGATCAGAGATTTCTGCATAGATCCAGGGCCCGATTAAGGGGAAAGCAGGAAAAAACAGACAAACAAAAAGAAAATCCTGCCATGCAAAATACCTACCATGAGTAAGGGAAGGATACTTAGGGGGCTTCAAAAGAATTGCTAATGTTCCTTTTCTTAAACTAAGCAGCAGGTATACAGGGATCCATCTTATTACTCTTTATGCCTTTATGGATAACACATTTTTTATAAGCATTAAAATACTGCTCAGCACCATAGGAAAGGTAAAAAAGAAAATGATAAAAAAATTTTGCAATTTTAAAAATAAGTAAATCATCCTTCTGTTATTTAAATCAATACCTGAACTGGGTTTGAGACTAAAGAAGGCCAAATTTTCGCGACAAATTTGTCCAAGGAATCTTCTGTGCTAACTACAGTTTTCTTTATAAAAGTGTATGGTATTATAAAGTATCAGGGAAAAAATCCAGCAGGTGAAACTTGATATTTAATGAAATACGTATGTCTATATTGATAGGAATTACTTGAAGGCCTGATCTAAGCATTCCATTCACCCAGAATCTAAATGCAAAGTTTTATAATGTATACTCGAATGAAATCCAAGTAGATATACTGATTTTTCCAGGATAGCCTATGGGATCCCAGTAAAGTCATTTCACAAATATACTACACATCTTTCTCTGCATAATTCAGATACCCTTTGAAAATAACTTCAAATTTCAGGTGAACTTAAGAGTTAACAGCAAAAAGTTTTTCCACAAATGAAAGAAATACACTTATCAAGGAAAGAAAAACACTGTCAAATTTTACTACTTCGTAATTTGTGTGTATAATAGTTGTATAGCTAACAGCCAGATATGCCAAGACAGCAGCCACTAAACAATTTTAAAATAAGTTTAGGAGCCTAATCATAGCTGACTTCACAGTTTGGATTACATCTATTTTTCCAAACTTGACAAATCAGTCTCCTAAAAATGAAGTTTTTGCATGTAAATACACATCATCTTGCTACTGTAACAATATTGTTGACAATCAAGTCCTTTAATTTGTTACCCAAATCACATATGGAATTACTGGGTGGTCATGGGGATAAAGAAATCTCAGGGACTGTACAGCCTGGGCTTTTTGTTTTACCAGTGAAACCTGTTTTCCTGGCAGCACTGTTTGCCACTGAGCCAACTAAAAGGCCCGTGTGTGTGTGTGGTATAGGCAGAGACAAATGCTATTTTGGATTTAGTTTGGGGTATAAGCAGAATTGTATAGGCAGGAAATTAAGATACTTTGGAAAACTTGCTATAATACAAATGATTATACAAGGTTTCGGCATATTTGAGGTTGGGGCAAAGCCAGGTTGATGGAAGGGCTATTATAAGGGTTTGAAACTGGCAGGCCCTCCCACCACACCCATTTAAGGCCAAATACAAATTTCAGTTAGTCAAGACTGTGAAGTTTCTCTAGTTCAATTCTTTCCCCCCAATGCTTGAATCCCTAGGAGAGCATCTGAAAAAAAGAGTTTACACAACCCCTCTCTGAACACTTCCAGTGACAGGGAACTAGCTATTTCTTTGGGAAGTTTATTCAATTGGGGGATAGCTCTAATTATTAGAAGAGTTCTTAACGTTAAGCCAAAATCTGTTTCCATGTAAATTCTACTCATTATTCCACGTTCCATCTCTGGAACCACACCAAATCAGTCTAACTTAATGATGACAAATATCTGGCCATAGCTGATCTCCTCTAGGTGAAGACACACTAAGCAGCAGATTCAGCCTCAGCCTGAAAGCATTATAAGCAACAACTCTGTCCATTCAAATAGAGATGACAAATAACATAAAATCCATTTACCATTGAGTCTAATACCTCTTTCACAGTTTTAAACATTTAGATACTACCCTGAAATTTGTATTAAAATACATTATCTTCTCTGAATCATAATATACTGCTGAGAACTACAGAGTATTATTATTATATTAAAGATTACTGTCGATTTACAGAGGAAGATGCAGAGAGAACTGTGCTGTCTGATATGGTGGCCACTAGCCACACAGGACCTTATGAAGCACGTGAAATGTGGCTAGTTCTATTTGATATGTGTACACTTTAAAAAGTGTAAAATACATACCAGATTTCTAAGTCTATTCAAGGGGTCTTCATTAGTGAATTGAGGCCTCTAGTAGAACTTGGATGAGAACATTGATTTAGGCAAGCATATATGTTCATGCTCCTCTGCCCTTTAACAAAGGTTTTTATAGCAGTTTTCTTATTGCACTGCTTTATATGTAAATATTTCCTTAAGGATATGGTCCTTGCTTTTTTCATGTCTTGGCACCCAGTATGCACTTAATGAAAATTTGACAAATACACGACACCAGTTAACAGTACTATCATTCAGAAGCTCATATGTCCATCATAATCAAAGGGACAACATGAGATTCTGAAAAATGCTTTATTGAAATTCAAATTCACTATATCTACAACGTTTTCTAAACAGCCTTAAAATAAGGATTATCTTTCTGTCAGGAATGTGAAAATCTTTCCACTTAATTTACCTTTACTTAGTTTTCTCTCAAGACAAGAGGCATGAAACTGGGTGCAATGGAACTTGAAGGTTCTAGGACAACAGAATAGTAATGTTTAACAGTGTTTAGCTAGATAAAAAATAACTCCACAGAAAAGCAATAATTTATTTTGAAATGGACTTACTTAATTGTATTTCCAATGTCTGATGCAGAATATAATTTGTGTTTACTATTGTCCAAATTAATAAAAATCTAATTTTTTCCTTAGTAATTTGGGCACGAGACCTACATTGCTAATCTCACAGGTATGAGGGTAACTGAGACAATACATGTGACCATAAACTATAACAGAACACAAATGTTTATACTAGTTCTTTTTTCTCATGTTAGTCATTTTCCTTCTTTCTCCCAACTTCTCCCTCTCTCATCTTTGCCTCTCTTTTCCTAATTTGTTCTCCACTGACTTTCTCCCTCAACATTTCTTAATCATAAATGAGATAAACATTTTTCAGTGTTTGCGAATACAATCCTATGTTGTTATTAATTTTAAAAGTAATGAAGTAAAAATTAGTTTTACCTGTAGGAGGCTGCTTTACTCTTTTGTACATTGGTGGCTTGCATTAGAGAAATGGTTTTTCCTCAGTCTTTTTCAAGTACGTAACATTGTCTTAATCATATGACTTTTTATGATCCTAAACCATGTCCATGTAAGTCAGGCTAGGGTCATATTTAGTCTAAAAGCTATTAATTTCTACTCCCACCCAAACAGACAGTACGAAATAGGCTAGGAGCTGTCATATTCTACTCAGACAGCAACAAACTGAAACTTTCAATTCACACTTCCTCTTAAATATGACTATATTCCAATTTGTAAAGCTTTATATATTCATTGTGCTATAAAATGCCAAATTGCATTTTTGATGTCAGAATACTGTAAGATACAGAATTGCCGCTGGGCATGGTGGCTCACGCCTGTAATCCCAGTACTTTGGGAGGCTGAGGCGGGCGGATCACGAGGTCAGTTCAAGACCAGCCTGACCAACATGGTGAAACCCCGTCTCTACTAAAGATACAAAAAAGTTAGCTGGGCATGGTGGCACGTGCCTGTAATTCGAGCTACTCAGGAGGCTGAGGCAGGATAATTGCTTGACCTCGGGAGGCAGAGGTTGCAGTGAGCAGAGATCGCACCACTGCACTCCAGCCTGGATGACAGAGCGAGACTCCGTCTCAAAACAAAACAAAACAAAAACAGAATTGCCTTCTCAGTAAAGGAGGAAATAACATTTATAATAACTATCACTTTAGTGATAGTTATTTTAAATCTTTGAAAATTGGACACTTCCAAATTACCGTGCTCATTATAATTTGAGAAATACGGTTCTATTAATAATATTCTGCTAGGCCAGGCAGGGTGGCTCACACCTGTAATCCCAGCACTTGGGAGGCCGAGGTAGGCAAATGACTTGAGGTCAGGAGTTCGAGACCAGTCTGGCCAACATCATGAAACCCCCTACTAAAAATACAAAAATTAGCTGGGTGTGGTGGTGCATGCCTGTAATCCCAGCTACTTGGGAGGCTGAGGCAGGAGAATCAACTGAACCCGGGAGATGAAGGTTATAGTGAGCCGAGGTTGACCTCCAGCCTGGGCGACCAAGCAAAACTCTGTCTGAAAAAAAAAAATAAAAATAATAATAATACTCTGATAGACAAAGGATTAACCAGATAGTCCTGAGGGTTGAACCTTCATTGTTCCAAGTCTCTCTTACATGTAAAACTAGCTTTCCTCTGGGAAAACATGGTTTATGTTCACCACAAAGCAATCTTACTTTGGTGATTAAACCTGAGAGTGTTACCACTGCTCGTATCAATGACAACTAAAACATACATATGGATTACAATGTTGTCAGATGCCCTCTTGGAATTTTTATTTAGTATATTTACATATACTAAAATTCAAGCATTAGTTTCCTCATGTTTACAGGAGATGCTAAATATCTTATTCAAGGTCTCATAGCTAGTAAGAAGTAAGTAAAGCAGGAGTAAACATGTAGGCATTCCAGTTCTAGAATTCATGCTCTTAATGGCTATGCTTAACTGCCTGCTCAATTAATATGACTCCATATTCTGCATACATTAGATGCACAAAAAGTATGACAGCATACTAATAGGAAAGCTGAATATTATAAAAGCTATAAAATCTCCTGGAAGATTGTTTTTTGGGCTCTCAACATTAGCTGGTTTTGTATGTCAAAGCAGGATGTAGAAAAACCGTAATTAATTGGATCTCATTTATATTGTTTTTTTCCTGTACATACCAATGTTCAGTTAATCATAGCCTTCACTTATCAGAATATTCCATTAATGATCATGAGGCAAAAGTGAAGCCTCATACCATTCTTTTTCACTATCTATATAATGTTTACATAAATCTCAGGCACATATAACTGGGAACATCTTTCTCTATGGATCTTATCTTTTTTTTTTTTAACATTCAAACTCAATATACTTTCAAAGTTTAGATTTGGTTTGTGTAAGTTCTCTTAGTAGTGAAATATGTTCACTGTCATTCGGTGCAGTTTTGTAGACTAACCTGAAACGTACACGTGCCAATGACCACATAATTATTGCCACCATATGCAATTAGGTTTCCTGAATCCCCATTCTCAAAGGGATTAAATTCTACCACATGCACATAATCTTCACAATCCACAGTGTAGGCAGCATTTCTTGAGGCATCTTGCTTCATCTTGTATGTCAAAATTCAAGCAGTTGTGAAAATTAAATAGCCTTCTACTGGACAAGGTCACGAAACTGTGGATTAGAGCACAGGTACAATTACAATGGTCAATATGTTAGTCATTCAGCAAATGCATCAAAATAAGGTTGTGGTGTTACAATGAGACAGAAAGCTCAAAAGAAACATTTAAAGTACTTATCAAGGGACAGAAACTGCAGGAAAAATATTAAATCTAGTTATTAATGGTTCCACATTTGCTCCACAGCTCTTTCCCATATCTGTGATTCTAGCAGACAATAACACTGCAAAGTTCTGTTTAGATTATCTAAAACAAATAGTATTTCATCTGAAGATGGAATCATTTTAACAGCAAATGTTAATAAAAATTAATAACTTTTATGAACCACTATTTGTAGGTACCATATTAAGCATTTTACTGACATGATCACATCTGGTATCTGTACAAATCTAAAGGCAGGTACTACCTCTGGTCTCCATTTTGTAGATGGAGAAACTGAGGCTTCAGTAGGTTAACTAACTTGCCAAGCTCATAAGCAGGGCCAGGATTTGGAAGACTTCATTGTGTGTGGAGAACCAGCGCTAATGAAGAAAAAAACAGCCTCCTGGCTTGAAGGAGACCACAGTTTAGGGATAGTTATGACTCAACGTGAAAAGGGCTATAATATAAACAGATAGAAAATACAGGATCTGTTGTTAAGGAGTACCAAAATGTGTGATATAAAAATAATGTTCAGGGGGTTGGGCGGAGGGAGAGCATCAGGATAAATAGCTAATGCATGTGGAGCTTAATACCTAGGTGATGGGTGTGCAAACCACCATAGCACACGTTTTACCTTTGTAATAAACCTGCACGTCCCGCACACGTATCCCGGAACTTAAAAATTAAAATAATAATATTCTTAAAACTAGGCAGAAGACCTTAACCTGTCAGGGACTAGTGTGCATTCTGGAAGTAGCATTCCCACATGAGAATTATGGGTTTTAGAGTTTTTGGTTTTTTAAAAAATTCGACACAAGGGTTGTCCTGAAAACAGCTGGACTCAGTAACAAACATATCAAGCACCTTAAGAGTATGTACTGAGAATGAGTCCCACCTCGAGACGCTTATAAACTAGTAACTTTAGGAATGGACATCAGGGACTGGAGACTTTTGAAGGGTGACCAGCAAGTGTTATGGACACGGAGACAGAGAGGTATAGAAGTGCAAGAGATTCGAGGTCACGAAATTGTTCCGTCCCTACACCTACTGCTCATTAAAGCAGTGGCCGGGGCCTCACCGTACACGTTGGACAGGACTTGCCCCTGTAAAACTACAACGGCAGAGAAGAAGGGAGGGAACAAGATAAGTCTCTGCAATGAGCGCCGACACCTCTCCCCGGGCCAGGCGAGTTCCTCAAGACCCCGCTCCCACCTCCCGGGGCCCGAAGTGGGAAGGAAGAACTCCTGGGAATAGAGTGGCAAGGCTGGGCGGCCGGCAGAAAAGCATCCCGGCCTCTCGGGCTCCCAGCTCGATACGCACCGCAGAGCGCCAGGAACCGACCAGAGGCAGGCTGGTCTTCCTTGGGGGCTGCCGCGACGCGCTGTGGCTCTGCTTCCGGGTCGGAGGGCGAGCGCAGCGATTGGCTCCCGGGGCCTCCCGCGAGGTTTGAACTGTATTCAGCGGCGACAGCGGCGACTGCGGCGGCCGCGGGAGGGCATCCCGTTGGGGATCCTTCCGCACACTGAAGAGTACGTCTTCGGGTCTACCCCTAATCACGTAAGTCTCGCGTCTGCCCTACCTGCCCTGTCGCATTTTTAAGTGGTGATTCAGGCTGTGGCTTTTGAGGGTGTTTTGCACTGTAATACCTCGGTCGTAGCAAAGTGCCGTGGGACCGAAGTATTATGGTGCAGTGACTTGACGCTCGAGCCTGGTTGGGCCTGGGGGCTGTAGGCGGAGTTCACAGTATCTAGCGATGGAGCTGGTAGGTCCTGAGGGTTCGTCTGCAGCTTGGAAGACAGGCCCGTAGAGGCCTGCTTAACTTCCATTAGTTAGGCAGGAAACCTGGGTTCTAGTCCCACTATGTACACGGACTCCAATTCCTCAACTTTCTCCTACTCCTGATTAGTTACAGCCTCCCAAGGAACCTTTGGGACTTGCACTCGAACACTGATAATGATGTTGAGTGCAATTTTTAAATTGAGCACCTACTAAATGCCTGGCACTAGGTGGGTTATGTACTTGTTTCACTAACGTCTCATTCTGTGAGGTAGGAATTCCCTTCCTGGTTTTGCAGGTGAAGAAACTTATGCTCATTAGAGATTTTAAATACCGAAGGACTACAGGTCATAAAGGGGGAGCCTGGAAGTGATATCTGACTCGGAAGTGTAGTTCTTTCAACCATTTCACACTGCCTGCCCAGTGACAATTTTCTGTCTCACAGTTTTTGCTCTAGAGCAACTTGGAATCCAATTTTTTAAAAACAAGTGTTATCGCTGCTGCCTTTGGCTACTGTTTTTTTGTATAGTGCAGCCTGCCATTCAGAGTGCTTGCATATTTATTGTCTCATTGACTTCTCACAAGGGACTGGAAGGCAAGTATTTCTGTGTGATGATGCCTCCACCTAGGAACCACGTGTAAGGCTTATGGCATAGGCTCCCACAGCCAGCTAGCTACAGGAAGAGCTGGGACTAGACCAGGGGTTGGCAAACTGGCTGTGCTGCCTGTTTTTGTGCAGCCAGCTCCTGAGCTAAGAAGGAGTGTTACGTGTTTATATGGTTGGGGGAAAAAATGAAAAGAATAATGTTTTGTGATGTGTAAAAATTACATGAAATTCAAATTTCAGTGTCCATAAAAAAAGTTTTATTGGAGCACAGCTATACTCATTTGTTTGTTTATGTATGTCCATGGCTATTTTCACACTAGAAGGTCAAAGTGAGTAGTTGTGCATGCCTCAAATATTTACTGTTTGTTCCTTTAGAAAAAATTAGCTGATCCCTGAATGAGACTCTTGGTTTTCTGTCACCATAGTAATGCTCTTTTTTTTTTTTTTTTTTTTTTTTTTAAGACAGAGTCTCACTCTGTCACCTAGGCTGGAGTGCAGTAGTGCTATCTTGGCTCACTGCAACTTCCGCCTCCCTGGTTCAAGCGATTCTCCTGTCTCAGCCTCCCAAGTAGCTGGGGTTAGAGGCACACACCACCACACCCAGCTAATTTTTAGTAGACAGGGTTTCACCATGTTGGCCAGGTTGGTCTCGAACTCCTAACCTTAGGTGAGCCTCGGCTTCCCAAAGTGCTGGGATTACAAGTGTGAACCACCATGCCCAGGCAATGCTCTTTTACTTTTAACTCAAAACAACTTAGAAACTCATAATGCATGATAATAGCTAATGTGCTTTTATACATGCCAGGCACTGTTCTAAAAGCTTTACTTGTGTTTATGTCGTTGACTTGTCATAAAACCCTATGGGATAGGGTTTTCATTTTCATTATGAGGAAGCTGAGGCAGGGAAAGGTGATGTAACTTGGCCAAGATCTCGCAGCCAGTAAGTGGTGGAGCCACATTTCAGAATGGCCTAATTCCCAAGTGAGTCTTCATTCATAGCAATCAAATCTCATAATACTACCTTTAAATAATACCAGTAAGTAATTTACTCCTAAAAATGTATTTCAGGCAAAGTGACCATGTCACTGAAGCTGACAGTTCTTCACTTTCTTTTTTCTTTCAAGAGATGAGGGTGATTTTTTGAAGAGAAATACAATTCTTAGCTATTTACTAGGATTTGCATTTATGTAAATAATTAATCTCTAATCTTCTACCTGTATCTTTAAGTTGCATCATAGATTGTGTCTATAATTTAATTATATTGCAAGTGGCATGTATCTTTGCTCTTGATTATACAAACCAAAGTAAACATCTAGGATTCTGTTTATGCCACATAAAAATAGAAGAAAAGGATAGCAGAAGGAGTCAGGAAATGGAATAAGTACAGGAAAATACCCAAAATAAGATGATGGGCATGTGAGTATGTTGAGACTTGAGTACTTAAAGTAGGAAAAAAACTTTTAGCAGGCATGTCTGTAAACTCAGAGAAAGGAATTGGATGCCTTATATAGTCTTGGGTATATGAAACATTGGCACTACCTCAAATTATTTTGAAAGGCTTTTGTGTGCATCAGGAGAAGTTACTTAACATGATGCTTTAAGAACACAGCTTATAGAGTTAGACATATTAAGTTTATGCTGTTTGTCCACTTACAAGCTGAGTGACGTGGAGGTTATTAGGTAAAATAAGGATAATAACAGACCTGTCTTATTGGACACTTATGACAGTCGAGTGAGGTAATCAATATTAAGCTTTTGAAAAGTATCTCCACCAAGTTAGCTCCTAAATATTAGTTATTTTATTGGTTATGTAGTACGGTGTAACAAACCATTTCAAAAGTTAAGGTTTTAAAATAACCATTTCCTTCTGATTCTGTGGATCAGCAGTTTGGGTGGGACACTGCTTGGTGATACTCTAGTGGTCATACAGGACACAATTCCTCCTGTTGTAATAGGTGGTGACAACACATGTGAAATGTCTACCAGGGAAGCTTATTAGAGACTTAATGCCCAGGGTTTTTATTGGGGGCTAAATGCAAAGGCATCCACTGTCTGACATGTACCAAAATTCCAGACTCGCAAGTGTTTAGCATAAACTATATTGTTTGTATGAACAGTTTAGCACAGTGAACCACTCTTACTGGAAACACTCCTGAAATCTAAGCTCCCAAACTGGACTCCAGCTTCAAAGGAGAGCATTCAGGCCTATTGTATTAGTACTTCTGCACACACCACTTAAGGCCTAAGCTCAGAACTCCCACAGCGTCATTCTTGCCACATTCTATTGGTTAAATCAAGTCACAAGCCTGGTCCAGATTCAAAAGGGTAGAAAAATAGGCCACCTCTTTTGGGACAACGTAGGATGGGAGGAAATTGGCTTTTTAGGTTTTTTTTTTTTTTTCCCAATTTATCAGACTTATTACCTATCTCAAAACAAATATATATATTTAAATACAGCTTTAATTAGGTATATTTGTAATTATAAGTTTGCAGTAAATTTGCATGTCTGTTTTTGTGTGAATTTTCAGAATTGAAGGCTACATTTTGTTCTTTCAGAAGGTTTGGCTTAAGAAACCAAAGGGGAGGGAAATATGATTGCGCAGAAATTGTATTATTTTGTTTTCCTAAATTTAATTAAAAGCAATCTTGGTAAATATGAAATGACCTCTCATTCACTATATGTTTTTCTCTATCTGTGCTTGCCTATACATGTTAAATGTTAATTTCAGGTTAACATAAGATACTTTAACTTTGTATTCTGTCCTACTTTAAGATAATGGCTGTGTTTAATCAGAAGTCTGTCTCGGATATGATTAAAGAGTTTCGAAAAAATTGGCGTGCTCTTTGTAACTCTGAGAGAACTACTCTATGTGGTGCAGACTCCATGCTCTTGGCATTGCAGCTTTCTATGGCGGAGAACAACAAACAGGTTGGTAAACTATATTTGGGTTAACTTGTTTTTTTAAAGCAAAATTTCATTGCTGCCCATTTGAATAAACTTAAGCTTAAGAATATTAATTTCTTTACATTATGTGCCCTTCTGTGATAATACACCATTTTCACAAATGCCTCTGTGTATCTGTGTCAGAATGTTATGATAGAATTTGAAATGAATTATTTCAAAATTAAGCTCTTATGTATGGTTATACACGGGACATGCATATTTGATGTTTAATAGGAAGATTTAGGATAAACATGTAACTATTATTATTGTGGTCAAATTATTTTTATTTAATAAGACTTTTTTCATTCCCTAAACTTTTAAAAACTACTGGCTCTTGTACCCCAATCCTGGAAATTCTTCCAATCTGCACCGGGATACTGGAAACTGCCTTTAAAAAATTTCCACAAAGTGATTCTTACTTAGGTAGCTTGAGCCAAACTAGCGTTTGGATTTAAGCCGTAGATTAAGGGTTAGAGGTGTTCAGATGAGAGAAGGATGAATGTAGGATAGAGTGGTAAGGAAAGGCTTTGTGATATTAGATAGATTTTAGATAAAGGAAGAGAAGGCTGTAGAGGAGGTATGATGAGGAAAGTCAGTTCAGAAGAAGGGTTCAGGGGAATCAAAGTCATGGTATGAACTTGGCAAAGATACTGGCTTGACTAGAGAAGAGGATTTTTGAAGGGTAGAATTAGCTTCAATGGGTCTGTTGGGCTAGATATTGAAATGACATTCTGATGAGTTATTTTAATTTTATATGTCAGTAGTTTCCAGATTTTTAGATTCCATAGACAGTAAAATTTCTAAAAAATTATTAGACACTGACAGATTTTAACCATTTCTCATTTTTGCAAATAAGGCCATTGAGAAAAAATAGTTACTATATACTATGATCATCATTTTGAAAAAGGAAGAATATTTTAACACTTAAAAATTAAAAAGTATAAAATCTTAAAACAGGGATAGTGTTTTCTACCTGTGAATAGTTGGCAGTTTTGCATATTTTAAACAATGCATGTTAAGATAAATTTTGAATCTCGAAAACAATGACAAAATGTTATTTTATTTTATGTAGTCAGTCATTTTTTGAACAAATATTGAGTTTTTACTGTGTGTTAGACATCATTGTAAAAATTGGGAATACAGTAATGAAAGAAGTCACTTCTTATGGAGTGAACCTTCTAGGGAGAGATAGCTAGTACTGTAAGATATTTAGTCTTTTAGGACATAATAAATGCTATTAATAATAGTGTTATTAATATGTACATAATAAACATACAGAAAACAATAAAACATGCGACTAAGGAATATGCAGATTTTGGGGTGAAAGGGTTGTTGGAATTTGAAATAGGGTGGTCAGGGAAGGCCTCACCTGGAAAGTACCATTTGAGCAAAGATTTGAAACAGGGGAGGGCATTAGCCATGGGGATTTTTATGGGAAGGGACTACCGCAGGCAAAGGGAGGAGCAGGTGTAGTGGCCCTGAGGTGGCTCTATGCCTGGATGTTCCAGGAACAGTAAAAAGGCCAATACAGCTGTCTGAATAAATGTTAATCTCCTTCCCTCCACTAATTACTTTTTTCTCTTTTTCTATTTTTGAGCTTCTACTATAAGCCAGGCATTGTGATATATGTTGGGGTTAAAACGGTGAGCAAAACTAGACTTGACTCCTGCCATCATGAAACATATTACCTAGTAGATAAGGCAGACATTATGTAGAGGATCATACAAATACATGTAAACTAATAGCCATAAGAAGAATATGATGCTCAGACACCAGATAATTGACTTCGTCAAAGAGATCAAGCTGAGCCCCTCAGTTGTACTCTTTGGTCTAGAGGCTCTTTTTTACCCTCTCCAGGGAATGAACCTTCAATTTTTTGCCAAGTTAGATGATTATTCTCCCCTACCTCAACAGAAATTAATTATTAGGCAAAAATCAAAGCAAAGATTACCCAGAGAGATAAGCACAATACTGGAATAACTTCTAGAATCACTTCATTGGCAAATCTCTTCACCAATGCCTTCCACTGGGCAGATTGTTTTTCTAGGAGACATATTAAGAGTGTTGCCTTTCAAAGGCTTTGGCTTTATGTGGCGGGGTGAGCAGAAAGGGTTCCTGATTCAGCTTTCTACCTTTTTTTTGGACTCTCCTTTGTCTTTCAAAATTTGCGCTCAGGGTTTATAAAAACTAGGTTCTAGAGTGCCAGGGAGTAGTAGATGCCTTGAAACAAACACAAGCCCCACCTTTTGCTTACCCTTGTATATTGGCACTTTCTCTTTGTTTTTGACCTTTTGTAGTTTCTCTTTTATAGACTATTTAGTCATGCTTTAAAAAAGTTTTTCTATTTTCTACTGTAGTTTTAGGTGTTCTGTACCAGGAAGTTTTTCTGCAAATCAAGTTAGCCATATTGCACTGTTGGTGTGTCTGTTTTAAAGTTGTAACAGATGGGGCCGGGTGCTGTGGCTCACGCCTGTAATCCCATCACTTTGGGAGACTGAGGCCGGCAGATCACATGAGGTCAGGAGTTCGAGTCCAGCCTGGCCAACTTGGTGAAACCTTGTCTCTATTAAAAATTAAAAAATTAGCTGGGCGTAGTGGTAGGCGCCTGTAGTCCCAGCTACTCGGGAGGCTGAGGCAGGATTATCACTTGAACCCAGGAGGCAGAGGTTGCAGTGAGGCACTGCACTCCAGTCTGGCCGACAGAGCGAGACTCTACCTCAAAAATAAATAAATAAAATAAAATTATAACAGTATCAGCTCTTTCTGTATCTTGTTTTTTTCCATCCAACATTATTTTCAAGATCTTTTCAGGTAGTGATAGACAGAAAAGTTAATCTAATTTATTCATTTTATCACTCTCACATGTTCCTTTAATATGACTGCCATATTCTATTTATTGGTGGATCTTTAGACTGAAGTTCTTTTGTGTTATGAATAGTTTTGCCTTGAAATGAAATGTTTGCACTGAGCAAGAGGTTTTTTAGGTTCCTTATTTAAGTAGTTACATGATAGACACATTTTTATCTTACACGTGGCAGTCAGAATTTACATTTATGGGCTAGACACACTGACTCATACCTGTAATTGCAGCACTCTGAGAGTCCATGATGGGCAGATCACTTAAGCCCAGAAGTTCAAGACCAGCCTGGGCAACATGGCGAAACCTCGTCTCTACAAAAAAATACAAAAATTAGCTGGGTGTGGTGGAGTGTGCCTGTAGTCTCAGCTACTTGGGAGACTGAGGTGAGATCACTTGAGTCTGGGAGGTTGAGGCTTGCTGTGAGCCAAGATCACTCCAGTGCACTCTAGCCTGGGCAACAAAACGAGAACCTATCTCAAAAAAAGAAAAAAAAAAAAGAAATTACATTTATGTCATCAATGGAAGAGAGTGCCATTTTTTTATCCCTCTTTCCATATTAGATGTCAGAGTTTATTAGAAAAGATTAAAAAATGGTATTTCATTTTATTTTTTTGGACAGCTACCATGTTTAAAAATTTGTTTAAATGCTTATTTGATCATTTGGTATCTTTCTTTTTCATAGTAGATTCATTTTTAATAATGAAATAAACTAGAAATATTCTACATGTATATGACCTGGAGGTTGGTTCTATATAGCATTGTAAACCACCAGTAGAATAGTGTGCAATAATTAAATAGCTTGGGTACATGTACATTTATTGACATGGAAAAATATTCAAAATATATTGTTAATAAAACAGAGCAGTTTGTATTATGGCTAAGAGTAAATGCTAGGGAGTCAGTTGGCTTGGGTTCACAGCCTAATTCAGCCTTTTGACTGAGTGGCCTTAGACAAATCACTTAATTTTTAAAAAAAATTAGTTTTTTAAATTGACAAAAAATTGTATTTATTTATCATGTACAATATATTTTGAAATATGTATACATTGTGAAATGGCTTAACTGAGCAAATTAATATGCATTACCTCACATTCTTAACATTTTTGTGGTGATAACAATTAAAATGTATTCTCTGAACAGTTTTCAAGGATACAACAGTGTTATTAACTAGCAACACCATGTTGTACAATAGATCTCTTGAAATTATTCCTCCTAACAGAAACTGTATATACTTTGATGAGTATCTCCCCATCCACCCCACCCACTGTGTCCCCACATCCCCTAGTAACCATCATTGTCTTTCTACTTCTATAAGTTCACCTCTTTTGTTTTTTTGATGGAGTCTCACTCTGTCTCCCATGCTGGAGTGCAGTGGTGCAATCTCAGCTCACTGCAAGCTCCCCCTCCCGGGTTCACGCCATTTTTCTGCCTCTGCCTCCCTAGTAGCTGGGACTGCAGGCACCCGCCACCACACCCGGCTAATTTTTTGTATTTTTAGTAAAGACGGGGTTTCACCGTGTTAGCCAGGATGGTCTCGATTTCCTGACCTCGTGATCTGCCCACCTCGGCCTCCCAAAGTGCTGGGATTACAGGCATGAGCCACCGTGCCCGGCCTGTAAGTTCAACTTTTTAACACACCACTTGTAAGTGAGATTATGTGGTGTTTGTCTTTCTATGCCTGTCTTACTTTCCTTAATATAATGTTTTCCAGGTACATCCATGTTGTTACAAATGACAGGATTTCTCTCTTTTATGGGGCTGAATAGCATTCCATTGTGTATATATACCACATTTTCTATCCATTCATCCATTGATGGATACTTAGGTTGATTCCATATCTTGGCTATTGTGAACAATGCAGCAATGGCCATAGGAGTCCTGATCTCTCTTCACTACTGATTTCATTTCCTTTGGATATATACCCAGTATTGGGATTGCAGGATCATATGGTAGTTTTATTTTTTGAGAAACTTTCATACTGTAATGCTTATACTAATTACATTTCCACCAACAGTATACAAAGGATTCCCTTTTCTTCACATTTTTTTTTAACACTTTTATCTTTTCAATAATGGCCATTCTAACAGGTCATAATTTATTTTGGTTTCCATTTGCATTTTTCTGATGATTAGTAATGTTGAGCATTTTTTATATACCTCTTGGCAATTTGTGTGTCTTCTTTTTGGAAATGTCTATTCAGATCCTTTGTCCAATTCTTAAAAAACGATTATTTTTAAAATTCATTTTATTATTTAGAGACAGAGTCTCAATATGTTGCCCAGGCTGTACTTGGACTCCTAGGCTCAAGAATTCTCCTGCCTCAACCTCTGAAGTAATTGAGACTGTGGGCATACGCCACTGCATCCTGCTCTTTTGCCCATTTTTTTTTTAATGGGGTTGTTTTCTTATTGAGTTTCTTATATATTTTGGATATTAACCTTTTATCTGATACATGATTTGGATATATTTTCTCCCATTCCATAGGTTGTCTCTTCACTCTGCTGATTGTTTCCTTGGCTGTGCAGAAAGTTTTTAGTTTGATATAATCCCATTCATGTATTTTTGCTTTTGTTTTCTGTGCTTCTGGGTTTATGTCCAAAAAACCATTCCCCAGACCAATGTCATGGAGTTTTTCCTCTGTTTTTTTCTAGGACTTTTGCAGTTTCAAATGTTAAATTTAAGCCTTTAATACATTTTGATATTCATTCTTCTAGCCAATGAGCCTGGAATGTTTTTCCATTTGTTTGTACCTTCTCTGATTTCTTTGAGCAGTGTTTTGTAGTTTTCATTGTAGAGATCTTTCACCTCCCTGGTTGACTGTATTTCCAGGTATTTTATTCTTTTTATGGCAATTGTGAATGAGGTTGCATTCCTGATTTGCCTCTAGACTTGACTACTGCCCAAAGCAATTTATATATTTAATGCTAATCCTGTCAAACTTCCAGTGACATTCTTTGCAGAGCTAGAAAAAGCTCTTTTAAAATTCCTATGGAACCCAAAAAGACCCCAAATAGCTAAGGCTATCCTAAGCAAAAAGAAGAAAGCAGGTGGTATCATGCTACCTGACTTCAAACTGTATTAAAGGGCTACAGTAACCAAAACAGCATGGTATTGGTAGAAAAACAGACACATAGACCAATGGAACAGAATACAGAGCCCAGAAATAAGACCACACACCAACAACCATCTGATCTTCAACAAAGCTGATGAAAACAAGCAATGGGGAAAGGATTCCCTATTCAATAAATAGTGCTGGGATAACTGGCTAACCATGTGCAGAAGATTGAAACCGGACCTCTTCCTTAAACTACATACAAAAATCAACTCAAGATGAGGGACTTACATATAAAACCCAAAACTGGAAAAACCCTGGAAGACAACCTAGGCAATACCATTCTGGACACAGGCATGGGCAACGATTTCATGATGAAGATGCCAAAAGCAATTGCAACAAAAGCAAAAATTGACAAATGGGATCTAATTAAACTAGAGAGCTTCTACACAGCAAACAAAACTATCAACAGAGTAAACAGACAACCTACAGCATAGGAGAAAATTTTTGCAAACTATACATCTGACAAAGGTCTGATATCTAGTATCTATAAAGAACTTAGACAGATTTACAAGAAAAAATCCCATTAAGAAGTAGGCAAAAAGCTGGGCATGGTGGCTTACTCATGTAATCTGAGTACTTTGGGAGGCTGAGGCAGGCGGATCACTTGAGGTCAGGAGTTGAAGACCAGCCTGGGCAACATGGTGAAACCCCATCTCTACTAGAAATACAAAACATTAGCCGGGCATGGGGGCAGACGCCTGTAATCCCAGCTACTCGGGAGACTGAGGCAGGAGAATCACTTGAACCTGGGAGGCAGAGGTTGCAGTGAGCTGAGATCACACCACTGCACCACAGCCCAGGCAACAAGAGTGAAACACCATCTCAGAAAAAAAAAAACCTAAAAAAAAGAAGTGGGTAAAGGACATGAACAGACACTTTTCAAAAGAAGACATACATGTGGCCAACAAGCATATGAAAAAAAGCTCAACATCACTGATCATTAAAAATTGCAAGTCAAAACCACAATAAGATATCATCTCACACCAGCAGAATGGCTATAATTAAAAAATCAAAAAGTAACAGTGGCTCACGCCTATAATCCCAGCACTTTGGGAGGCCAAGGTGGGTGGATCACTTGAGGTCAGGATTTTGAGACCAACCTGGCCAACATGGTGAAACCCCATCTCTACTAAAATTACAAAAATTAGCCGGGTGTGGTGGCATGCACCTGTATTCCCAGCCACTTGGGAGGCTGAGGCATTAGAATCACTTGAACCCGAGAGGCAGAGATTGCAGTAAGCTGAGATTACACCACTGCACTCCAGCCTGTGTGATGGAGCGAGACTCTGTCTCAAAAGAAAAAACAAAAGAGGTACTGGCAAGGCT
Organism: Homo sapiens; assembly: GCF_000001405.40. Taxonomy (NCBI): domain Eukaryota; kingdom Metazoa; phylum Chordata; class Mammalia; order Primates; family Hominidae; genus Homo; species Homo sapiens. The sequence continues at coordinate 102,131,358 of NC_000012.12, forward strand.
GTGGAGAAGAAGGAACATTTATACACTGTTGGGGGAGTGTAAATTAGTTCAACCATTGTGTAAAGCAGTGTGGAGATTCCTTGAAGACCTAAAAACAGAACTACCATTTGACCCAGCAATCCCATTATTGGGTATATATCCAAAGGAATATAAATCATTCTATCATAAAGACACATGCATGTGTAGGTTTATTGCAGTGCTATTGACAGAAGCAAAGATTTGGAATCAACCTAAATGGCCATTAATGATAGACTGGATAAAGAAAATGTGGTACATATACATCATGGAATACTCTACAGCCGTAAAAAAGAACGAGATCATGTCCTTTGCAGGAAAAGGAACTAGAGACCATTATCCTTAGCAAACTAATGCAGGAACAGAAAACCAGATACCACATGTTCTCACTTATAAGTGGGAGCTAAATGATGAGAACAAATGGACACATAGAGGGAAATAACAGGTACTGGGGCCTACTGAAGGGTGACGGGTGGGAGGAGGGAGAGGATCAGGAAGAATAACTAATGGGCACTTGGCTTAATACCGGGGTGACAAAATAATCTGTACAGCTGGGCGCTGTGGCTAATGCCTGTAATCCCAGCACTTTGGGAGGCTGAGGCAGGCAGATGGCCTGAGGTCGGGAGTTTGAGACCAGCCTGGCCAACATGGTGAAACCCCATCTCTACTAAAAATACACAAATTAGCCAGGCCATGGTGGCATGTGCCTGTAATCCCAGCTACTTGAGAGGCTGAGGTGGGAGAATCACTTGAACCCAGGAGGTGGAGGTTGCAGTAAGCTGAAGTCACGCCATTGCGTTCCAGTCTGGGGGATAGCGACAGAGCGAGACCCTGTCTCAAAAAAAAAAAAAAAGAATCTGTACAACAAACCCCTATGACATGAATTTACCTGTGTAACAAACCTGCACATATACCCCTGAACTTAAAAGTTCAAAAGAAAAAAATCCATTTTGAGTTGATTTTTGTAAAAGGGATAAGGGTCTAATTTCATTTTTCTGCAGGTAGATACCCAGTTGTCCAACATTTATTGATTAGACTGTTCTTTCCCCATTAGGTGTTTTTTGTATCTTTTTTCAAAACCAATTGCCTGTAAATTTGTGGATATATATCTTGGTTCTCAATTCTGTTCCACTGGTCTATCCGTATGTTTTTATGCTAGTACTATGCTATTTGGATTACCATAGTTTTGTAGTATAGTTTGAAGTTAGGTAGTGTGATGCCTCCAGCTTTGTTCATTTTGCTCAAGATTGTTTTTGCTGTTTGGGGTCTGTTGTAGTTCCATATAAATTTTAAAATTGTTTTTTCTATTTCTGTCAAAAATGGCACTGGAATTTTGATAGGAATAGCATTGAATCTGTATATTGCTTTGGATAATATGGACATTTTAACAATATTAATTCTTCCAGTTCATCAATATGGGATAACTTTCCGTATACTTGTGTCTTCTTTAATTTCTTTTATCCATGTTTTATAGTTTTCAGTGTGCAGATCTTTCATCTTCTTGGTTAAATTTATTTGTAAAAATTTTTTGTTTTTATAGCTATTGTAAATGGGATTGTTTTCTGGATTACTTTTTCAGATTGTTTTTAGTGCATTGAAATGATACTGATTTTTGTATTTTGATTTTTGTATCTTGCCACTTTACACAATTTGTTTATTCTTACAGTTTTTGGTGGCGTCTTTATGGTTTTCTGTATATAAGAACATGTTATCTGTAAACAGGAACATTTTCACTTATTTCTTTCCAATTTGGATGCCTTTTGTTTCTTTTTCTTACCTAACCACTCTGGCTACACCTTCTAGTACTATGTTGAATAGAAGTGGGAAGAGTGAGCATCCTTGTCTTGTTCCTGATCTTAAAGGGAAATCTTTCAACTTTTTCACTATTGAGTATGATGTTAGCTGTGAGTTTGTCATATATGGCCTTTCTCATGTTGAAGTATTTTTTTATATCTAATGTGTTGACAATTATTATAATGAGAGGATATTTAATTTTGTCAGATGTTTTTTTCTGTGTCTTTAGAGATGATCATAGTGTTTTGTCCTTCATTCTGTTATGTGCCATGTTTTGTTTATAGATTTGCATATGCTGAACCATCCCTGGTATGAATCTGACTTTATCATCATGAGTGATCCTTTTAATGTGCTGTTTAATTTGGTTTCCTAGTATTTTGTTGAGGAATTTTGCATATGTGTTCATTATGGATATTGTCCTCTAATTTTTTTTTTCTTGTAGTGTCCTAGTGTGGCTTTGGAATCCGGGTCATGGTTGTTTCATAAAATGAGTTTGGAAGTATTCCCTTTTCATTTTTTTGGAAGAGTTCTTAGTGCATACAGAACATTCGTCAAGATAGATCATATGTTAGCCCACAAAACAAGTCTTAACAAATTTAAGAAGATTGAAATCATACTGAGTATCTTTTCTGATTACAGTGGTATGAAACTAGAAATCTGTAACAGGAAGAATTTGGAAAATTAACAAACACGTGGAAATTAACCAACGGTTCGAAGAAGAAATTAAAAGGAAATTTAAAAAAACCTTAAAAAATATGGAAGTACAACATACCACAACTTATGGGATAGAGCAAAAGCAATTCTAAGAGGAAAGCTTATAGCAATAAACACCTACATTGAAAGAAAAAAAGATCTTTAATAAACTTAACATTACACCAAAAGAAACTAGGAAAAGAACACACTAAGCCCAAACTTAGCAGAAGGAAGAGAATAATAAAGATGAGAGCAGAAATAAATGAAATAGAGACTAAAAAAACAATAGCAAAGATCAATGAAGCTAAGAGTTGGCTTTTTGAAAAGATAAACAAAATCAACAAACCTTTAGGTAAAAGTAAGAAAAAAGAGAAGCCTCAAAAAAAAAAAAAAAGAAATGAAAAAGGATACATTATAACTAATACCACAGAAATAAAACAGGTCATAAAAGACTACTATGAACAATTTGTATGCCAACAAATTGGATAACCTAGAAGAAATGGATAAATTCCTTGACACGTACTATCTACCAAGACTACATCATGAAGAAATAGGAACTCTGAATAGACCAATAAGAAATAAGGACATTGAATCAGTAATAAAAAGTCTTTTATTAAAGAAAAGCCCAGGACCTGATGGCTTTACTGCTGAATTCTACCAAACATTTAAAGAACTAATACCAATCCTTCTCAAACTCTTCCAAAAGCATGCAGAAGGGGGAACACTTTCCAGCTCATTTTATGAAGCCAGTAGGTAAGTATTCTCCTCATAGACTTTCTATTCATATCCTTTTCTTATTTTACTGTTGAGTTGTTTTTGTCTCTTGTTTTTGCTGTGAGACAGGCTCTCACTCTGTCGCCCAGGCTGGAGTGCAGTGGCACAATCATTGTTCACTGCAACCTCGACCTCCCCAGGCTTAGGTGATTTTTACCTCAGCCTCCCAAGTAGCTGGGACTACAGGTACGTACCACCATGCCCAGCTAATTCTTTTATTTTTTTATAGAGACAGGGTTTCTCCATGTTGCCCAGGCTGGTCTTGAACTCCTGGGCCCAAGGGATCTGCCTGCCTCGGTCTCCCAAAGTGCTGGGATTACAGGCATGAACCACTATGTCTGACCTCTTTCTTATTTGGAATATTTCTATATGTATTTTAGATATTCTCTTTGTTATAAATTTTGTTGGTACTGTAAGGGAGGCAAAATTTTACCTCCACCCTTTTAGGGTTTTTGGCTGGGCCTGAGAATTAAATTGACATAAGGCAGATCAACAGGAGAAAATCATACAAATTTAATAGGAGTATTACATGGCACAGGAATATGTATAAGGAAATGAAGACCAAAAGACAAGTTAGAGTTGAACACTTACATACTGAATCGGAGAAAGAGTAGTAAAATGAAAATGTGGGCCGGGCATGGTGGCTCACGCCTGTAATCCCAGCACTTTGGGAGGCCAAGGTGGGTGGATCACTAGGTCAGGAGATCGACACCATTCTGGCTAACACGGTGAAACCCCATCTTTACTAAAAATACAAGAGAATTAGCCGGGTGTGGTGGCAGGCGCCTGTAGTTCCAGCTACTTGGGAGGCTGAGGCAGGAGAATGGTGTGAACCCGGGAGGCAGAGCTTGCAGTGAGATCGCACCACTGCACTCCAGCCTGGGAGACAGAGACTCCGTCTCCAAAAAAAAAAAAAAAAAAAAAAAAATGACAAGGCAAAGGAACTTGGGTGTTTAATTGGATGGAGTAGTGGCCAGGAAATAAAGATTAGTTTAATAAGGTTTGTATAGATTTCCCTGGACCTCAGTTTACACTCCTTGATGATAAGACCGTTACTTGTATAAAGAGGGTATCTTTCACATGGGAATTTTGTCTTCTGTTTTGAAGAAACGGAAGGAAGTTCATAGTGATCATCTTGCACCTGCTGTTTTTCGAGTACTTTTAGCCTAGATTTTCATTTTACCAGGTGGCATAATTTGGGGGTGGAGTGATCTTAATTATTTCAGTATCTTCTAGTTTTACCTACAAGTTTTAGCTTTTCTCCATTTTACCTACTTTCACTGGATGCATTTCCCTTACATTCTTCTACCTGCATTTATGTGAGATACCATTCTACTGAGTCTTAAATCCAGTATGATCATCTTTACCTTGATGTCCCTGTACTGTTTCCACATCATTTTTTTTTGAGATGGAGTCTCTCCCACATCAATTTTTAAAATAGAGCACATTGTTTGCTTTTTCAACTGACCTTCCCGTTCATATTCTTAGTCGTATTGGCATGTGCCATTGTTCACTCAGTAACTTAAGCTAGATACCCTATTTTTATTTTAATTTATTCTTCTTTGGTAGTGTGAGGAAGTAGTACTAAGGTAAATGATGGATTATGAGAATATTGAATAAATAGACTAGCTAAGGGTTAAACCTTGGTGACCATACACTGGAAAATAATGAGAGAGGAATTGAGGCAATTTTTCAGAATCAGTATTGTATAGTGATTGGAGGCTGTTATTCTGGAATCAGACTATATTCAAATCACCTCCTTTCATTTATTTATGACTTACTTTTAAAGAAATAAGTAGATTTTTTCAACAAGCTAAGTGAAATATACCCTGAAAAACATTTAACCCTCATTGTAAGAATTTTCACATACTGAAATATTCAATCCAAGTCAGTTTTTCTTCAGGATTTGTTTACGTAGCAGTCACTCAGTGTCTCTTTCTACTTGCTAATTTTCTACTTGCTAATTCACTTAATTCAGTGTGAAAGTTCAGACTCTGGGTGGGAAAGAAGAGGTGAGTTGCAACTGAGATTTTCACAGTTCTTGTATGTGTGTGCACATGTGTAGTGGTGTGGTAGGTTGCAGTTCAGTTTTATTTCAACTTTCCACATAAGAGTTAGCTTAGGCATCCTCAACTGTGCTCTGACTTCCAAGCAGTATGAAACAACATACCTATATGTCTGCGGGTGCATTCGTGAGTAGCATATAGTAATTAAAAGTAGATAGAGTTGGTTGTATATATCCATGACGTATATTTTTTATCCTGTGTTTGAGCTCTATTTAGATTTCTCTTTTGGTTTTTGTTTTGTTTTGTGTTTTTTTTGTTTGTTTGTTTGTTTTTGAGACAGAGTCTCACTCTGTCACCCAGGCTGGAGTGCAGTGGCACAATCTCCGCTCACTGTAAACTCCGCCTCCTGGGTTCATGCCATTCTCTTGCCTCAGCCTCCTGAGTAGCTGGACTACAGGCACCCACCACCACGCCTAGCTAATTTTTTGTATTTTTAGGAGAGACGGGGTTTCACCATGTTAGCCAGGATGGTCTCGATCTCCTGACTTCGTGATCCACCCGCCTCGGCCTCCCAAAGTGCTAAAATTACAGGCGTGAACCACCACGTAAGTTTTTAATTCTCTGAAGTTTGAGAACATGAGTCTTAAAGTATAATTCTTACAGCTGAATTTGACTACAGTAAAACTTTTGAATACCTAGTAGAGTTGTTAGTCTGTCTAATGGCATATTTGTTTTTTCTCAACTGTTAAAGTGGGAGAAAAGAAAAGACATATTGAAATACTCTTTAAGTTTTAGGTTTTTAGCATGTTTTTTGAGGGGGAAAATTTTTTAGCTTGAATTATATAATGCCTCTCTAGCAGTTATATACTGCTAAAGATTTTTTTTTTTTAATTCTAGGGTATATGTGCACAACGTGCAGGTTTGTTACATATGTACACATGTGCCATGTTGGTGTGCTGCACCCATTAACTCGTCATTTACATTAGGTACATCTCCTAATGCTATCCCTCCCCGCTCCCCCCACCCCACGACAGGCCCCAGTTTGTGATGTTCCCCTTCCTGTGTCCATGTGTTCTCATTGTTCAGTTCCCACCTATGAGTCAGATCATGCAGCGTTTGGTTTTCTGTCCTTGAGATAGTTTGCTCGGAATGATGGTTTCCAGCTTCATCCATGTCCCTACAAAGGACATGAACTCATCCTTTTTTATGGCTGCATAGTATTCCATGGTGTATATGTGCCATATTTTCTTAATCCAGTCTATCATTCTTGGACATTTGGGTTGGTTCCAAGTCTTTGCTATTGTGAATAGTGTCGCAATAAACATACGTGTGCGTGTGTCTTCGTAGCAGTATGATTTATAATCCTTTGGGTATATACCCAGTAATGGGATGGCTGGGTCAAATGGTATTTCTAGTTCTAGATCCCTGAGGAATCACCACACTGACTTCCACAATGAATGAACTAGTTTACAGTCCCACCAACAGTGTAAAAGTGTTCCTATTTCTCCACATCCTCTCCAGCACCTTTTGTTTCCTGACTTTTTAATAATGGCCATTCTAACTGGTGTGAGATGGTATCTCATCGTGGTTTTGATTTGCATTTCTCTGATGGCCAGTGATGATGAGCATTTTTTCTTGTGTCTTTTGGGTGCATAAATATCTTCTTTTGAGAAGTATCTGTTCATATCCTTTGTGCACTTTTTGATGGGGTTGTTTGATTTGTTCTTGTAAATTTTTTTTAAGTTCTTTGTAGATTCTGGAATTAGCCCTTTGTCAGATGGGTAGATTGCAAAAATTTTCTCCCATTCTGTAGGTTGCCTGTTTACTCTGATGGTAGTTTCTTTTGCTGTGCAGAAGCTCTTTAGTTTAGTTAGATCCCATTTATCAATTTTGGCTGGTGTTTTAGTCATGAAGTCCTTGCTCATGCCTATGTCCTGAATGGTATTGCCTAGGTTTTCTTGTAGGGTTTTTATGGTTTTAGGTCTAACATTCAAGTCTTTAATCCATCTTGAATTAATTTTTGTATAAGGTGTAAGGAAGGGATCCAGTTTCAGCTTTCTACATATGGCTAGCCAGTTTTCCCAGCACCATTTATTAAATAGGGAATCTTTTCCCGATTTCTTGTTTTTGTCAGGTTTGTCAAAGATCAGATGGTTGTAGATGTGTGATATTATTTCTGAGGGCTCTGTTCTGTTCCATTGATCTATATCTCTGTTTTGGTACCACTACCATGCTGTTTTGGTTACTGTAGCCTTGTAGTATAGTTTGAAGTCAGGAAGCGTGATGCCTCCAGCTTTGTTCTTCTTGCTTAGGATTGTCTTGGCAATGTGGGCTCTTTTTTGGTTCCATATGAATTTTAAAGTAGTTTTTTCCAATTCTGTGAAGAAAGTCATTGGTAGCTTCATGGGGATGGCATTAAATCTATAAATTACCTTGGACAGTATGGCCATTTTCACCATATTGATTCTTCCTGTCCATGAGCATGGAATGTTCTTCCATTTGTCTGTGTCCTCTTTTATTTCATTGAGCAGTGGTTTGTAGTTCTCCTTGAAGAGGTCCTTCACATCCCTTGTAAGTTGGGTTCCTAGGTATTTTATTCTCTTTGTAGCAATTGTGAATGAGAGTTCACTCATGATTTGGCTCTCTGTCTGTGATTGGTGTATAAGAATGCTTGTGAGTTTTGCACATTGATTTTGTATCCTGAGACTGCTGAAGTTGCTTATCAGCTTAAGGAGATTTTGGGCTGAGACGATGGGGTTTTCTAAATATACAATAATGTCATCTGCAAACAGGGACAATTTGACTTCTTCTTTTCCTAAATGAATACCCTTTATTTCTTTCTCCTGCCTGATTGCCCTGGCCAGAACTTCCAACACTATGTTGACTAGGAGTGGTGAGAGAGGGCATCCCTGTCTTGTGCAAGTTTTCAAAGGGAATGCTTCCAGTTTTTGCCCATTCAGTATGATATTGGCTGTGGCTTTGTCATAATTAGCTCTTATTATTTTGAGATACTTCCCATCAGTACCTAGTTTATTGAGAGTTTTTAGCCTGAAGGGCTGTTGAATTTTGTGGAAGGCCTTTTCTGCATCTGTTGAGATAATCATGTGGTTTTTGTCTTTGGTTCTGTTTATATGATGGACTACATTTATTGATTTGTGTATGTTGAACCAGGCTTTCATCCCAGGGATGAAGCCCACTTGATCTTAGTGGATAAGCTTTTAGATGTGCTGCTGGATTTAGTTTGCCAGTATTTTATTGAGGATTTTCGCATGGATGTTCATCAGGGATATTGGTCTAAAATTCTCTTTTTTTGTTGTGTCTCTGCCAGGCTTTGGTATCAGGATGATGCTGGCCTCATAAAATGAGTTAGGGATGATTCCCTCTTTTTCTGTTAATTGGAATAGTTTCAGAAAGAATGGTACCAGCTCCTCTTTGTACCTCTGGTAGAATTTAGCTGTGAATCCATCTGGTCCTGGAATTTTTTTGGTTGGTAGGCTATTAATTATTGCCTCAATTTCAGAGCCTGTTATTGGTCTATTCAGGGATTCAACTTCTTCCTGGTTTAGTCTTGGGAGGGTATATGTGTCCAGGAATTGATCCATTTCTTCTAGATTTTCTAGTTCATTTGCATAGAGGTGTTTATAGTATTGTCTGATGATAGTTTGTATTTCTGTGGGATTGGTGGTGATATCCCCTTTATCGTTTTTTATTGTGGCTATTTGATTCTTCTCTCTTTTCTTCTTTATTAGTCTTACTAGTGGTCCATCAATTTTGTTGATCCTTTCAAAAAAACAGCTCCTGGGTTCATTGATTTTTTGGAGGGTTTTTTGTGTCTCTATTTCCTTCAGTTGTGCTCTGATCTTAGCTATTTCTTGCCTTCTGCTAGCTTTTGAATGTGTTTGCTCTTGCTTCTGTAGTTCTTTTAATTGTGATGTTAGGGTGTCGATTTTAGATCTTTCCTGCTTTCTCTTGTGGGCAATTAGTGCTATAAATTTCCCTCTACACACTGCTTTAAATGTGTCCCAGAGATTCTGGTGTGTTGTGTCTTTGTTCTTATTGGTTTCAAAGAACATCTTTATTTCTGCCTTCATTTTGTTATGTACCAGTAGTCATTCAGGAGCAGGTTGTTCAGTTTCCATGTAGTTGAGTGGTTTTGAGTGAGTTTCTTAATCCTGAGTTCTAGTTTGATTGCACTGTGGTCTGAGAGACAGTCTGTTAGAATTTCTGTTCTTTTACATTTGCTAAGGAGTGCTTTACTTCCAACTTAGTGGTCAATTTTGGAATAAGTGCGGTGTGGTGCTGAGAAGAATGTATATTCTGTTGATTTGGGGTGGAGAGTTCTGTAGATGTCTATTAGGTCCGCTTGGTGCAGAGCTGAGTTGAATTCCTGGATATCCTTATTAACTTTCTGTCTTGTTGATCTATCTAATGTTGACAGTGGGGTGTTAAAGTCTCCCATTATTACTGTGTGGGAGTCTAAGTCTCTTGATAGGTCTCTAAGGACTTGCTATATGAATCTGGGTGCTCCTGTATTGTGTGCATATATATTTAGGATAGTTAGCTCTTCTTGTTGAATTGATCCCTTTACCATTATGCAATGGCCTTCTTTGTCTGTTTTGATTTTTGTTGGTTTAAAGTCTGTTTTATCAGAGACTAGGATTGCAACCCCTGCTTTTTTTTTTGTTTTCCATTTGCTTGGTAGATCTTCCTCCATCCCTTTATTTTGAGCCTATATGTGTCTCTGCATGTGAGATGGGTCTCCTGAATACAGCACACTGATGGGTCTTGACTCTTTATCCAATTTGCCAGTCTGTGTCTTTTAATTGGAGCATTTAGCCCATTTACATTTGAGTTTAATATTGTTATGTGTGAATTTGATCCTGTCATTATGATGTTAGCGGGTTATTTTGCTCGTTAGTTGATGCAGTTTCTTCCTAGCCTTGATGGTCTTTAAAATTTGGCATGTTTTTGCAGTGGCTGGTACCAGTTTTTCCTTTCCATGTTTAGTACTTCCTTCAGGAGCTCTTGTAAGGCAGGTCTGGTGGTGACAAAATCTCTCAGCATTTGCTTGTCTGTAAAGGATTTTATTTCTCCTTCACTTATGAAGCTTAGTTTGGCTGGCTATGAAATTCTGGGTTGAAAATTCTTTTCTTTAAGAATGTTGAATATTGGCCCCCACTGTCTTCTGGCTTGTAGCGTTTCTGCCGAGAGATCTGCTGTTAGTCTGATGGGCTTCCCTTTGTGAGTAACCTGACCTTTCTCTCTGGCTGCCCTTAACATTTTTTCCTTCAGTTCAACTTTGGTGAATCTGATAATTATGTGTCTTGGAGTTGGTCTTCTCGAGGAGTATCTTTGTGGAGTTCTCTGTATTTCCTGAATTTGAATGTTGGCCTGCCCTGCTAGGTTGGGGAAGTTCTCCTGGATAATATCCTGCAGAGTGTTTTCCAACTTGGTTCCATTCTCCCCGTCACTTTCAGGTACACCAATCAGATGTAAATTTGGTCTTTTCATATAGTCCCATATTTCTTGGAGGCTTTGTTTGTTTCTTTTTACTCTTTTTTCTCTAAACTTGTCTTCTCGCTTCATTTCATTAATTTGATCTTCAATCACTGATACCCTTTCTTCCACTTGATGAATCAGCCACTGAAGCTTGTGCATGCATCTCATAGTTCTCGTGCCATGGTTTTCAGCTCCATCAGGTCATTTAAGGTATTCTCTACCCTGTTTATTCTAGTTAGCTAATCGTCTAATCTTTTTTCAAGTTTTTACCTTCTTTGCAATGGGTTTAAACATCCTCCTTTAGCTCAGATAAGTTTGTTATTACCAATCGTCTGAAGTCTTCTTCTCTCAACTCGTCAAAGTCATTCTCTGTCCAGCTTTGTTCCATTGCTGGTGAGGAGCTGCATTCCTTTGGAGGAGAAGAGGCACTCTGCTTTTTAGAATATTTGGCTTTTCTGCTCTGGTTTCTCCCCATCTTTGTGGTTTTATCTACCTTTGGTCTTTGATGAAGGTGACGTACAGATGAGGTTTGGTGTGGATGTCCTTTCTGTTTGTTAGTTTTCCTTCTAACAGTCAGGAACCTCAGCTGCAGGTGTGTTGGAGTTTGCTGGAGGTCCACTCCAGACTCTGTTTGCCTGGGTATCACCAGTGGAGGCTGCAGAACAGCAAATATTGCAGAACGGCAAATGTTGCTGCCTGATCCTTCCTCTGGAAGTTTCGTCTCAGAGGGACACCCGGCCGTATGAGGTGTCAGTCGGCCCCTACTGGGAGGTGCCTCCCACTTAGGCTACTTGGTGTTCAGGGACCTACTTGAGGAGGCAGTCTGTCCGTTCTCAGATCTCAAACTCCATGCTGGGAGAACCACTACTCTCTTCAAAGCTGCCAGACAGGATGTTTAAGTCTGCAGAAGTTTCTGCTGCCTTTTGTTCAGCTATGCCCCGCCCTCAGAGGTGGAGTGTACAGAGGCAGGCGGGCCTCCTTGAGCTGTGGTGGGTTCCACCCAGTTTGAGCTTCCAGGCCACTTTGTTTACCTACTGAAGCCTCAGCAATGGCAGACGCCCCCCACCCCCAGCTGCCTTGCAGTTCGATCTCAGACTAATGTGCTAGCAGTGAGTGAGGCTCTTGTGGGCGTGGGACCCTCTTAGCAAGGAGCAGGATATAATCTGCTGGTGTGCCGTTTGCTAAGACCATTGGAAAAGCACAGTATTAGGGTGGGAGTGTCCCGATTTTCCAGGTACCATCTGTCATGGCTTCCCTTGGCTAGGAAAGGGAATTCCCCGACCCCTTGCGCTTCCCGGGTGAGATGATGCCCTGCCCTGCTTCAGCTCATGCTCTGTGCGCTGCACCCACTGTCTGACAAGCCCCAATGAGATGAACCCGGTACCTCAGTTGGAAATGCAGAAATCACTCATCTTCTGCGTCGCTCATACTGGGAGCTGTAGACTGTAGCTGTTCCTATTTGGCCATCTTGGAACCTCCTCCTAAAAATGTAACCTTTATAGATTCATTGAGGACTTTTGACGTCATTATATGGCGAATGTATATGACTTCATTAGGAGGCAACTAATATTTTGGCTTTCTTTCTTTGGAATTAGCTTCTTAGTTTGCATCTGACTGACAATCGTGTTAATAGAGGCTATTTTTTTTTTGCCTTAAATTGTCTTATTGAGAAACTTACAATATTCCATTGCATAAAACAGATGAAGGTATTAATTTTATACCTTTATGGAAAGCAATTACAGTACCTGTGATTGACTGTCAGATTTGAAAATGATGTAACTGTGATCTAACAAGAAGAAACAGGTTTTTAAAATTGTATTGCATTTTATCACCACTCTTTCCCCTCAAAACAATGATTTTACTTTAAATAGGAGAAGAGAAAGGAAATTGACATTTTTGATTACCTATCATTTGTCAGGTGTTATTTAATCTGTGTAATCTCATTTTATAACCAAGGAAACTGACTCAGGGGTTTCAGTATCTTACTCAAGGTCACATAGCCCATTAGTGCTCTTAAGTAGACCTATCTTTTCTTTAATGACAACAAAATGTCTAGTCAATTAAAAATGTAAAGTTTATTTAAAATTTTGAGTTATTAGAAAAATATGATATAATGTACAAAGTACGAATGCTCTGGAAAATATGTAACTCTTGATTTTCTCATTTTATTCTTGTGCAATACAATCCTTCTTATGTCCATCAGAGAATTAAAGTGGTGAACATTTTGAACTTCCTTCATATATTAGCCAGCTGGCATGTTTTCCTAGCAAAATATTTTCTGATTTGACCACAGACTCTCTCAATCAGTTGTTACTGGTTTGAATAATAGAATATGCTGTCATGGTGGGCACCTGATCATGAAAACTGATATCTGGAGTGCATTTTTATTTGGATTTAAAATGTTTTTACAATCCCAGTATAAACACTGTTAATCTAGTCAAAACTTTTTCTCACAAGATCAAGAGCTTGCATAGTTTTACTTTAACTAGTTATAGTCAAAAGGGTAAGAATAAGTTGTGCATTTACATTACACAAAATCTTATTTTAAACATGAAGGATGTCAGACTAAAAATAGTGTTAGGAATTTTTGAGATAAAACAGTTTAGTTTTAAAACTCTAAATAACTGGATTTATTTAATTTACATAGCATTTGGAAATTTTCTGATGTGTAACCTTTGTGGGGTTGGGGAGTAAGTGTACAGTTTTTGGTACAATGCTGGAAAATTACAAATATGTCCTACATTTGGAGAATAGATCCAATGTTTGAGAGTTACTGATTTTTTTGTTTTTGGTTATTCATTGAACTAGTTTCATGAAATAGAATTAATTTCCATTTTCATGACACAACAGGCCCCTGCACTAAGGACAATGAGGATAATTTTTTTAGTTGTGTTTGTATAGATGAGTAAAGAGCTGCTTATTTTAAGGCAGTTTGGACACTTAGTCTTAAATGTGGATAGTAAGTACTACCAGTGGCTAATTATTATAGGAAGTATAAAAATGTAGATTTAAAAGGGTCAAATATATAGAAAATAATATTTAGGAGTACTTGATTTCTTTCTGTTTTTGTTGTGTAAAGTTTATATTGTAGTTTAGTTCTAGTGAACTATAGTTGTACTTGAATACCCACCCATCTTCAAATGCAATGAGTTGACAGATCTTGGTGTTAGTGGAAACTACTAAAATATTAAAGGAACTTAACTATAGAAGACAGCAATGTATTACATTTCATAAATCATATCTGGATACTTAAAAATATTTAGTACTCATGGTGTATTAAAAAGGAGTAGTTAGAATTTAATTTTTGCTGAATTAGGGCTGGCAGCTTTTGGAAGGCATCATTATTAATTTCTAGAATATTAATGGAGCAGAATGGAATCAATAAAAAAAACCTTCAACTTGTTCACTGAGAGAATTTATTATGCAGATGTTGAAGAAGACTTTAAAGAAAGCATTATAGTTAGATAAAATATTAGCATGCAAACATGTTGGTAACATTAGTGGATCTCTAAGCAACTATATGTCACTGTAGCCAGGTTATAATCTGTTTTATTTCTCGTGGGATAGATAGAAATTCTGTCAAAAAAGAGAAAGAAAAAGAATAATTTTGCCTGATTACTAACATCTGACAACTTATAGAAAGAAACCTGTGTCTTTTTAGCACTTGTTTGTTACAGTTTCATGTGTCCATGAGCTGAGAAGAATCAAAATTAATCTCTGGCTCAAGGTTTTACACTTGATCTTAGCCAAAAGGCCGAGAAGCAATGGCTCAAGGTTTTAGCACTGATGTTTTGCTTTCCTAGTAATAGTAATGAAACATAATTTTATTGCTTCAAAGAGAATAAAATACCTAGGAACCCAACTTACAAAGGATGTGAAGGACCTCTTCAAGGAGAACTACAAACCACTGCTCAATGAAATAAAAGAGGATACAAAGAAATGGAAGAACATTCCATGCTCATGGGTAGGAAGAATCAATATGGTGAAAATGGCCATACTGCCCAAGGTAATTTATAGATTCAATGCCATCCCCATCAAGCCACCAATGGCTTTCTTCACAGAATTGGAAAAAAATTACTTTAAAGTTCATATGGAACCAAAAAAGAACCCGCATCACCAAGTCAATCCTAAGCCAAAAGAACAAAGCTGGAGGCATCACGCTACCTGACTTCAAACTATACTACAAGGCTACAGTAACCAAAACAGCATGGTACTGGTACCAAAACAGAGATATAGATCAATGGAACAGAACAGAGCCCTCGGAAATAATGCCACATATCTACAACTATCTGATCTTTGACAAACCTGAGAAAAACAAGCAATAGGGAAAGGATTCCCTATTTAATAAATGGTGCTGGGAAAACTGGCTAGCCATATGTAGAAAGCTGAAACTGGATCCCTTCCTTACACCTTATATAAAAATTAATTCTAGATGGATTAAAGACTTAAACGTTAGACCTAAAACCATAAAAACCCTAGAAGAAAACCTAGGCATTACCATTCAGGACATAGGCATGAGCAAGGACTTCATGTCTAAAACACCAAAAGCAATGGCAACAAAAGCCAAAATTGACAAATGGGATCTAATTAAACTAAAGAGCTTCTGCACAGCAAAAGAAACTACCGTCAGAGTGAACAGGCAACCTACAAAATGGGAGAAAATTTCCGCAACCTACTCATCTGACAAAGGGCTAATATCCAGAGTCTACAATGAACTCAAACAAATTTGCAAGAAAAAAACAAACAACCCCATCAAAAAGTGGGCAAAGGACATGAACAGACACTTCTCAAAAGAAGACATTTATGCAGCCAAAAAACACATGAAAAAATGCTCACCGTCACTGGCCATCAGAGAAATGCAAATCAAAACCACAATGAGATACCATCTCACACCAGTTAGAATGGCAATCATTAAAAAGTCAGGATACAACACGTGCTGGAGAGGATGTGGAAAAATAGGAACACTTTTACACTGTTGGTGGGACTGTAAACTAGTTCAACCATTGTGGAAGTCAGTGTGGCTATTCCTCGGATCTAGAACTAGAAATACCATTTGACCCAGCCATCCCATTGCTGGGTATATACCCAAGGGACTATAAATCATGCTGCTGTAAAGACACATGCACACATATGTTTATTCTGGCACTATTCACAATAGCAAAGACTTGGAACCAACCCAAATGTCCAACAATGATAGACTGGATTAAGAAAATGTGGCACATATACACCATGGAATACTATGCAGCCATGAAAAATGATGAGTTCATGTCCTTTGTAGGGACATGGATGAAATTGGAAATCATCATTCTCAGTAAACTATCGCAAGGACAAAAAACCAAACACCGCATGTTCTCAATCATAGATGGAATTGAACAATGAGAACACATGGACACAGGAAGGGGAACATCACACTCTGGGGACTCTTGTGGGGTGGGGGGAGGGGTGAGGGATAGCATTAGGAGATATACCTAATGCTAAATGACGAGTTAATGGGTGCGGCGCACCAGCATGGCATATGTATACATATGTAACTAACCTGCACATTGTGCACATGTACCCTAAAACTTAAAGTATAATAATAATAAAATAAAAAAAATTAATCTTTATGACCATATTTTTAGACTAAACCCTTGGAATATTGTGTTATATGGGAATTCACTATGGCAATGAGAATTTTAAATACGAGATTAAAAATAGATTCGCCAAAAGAACGAAAAGGAACTAAAAAGAATCAAAATTTTCCCCCATCAATAGTACTTAAGTATAGTTTACTGCCCACCCATCCATCCATTTTGGGTAGAAGAAATTTGACGAATTTCAAGAAATGTAACAGCGGCTATGTATTTACCAGTTTTATCATGTGCAAACTTGCCTTAGTTGTTCATATTTTATAAAATCATGAAAACCTTTTTCTTTTATATCTGGTTTCCAAAATTGTCTCATAGTTCAACTTGGGTGTTCTCTTCAAACCCACAAAAATTGAATGTAGACTTTACCAAAATTTAATTTGTATTTCTTATCTCAGTTATAAGTTATTGAATATTCTGGTACCCAACTTTATTTTTTTTTTTTTTGGCATTATCTTTTTCAGCACAGTGGAGAATTTACAGTCTCTCTCAGTGATGTTTTATTGACATGGAAATACTTGCTCCATGAGAAATTGAACTTACCAGTTGAAAACATGGACGTGACTGACCATTATGAGGACGTTAGGAAGATTTATGATGATTTCTTGAAGAACAGTAATATGTTAGATCTGATTGATGTTTATCAAAAATGTAGGGCTTTGACTTCTAATTGTGAAAATTATAACACAGTATCTCCTGTAAGTATTTTTTAAACAATTCTATTTTAATCAAATTAAAATTTAGCTCTATTTATTTTGAATTATAGTATCACCAGTTATAGTAACTTGGTAATGTTTTTGCTTTGTGAATCATGTTAAAAATGGGAAAATTTAGCTACCTGAAAGCTACTTATTACTTGAAAGAAAGATTTTGTGGTAAATTTTCTTGGACTTGTGTTATTGTTATTTAGTTGCTATACGGATAGCTTCTTATTAGATCAAAAATCCCTAACAAAGAAATTAGTCCCAAATGCCTGATTTCTTTTTGAATCATGTCAAAGATTGCTTTTGTATTCACTTTCTTGATTTAATGTGCATCTGTTCATTTGGCATATGTTGGATAAATGATTGGTGTGACTTTTTCTATGGATTAATAATGTTATTTTACTACATATAGGTATCATTTATTTTATGAAAATAGTATTATGCAATATACATGAGATAATAGACTATTCTTTTTTTGCACAAGCATTTTTTTAATGGAGTATAAATGTAAAAATTAAATGGAGTAGTATCCCTTGCAGTTTGGTTTTGTCTACGTTAGAATTTATAAACTGTTTTAGAATATATTTGGGTGTATCTAGTTATTTTTAAAGTGTTGGAAATATTTTTAGTTATTTGAACATTTACTGAGTGCCAATAAAGTAGTAGTTAAATAGTGGCAATAAATAACTGAAGCTGGAATTAGAGGAAAATGTTTGCTATATTTTGTAAGATAATCAATTATTTTATAAATATTTCAATACAATACTTGAGAACAGTGTTTTAGCCGATTATAATAGAAACCTCCACTACAATAGTTATTGAGAGAAAAATAGAAGTATAACTCTTTTATGTAAGATGTCTAAAGATATGCAACCAAGACTGATATGATAGCTCCATGGTTATCAGAGACCTGGACTTTTTCTATCATTCTGCTCGCCCATTTTAGTCCTTGGTTCCTACCCTCTAGACCATTTTATGGTCCAAGATGACTGTTGGAGCTCCAGCCATTATATCCATTATATTGGTATTCCTTGTACCAAGAACTAGTAAGGAAGAACAGCACTTTGCTTTTCTCTTAAGGGTACATAGCTTTTTCTTTCATGTCATTGCCAAAAGGTTAGTCACATGGCCACAACAAGCTGCAAGGGAGGATGGAGAATATAGATCTTATTCTGGGTAATATCTTGCCAGAATAAAAACAAAAGCTCTATTACTAGGGAAGAAAGGGAGAATGGATATTGGCAGGCAGCTTGCTGTCTTTGCCTCATTGAACTATCATAAAAACCTTTGCCTTGTTACAGCTTCCTCAAAACATATCCGCACACATGTACAACTACACTATGGTAAGGATACTTGTAAAGATAGCTTTTTAAATTCTTCCTTAGCTATATTTTATTTGCTTGCTTACAGAGATGATTTTTGTCTATTTTTCACATAGTTGATTTAGAGAGGCTTAATCATATATCAGTACTGGATTGTAGGACAACAAAGATCTTAAAAACCAGTGACAGTATAATCTACCTGAGGTCTTTGGGCGCATTGTTTTCCTTCTATTCCTCGCCCTTGTCTAAGTCCTCTAATAAGTTTCCTCATTTGAGTGGGTTAAGTTATAGTATGATATATATCAGGGTACAAGTTTGAGGTTGTCTCTGTGGGATACTCTCTCCAAATGTCATCGTGTCATCAGGAGTAAAATTGAAGCTGCTAAGATGGTAGTACATGAAGTAGAAAATGTTCTGCATTTTAACCGTGGAAGATCAACAACTTAATCTCTGATACTATTGTTTGTTCTAGGGAAATTTCCAGTGCGGGGAAAAAGTAGACAGGAAAATATATCCCTAGATTGATTTCTCAAAAATGCACTAAGTATAATCCCAATTTTTGCTGAAAGTCTCTTTCAAGGTACATATTAGAATATTCCAAACAGTTTTGAATGTCATGATCCTGAATTTTCATAATCCTGATAAAGTTTCTTTGTTTCATATTTGTTGTAGCTGAAATAAGGTAGGGATTATGAGGAATTAAGATAAAGCTAAGTCAGGGCAATTTTGGGAATGTGGTCACTTAAACAGTGCCCCTTCCCTCTTCACTCCCTACTTACGATTCCTCTCCTAAGGAAAATGGATTCAGGGCCCATGGGCATCTCGGAGCATACAAGGCCTTAGATTGTAACTGGAGACTAAGTAGAGAGATTTGATACAGGGCTTGCTTTCTCATGAACTGAGCAAGTATCTGGAAGACAGGATCAGAGACCTGGGGTGAGGAGCAGAAATGGTTAATCCTGAGAAGAGCTTAGCCTCAGAGATCTGTGGACGTCTTTGGGGGAAGGTCAGCAAATGACCTCTGTAGGTACGCTCATATTCCCTGACCCTCAAGCCAAGAAGTAGCTGAATAGATGGGCTCACTTCTTGTTGGTGAGGCTTGGGAGAACACAAGACTCTTCCTTAGCCTCAGCAGATGACTGGTAGCCTGTTTGTTTGTCCACTGCTGCTCTGTAAGTATAGATACAATTTCAACTTCTATTACTTGTAGAACTGTCATCACTTAAGCTACTTCAGCAGTCAGATCTGAGTCCCAAAAAGCTAATGAAGAAAACAACACACCATTTAAGGGTTTCCAGCAGCCAGAGAAGGATGAGTTAGCTGCAACACACGTGCGTAACAGAACAGAGCTACTGGGGGGAATGACAGCAACTTGAATACGTATAAATGTTAGGTACTTGGGAAAATTCAAGAATAGCACCTCAACATAAAACTATGGATCTGGCAAAAAAGAAGGCAGTGCACCTGCGTGGGCCTGGGTCTGGGTGGGGGTGCCGCGGGTGCTTCATGATGCTGGGCTCTCTGGGATGGGGGGATGGCAGAGGGTGCTGCAACTACCCACGGAAGAATGCAGCTGAAGGCATAGGTTTTTGGCTTTAACTTCTTTGTGATGAGAAGGCCACCCTTGAGAAAGCTCATAAAATGTAGCACCTCTGCAGAAATGGTCCTTAGTTGGAGCCTGCGGCTGCTGGGAGATGCATCAACATCAGTGAATGGGGTCCTTTGGGTGGGTCCCTGATGCCTGCACACTTTTTAGGACCTTCTGATCTACCTGGCAGGGGTCAACTATACAGCCACCTTCAGAAAGAGGAAGCTTGCTGCTGTCTAGGCCAGATCTCTTGGCTCCTGGGGAAGATCCACCAGTGTCAGCCTCATTGACTCTGGAGCGGCAGAAGGGAGAGTCCCTCTTAGCATGGAGCTGGTCCCTAAACTTCAGATTGCCTGGGATTCCCATCACGGTCCAGAAGAAGAGACGAGACCTGAAGAAGCTGGCAGCTGTCATGCGGCAAGTGAGACAATGGGAAAGCCACCCGCTTCAGAACATTGAAGAAGCCACCTGGCACCAACTCACTGTCCAAGCTGAGAAGAAGGAACCAGGGACCCAAGGAGCTTCAGTTTAATATAAAACCAGGAGCAAACCTCCGAAGTCCAGGCATCTCAGAGAAATGCTTTTTTTGTGTACCATGGTTACCAAATACAGAGCTAGATTTTATTTTTGTAAATATTTGCATCTCCTGCTTTATCAAAAAGTTTTCTTTTTTCTTCCTAAAAACCAAAGAATGCTTTTATTTCCAACTGCATCCCTTGCTCTGCTGCTTCCTCGCTCCTCTTCCTAGATGTTGGGCAGGTGGGCTGGGTCTTCTCAGGGATGCAGATGAAAGCTTGTTGCTAGAGTGGAATAAAAAAGGGCAGCCCCTGTTCGAAATCTCAGACTGGATTGAAAAACACAGGACATAATATAGTCTAAGTCCATCTAGGATCTTCTGTTTTAAGAGACAGGTGTAAAGATTTACTCTCAAACTGCAGGATGGGTGGAAAGTATTCCAGATCAAGGTTCCAGTTCTCCCTGGGAGCACCCACATTTCTTTTAAGGTTTCTAGCAGAGATGTAATGATGAAATTACTCACAAAAGGGATTAGATGCAGGCTGGTAGTTGCAGTTACTGGGTTACTATAAATTTCGTGTATTGATGTTCTACATATGTGGTAAGAATTTATTTACTGTGTAGTATGTTTAAACATTTGTAAGTTTTATGAGCTAGTTCCTCCTGTGTAAGCTGACAATTCAAGTTGTTCACTGTTTTCCTGTGACAGTTATTATCTGGTTATAAAATTATCAGATAAAAATAAGAGAAGGTTATTACTTTTTCAAATACAACATGAAAGTATAAAAAAGCAGACTTTCCTTTGTAATTGCATAACATTGAGATAAATACTTCAGAGTAATTTCATCTGATACTTATTAAAAATCATTTTCATGACGATTAAAAAAAAAAGGGTTCCCAACCCTTTGGTAGATCAATTCAGACCAAAATTAGTTTCTTGAAAATTAAGCACAATAAATATTTAAAGCACAAAGAAAAATATTAGGTAAAGAAATCATGAAGTACTTAGTAATTTTCCAAGTAGAAGAACAGTAAAACAAAAAAAAAAAAAAAGGAAAAAGAGGAGTTAAACAGAAACAGATGCATAAGAGGCTATAATTAAGTACATAATAATTTGATATAAATATATTTGTTATAAGACGTATTTTCCTTAGCTGAAACAAAAGCAGATAGCACCGTTATTGTAGGTTGGCCTTTTGAGATATCTTTTCAGGTTCTTTGCATGTCTGACACCCATGGTTCCACCTGGACCTACCCAGAAGCAATTCAGCATGCAGGACGACAGCTTTGATCCCCTATGATATCATCTCTGCCTCCACCAATCAGCAGCAAGCCTAGCCACCCCTCACTCCTTCTTCCAAATTGCCTTTGAAAACCCCCTAACCTATGAGTTTTGGATGAGATTGGTTTGAATACTACCTGTCTCCCACGTGGCATGGCCAGCCTTGTGCCTATTAAACTCTTTTTTGAGACAGGGTATCACTCTGGCGCCCAGGTTGGAGTGCAGTGGTGTAGTCGCAGCTCACTGCAGCCTTCCTGGGCTCAAGTGATCATCCCACCTGAGCCTCTTGAGCAGCTGGGACTACAGGCACATGCCACCATGCCCAGCTAATGTTTTGCATCTTTCGCAGAGACAGAGTTTCGTTGTGTTGCCCAGGCTGGTCTTGAACTCCCGGGCTCCAGCAATCCACCTGCTTTGGCCACACAAAGTGAGGATTACAGGTGTGAGCCACGGTACCTGACCCTAAACTCTTTCTTTACTGCAGTTATGTGGTCTTTATTTGTGTAGCACACAGGAAGAACCCATGGGCAATTACATTATGAAGTTTAATTATATGTATTCTTAATGATTGCTAACAACTGTCAGGTAATACTCTCAACTGAAACATCAATGACACTGAGTAGAGCTTTATGTGAAGTATTTTTTATAGTCAGCATAGCATTTTATTAGTAATACTCTATGTTTTCTACAGAGTCAACTACTGGATTTTCTGTCTGGCAAACAGTATGCAGTAGGTGATGAAACTGATCTTTCTATACCAACATCACCAACAAGTAAATACAACCGTGATAATGAAAAGGTACTGATAAACTGTGAGTAAATTAAAGCAGACTATAATCCCTTTCAAATCACTGAATTTGGTGGTACCTTAAAGTTACTAATGCTTTGTAAAAATTTTTTTAACAAATCTTTAGTATGTTTAAAACTGTATTCGCAAAGAATAATACATTGGAGGCTGGTGAGAATGTGATAAAAGAGTCTTTATGGTTTGGGGCCAAGGTAACAGGCATTGAACAAAAATAGTTATCATTCAAAGTATCAGGAAAGTAATTGAAGGTCCAGTTTGTCAGAGTTCTTTGACTCTCTTTGGTAAACTTCACATTTACTCTTTTAGATGGTTCATCCTTGGGAGAATATGCTCAACTGAAAAATCTGGTCTGTACCCCTTGCAGTAGTACAGCTCATATATCAGGAGTTTGGATGATAGGGTTTGTCGTATAAACCACCGAAAAGTAGTGCCACATACAAGTTTGGTTTAATATAATTTACGTTCAGCTGAATACTATGCTGGGTACCTAAACATATATGGTAACCCCACTAACCATAGTAGTAGTACTTACGAAAACGGGGACTAAACTATGACCTTTTTTCTCTCTTGCCCAAATTCCTATTTAAGGGGCCTGGGGAGTCATACCTTCTAAACTGTAACATCTCATCAGATGGGTTTTATTTAACCCTCTATAATGTGGTTTACTTTCCAGCCTGACTCTGGCATAACATCACATGACAGATAGAGAAGGAAATAAAAATATTTTACCCCAAAATATGTTTCTTTGCCATATTTTGAAATGGTCCTACAAAGCTGTCTTTTGTGGAGGAAAATTTGCGTTTGTAAAGGATATCAATTAACTAAATCTTTCCCCTTCCAGGCCCTCCCAGTCCTGAAGAGATAACTGAGAGTCTAGCACCTTTTAATAGGAAGCATTTGCCATCTATTGTTTCTAAGGGTGGCCACCTATGAGACGTCATCTACATAATAAGAACCTTGGTCTTCACAATCCCATATCTTAAACCAGAGACTCCTTTCTACTGATTCCAGGTCTTTAGATAATAATTCTTTCAACCAATTGCTTGCCAATCAGAAAATCTTTGAATCTACCTATGACCTATAAGCCCCATTTCAAGGTGTCCCACCTTTCCAGGCTGAACCAATCTTTACCTCACATGTACTGATTGATGTCTTATGTCTCTCTAAAACATATATTACCTCAGCTACTTGGGAGGCTGAGGCAGGGGAATTGCTTGAACCAGGGAGGTGGAGGTTACAGTGAGCTGAGATCACACCACTGCACTCCAGCCTGAGTGACAGAGGAAGACTCCATCTCAAAAAAAAACAAAAACAAAACAAAAAAACCATATATAACCAAGCTATAACCCAACCACCTTGGGCACATGTTCTCAGGATCTCTTGAGACTATGCCTCAGGCCATTGAGAGACAGGACTAGCTGGATTTCCTAGGCCGACTAAGGATTCCTAAGCCTAGCTGGGAAGGTGACCGCATCCACCTTTAAACAAGTGGCTTGCAACTTAGCTCACACTCAACCAATCAGGTAGTAAAGACAGCTCACTAAAATGCTAATTAGGCTAAAACAGGAGGTAAAGAAATAGCCAATCATCTATCGCCTGAGAGCATGGTGGGGGGGGGGGGCGGGGACAATGATTGGAATATAAACCCAGGCATTCGAGCAGGAACTTCAACACCCTTTGGGTCCCCTCCCATTTTATGGGAGCTCTGTTTTCACCCTATTAAATCTTGCAACTGCACACTCTTCTGGTCCGTGTTTGTTATGGCTTGAGCAGAGCTTTTGCTCCAGTCCACCACTGCTGTCTGTGGCTGTTGCAGACCTGCTGCTGACTTTGGTAGGATGTCCGCTGTGCTCCTGATCTAGCCAGGCGCTCATTGCTGCTCCCAAGCGGCTAAAGGCTTGCCATTGTTCCTGCATGGCTAAATGCCCAGGTTCATCCTAATCGAGCTGAACACTAGTCGCTGGGTTCCACGGTTCTCTTCCGTGACCCACGGCTTCTAATAGAGCTATAACACTCACTGCGTGGCCCCAGATTCCATTCCTTGGAATCTGTGAGGCCAAGAACCCCAGGTCAGAGAACAAGAGGCTTGCTGCCATCTTGAAAGTGGCCCGCCACCATCTTGGGAGCTCTAAGAACAAGGACACCCTGATAACACCATGATCACTCATATTTGGCTCAGAATTAACCTTCCTTTTTTTTTTTTTTTTTTTTTTTTTTTTGAGACGGTGTCTCCTTCTGTCACCCAGACTGGAGTGCAGTGGCGCAATCTCGGCTCATTGGAAGCTCCGCCTCCCGTGTTCATGCCATTCTCCTTCCTCAGCCTCCCGCGTAGCTGGGACTACAGGTGCCCACCACCACACCCAGCTAATTTTTTTTTTTTGTATTTTTAGTAGAGATGGGGTTTCACCCTGTTAGCCAGGTTGGTCTCAATCTCCTGACCTCGTGATCCGCCCACCTTGGCCTCCCAAAGTGCTGGGATTACAGGTGTGAGCCACTGCGCCCGGCCCAGAATTAACCTTAAATATTTTACGGGGCTTAACTCTTGGCAAAGTTTCTGTGATTAATAAAATCACCATTGACAAGATGAGAATTTAAGAGTGTTGAAAAAAGTAAAATTATATTCAACATATTTTAATTATTTTTGTTTTATTTATTTTGCTTATTATTTTTTTGAGGCAGAGGCTTACTGTGTTGCCCAGGCTGAAGTGCAGTGTGGCACGATCTCCACTTACTGCAACCACTGCCTCCCAGGTTCAAGCGATCCTCCCACCTCAGCCTCCCAAGTAGCTGGGATTACAAGCGTGCACCACCACGCCTGGCTAAGTTTTGTATTTTTAGTAGAGACCAGGTTTTACTATGATGGTCAGGCTGGCTTCGAACTCCTGACCTCAAGTGATCTGCCTGCCTTGGTCTCCCAAAGTGCTGGGATTACAGGCATGAGACACTGTGCCCAGCCAACATATTTTAGAAATATGATATGTAAATGGTCTAGAATGCATTTACTTCCAAAATCACCTGTTCCAGTAAGTTAACACATTTGGTGAATCACCTTCATTTTTGACAAACATTGCTGAGGTAGATTCTTCTATATGTCCCATGTTAAATAGATTGCACTTAAAATATATATTTTATCAGTGCCCTCAAATACTTGTATGTCTCTTGTAATACTCTTGTATGTCTCTTGTAATACTCTTGTAATACTCTAGATTTAATAAAGTGTTTTATATGTGCATCTGATATTTTTTCTGTCCTATTTGAAAGTAAGTTGCTGACATGTGGGTCCCTGGAATTCTTTAGCGTACATTTCCTAAAAGTAATGGCATAACCGCAATATAAGAAATAAGAAAATTTAAATAAGTATTTTAAAATATCATTTACTAACTTCCATATTTAAATTTCTCCATTTGTCCCCAAAATGGTTTTATATCTCCTTAGACTCTTTTACTCCAGAAGAATTCCCCTAATCTTTTTTTTTTTTAATTTTCTGATTAATTCCTTGTGGTATTATTTAACTTGTTTCTCTATTTGCTGTATTTCCAATAAACTGGAAGTGATATCTGAAATCTTGCTTAGATTTTGGTTTAATATTTCCTAAGAAATACTTCTTAACTGATGCAGAGTATTTCATTTTATATCTTATTGGGAAACAAACTCAGGTTATCCTGAATTGCCAGGTCTCTCCAGTACAAAGATGTAGTTTTTCCTTTGCTGTCAGCAAAGATCTGTGAGGTGACACTTTGGCACTGTATAAATAATCCTGTTTCTCAATAACCTTTTATCTAATGGTTTTAAGCATTGATGATCCTGACTTGAATCAGTTATTTCTGTAGTATCTATAGAATAGTGAGCTTCTGGCCAGGCACGGTGGCTCACGCCTGTAATCCCAGCACTTTGGGAGGCTGAGGCGAGTGGATCACAAGGTCAGGAGATCGAGACCATCCTGGCTAACACGGTGAACCCTCGTCTCTACTAAAAATACAAAAAAGTAGCCAGGTGTAATGGTGGGCGCCTGTAGTCCCAGCTACTCTGGAGGCTGAGGCAGGAGAATGGCGTGAACCTGGGAGGCGGGAGCTTGCAGTGAGCCGAGATGGTGCCACTGCACTCCAGCCTGGGAGGGAGTGCGAGACTCCATCTCAAAAAAAAAAAAAAAAAAAAAAAGAATAGTGAGCTTCTAATTCTGTTATGTCTTTACATTAATTACTTGCCATTTCTCAATAAAGCTTTATCTTATCAAATGAGATGAAGTACCCTTCTCTAAAAATCTCAGGGTAACTCCTCAATTCTCTACCAATTTAGGGGTTAGTGTAATAGTTATATATAATATAAGCAAATTAGATATTTATTCTTTTATTGCTCTCCTTTTTGTGTGTCTATTGTTTGGATTCATGAATTTATATTTATTCACTGTTTTAAAATGAGTTACACTCATTAATCTTTGATGCTAAAATAGAGGAAGCTGCTTCAAGCAGGTTTTTGTGTCTTTTTTACATGCTCTAGTAGACTTTTCAAGCATTTTCCTCTTTTCTGGTACAAGAAAATATCCCAAGCCCACCTTGAATGTTTCCTGCCCAGACCTGGTTCCTTTTAGAGATTTGTAACTATTTTCTCTTGCTTGAAATTAATTTTTCACTTACATTTCCTTTCTTTTCCCTTGATGCTCCAAATCTTGACAAAGTGATTGCCAAATTGCCTGATCTTTTCTCGGTGGCGCTTAAGCAGTGTATTTGTGTATCAAAAGGGTAGATTACTTAAAGATCTCTTTTATCTATCCTGTATGTACTACAGGGAGGAAATTATAATTGTTATATTTGTATTTTTAAAGAGGAATGAACCAATTTGTATATGTGAAAAGAATTAAGCTTTTAGAACTTCGGCTTATAAAGTTTAAAGGAGTATCTGTGACTAAAGATTATAAGCATGTAGTTTCCTGATTTAAACAACACTGATAGTTTCATTGTGTTAATTCTCTAATTTCTAACTTTTGCTTTCTTGGATTATATTTTCTAATAGAATTTTACCTACTAGTTCAACTAATGGATTTGATTTTCTGAGGAGTATTAAATTGGCAGCCATCTTCCTAACCATGCTTCTGTTACTTGCAGTTTCTAATTTTTCTTTTTACAAGGTCTTTTTGGAAGTCAGTGTATTTCTTTTTTCCCCTCTGAGACGGAGTTTCACTCTGTCACCCAGGCTGGAGTGCAGTGGTGTGATCTCAGCTCACTGCAACCTCCGCCTCCTGGGTTCAAGCAATTCTCCTGCCTTAGCCTCCTGAGCAGCTGGGATTACAGGCCGTGCCACCACGCCTGGCTAATTTTGTATTTTTAGTAGAGACAGGGTTTCACCATGTTGGCCAGGCTGGTCTTGAACTCCTGATCTCGTGATCCACCCACCTCGGCCTCCCAAAGTGCTGGAATTACAGGCGTGAGCCACCGCACCCAGCTGGAAGTCAATGTAGCTCTAATTAAAATCCTAATGTGAATTTTTGGGCTTCAGTCTTGCAGAGAAATATTTTGACCATCAAATGTGTTTACTAATATGACACCAGTCTTCAAGTAGGTGAATGGATTGAATTTGAGAAACAATATTTTTGTTTCCTTATTTTATTTTACTTCATTTTATTTTTCCTAAGGTACTAAACCATTGCTTTTAAAATTCTGAAGTAATGAAGGGAATAATAGAATAAAGGCCAGAAAAAGAAAATCATCAGTTAAAAAAAAAAATCTACTAAGTATCTTAGTTTTTGTCCAACTTTTTTTTTGTCAGTATATATAAGCATTTATGCATTGGCAAACAAAAGTTAAAAAAAGACCCTGTATAAATTGTTAATCTTCTCAGCTTAGAAAAACTGACTTTCTTCAAACTGAGGTTGAATATCTGCCTCTCAGTAAGAAGAGATAGGAAAAGAAACTTGGAATTATCAGAAAGCTTAAATAAAATTGTCCAGCTTCTAAACAAACATTGCAAATACTTTGTGGTATGGATATAATCAGTTTATTAAACAAATAAACAGAACAGTATCCTTATTTTTGGTGTTTTGGTAAAGGCTTCAATCTTGTGGATGTTTTCAATTTAGGCCCTTGCTCTTGGACATCATAACTATACTTATGTGGACTGCTTTTCCAGGGAACCTCTTTAAAACTCACTTGTAAATACAAGAGCAAGGAAACCATAACAGCCATGTTATCTGACCATAATAAGAGGGATAGATTTCCAATTGCAGCCATGAGCTAAAAGAAACACTCTAACTGTGAGGACTCCAAGATGTTTTTCCCTGAAGTTTGCCCAACATCACAGATCAGAAGGACAAAATTTGCTAACCTTAAAGAGCAAGTTGTAGATGTGAGAGCTTAAGCCCTGGTTTTGTACCCAATTAGGATCAGGTATATACATATTTGTTAAGTTCTTGTTATTTTTGAACAGCAGAAGCACAGTGACATAGAGATTGCATTAAGTTAAATGTAGGAAAAGTTTCTGATTACAATGTGAATGTCACTTTTTCTCTGCTTTGATTTTCGGTAAATTGTGTTATTCTTCTCAGATGTCAAAGGAATACAAAGAATTGTGTCTTAGACTATTGCACTGTGAAGTTAAAATGGAAACTCATATTATAGACTTGTGTAATAGAAGTATTGTGATTTACTGTGAAAGTAAAGATAAAAGGACATTTGAAATATGAGCAGAGGCTGGGCATGGTGGTTAACGCCTGTAATCCCAGCACTTTGGGAGGCTGAGGCAGGCAGATCACCTGAGGTTAGGAGTTTGACACCAGCCTGACCAACATGGAGAAATCCCGTCTCTACTAAAAATACAAAATTAGCCAGGCGTGGCGGCACATGCCTGTAATCTCAGCTACTTGGGAGGCTGAGGCAGGAGAATCACTTGAACTTGGGAGGCTGAGGTTGTGGTGAGCCGAGATCGTGTCATTGCACTCCAGCCTGGGCAACAAGAGGGAAACATCATCTCAAAAAAAAAAAATATATATATAATCAGAAAACTATATTATACATTATTTTATAAAATTTTAGGAGAAGCCTTAAAGCTTATTTTTATTTGGTTGTGACTTAGAATACCTTTCTTTGTAAGGCACCATAATAAAAAATATGGCATTTATTTTATCCCAGGTAAGTTTTTTTTTCTTTGGAGACAGTCTCATTCTGTCGCTCAGGCTGGAGTGCAGTAGCATTATCTTGGCTCACTGCAATCTACACCTCCCAGGTTCAAGTGATTCTTGTGCCACAGCCTCCCGAGTAGCTGGGATTACAGGTGTGTGCCACCACGTCCAGCTAATTTTTTTGTATTTTTAGTAGAGACAGGGTTTCGCTGTGTTGGCCAGGCTGGTCTTGAACTCTTGGTCTCAAGTGACCCACCTGCCTTGGCCTCCTAGTGGTGGGATTACAGGTGTGAGCCACCACACCCAGCCTCAGGTAAGTTTTTCTTAATAGATTTTTAATTTTGAAATTTTTAAAGAGTCAAATTTATGTATTAATTTTTCTTTCATTCATCATTGAATGAAAACTCATTGAGAACCTATTGACAAAAACAGATTGATTACCTACTATAATGCGAGTCATTCTGTTAGGATCTAAGGACAGATGATTTGCTCTCATGGAACTCACAAAGTAATAGGAGGATTAAGAAACGTTATCAGAAAGTGGCTAGGCATGGTGGCTCATGCCTGTAATCCCAGCACTTTGGGAGGTCAAGGCAGGAGGATCACTTGAGCCCAGGAGTTCAAGATTAGGCTGGGCAACATAGTGAAATATTGTATCCTTAAAAAAATATTAAAAAGAAAAGTATGCAGAGAATTATAATAGGGTGATATGCAGAGTTATCACAGGATGGCAGGAAAGAGAATACATGAATGTCTACTTTAGACTGGGGAATCAGGGAGCATCTCTGAAAAGGTAACATTTACTTAATATGCAAGAAAAAATCTTTCTCATGGTTAATCTTTAAACTTTGTTTTCTTGTAATTAATTTTGCTTAAATTCTATCTCGAGTCCATATTTAAGGCAATGCTTTCCTGTCCAGTGAAGTTTTTCTTTTAAATTGACCCTGCCTGCCTCCTACTTTTTAATAATTGTTTTTTGCATGGGAACTTAAACAGTCAAAATATATTATCTTTTGAATTTATTTTAAGGTGTATATGCTTAACAACTATCTAAGAGGCTTGCTAAGGATTTGTAATTTTTTATTGCTGCCTTTTTTAGTTTCTTTTATGCTTCAAAAATTTAACATGTGATTAGATTGAATATGATGAAATTTTAGTTTTAATAAGGGAAATATTTTCTTAGCATTTACAGATGATAAATTCCGGGGATATTAGTTGTGACTGAAATTACTGAAGGATTTTTGAATTTCATGTGTTTTGAGTGGGAATCGAGTTTAGAATTCGTGAGTCTGTTATCTGAGGGAATAGGCAAGAATATGATTTCAAGTGGACAGTTTGGGAACAATAAGAATTAGAAACAGGATTCTAGAGCAGAAGGTGGGATCGAAGTAGTTGAGAAGGCAAAAATAGGAAGAAAATTCCATGCAAGGAATTTAATTTTGCGCTGCTCATGGTGGCTCACACCTGTATTCCCAGCACTTTTGGAGGTCAAGGCAGAAGGATCACTGGAGCCCAGGAGTTCAACACCAACCTGGGCAACATAGTGGGACCTTTTCTCTACAAAAAATAAAAACGTTTTGCTGCTTGTGGTGGCACATGCCTGTAATCCTAGCTACCGGGGAAGCTGAGGCAGAAGGATCACTTAAGCCTGGGAGGTTGAGGTTACAGTGTGCCCTGATTGTGCCACTGCACTCCAGCCTAACAGCAAGACCCTGTTTCTCAAAAAAAGAAAAAAAAAAAAGGAATTTGATTTTGATGAAATGAAATTTATCTTTTTATTTTTCCTTTTCTCATTGTGCTTCTGGTGTCTTATGTAAGAACTCTTTGCCTTATTCCAGGTCATGAAGATTTTCTATTATGTTTTCTTTTAAAAGTTTAATAGTTTATGTTGTACATTTATAGACTTATGATCCACTTTGAGTTTACTTTTATAAAAGGTGTGAAGTTTAAGTTGAAGTTCATGTGTTTTGCATATGGATGACCAATTGCTCCAACACCAATTATTGAAAAGACTGTCTTTTCTTCATTGTTCCTTTTGCACATTTGTGAAAAATCAGATTGCTATATTTGTGTTGGTCTATTTCTGCACGCTATTCTGTTCCATTGAGCTGAGTGTTCTTTTGTAAATACTACTCTATCTTAATTATTGTAATCGTATAGTAATTTAGATTGTTTCTCAGCATTTTTAATATACTGTTCCAATATCATCTGGCCTACATACTTCTGGATGATTTGTTAACCTTATTATTGTTCCTCTGTAGGTAATGTGTCATTTTGTTCTGGCTGCACTCAAGATTTTCTCTTACTTTTGGCTGTCAGAGTTTATATTCATTTTGTTTGGTTTTCCTACTTAAATAGCTTATTGGATCTATAAGTTAATGTTTTCTACTAAATTTGGGATGCTTTGGGACAAAATGTATTCATGTATTTTTTCTACTCTTTTCACTTCTCTTCAGGGATTCCAATTACGTGTATGTTTGACCTCTTAAATTGTCTCATTAATCCCTTTGATTCTTTCATCTTTTTTGTTGTTGTTGTTCTCCTTTGTTTTTCAGATTTGATAATATCTATTGGTTTGTCTATAAGTTCAACAATACTTTCTTCTACTCTCTCCAAGTTGCTGTTGAACCCATCAAGCAAATTTTGTTTTACTTATTGTACTTTTCATTTCCAGAATTTATTTTGTCCACTTTTCTGTTGACATTCCCTCTGTTAATTTGTTGGTAACAGATATTCTTTTAATTCATTGAACATATTTCCTGTTAATATCTTGAACATAATTCATAATAACTGCCTTGATGTTTTTCTCCTAAACTCAGCATCTAGGTCTACTTGGTGACAATTTCTGTTGACTACTTTTTACCTTGAGTAGGGGGGGCACACCTTCTTTTTTCTTTGTTTATTGATTTTTGGATGAAAACTGGATATTATAGGTAATATTTTATAACAACTCTGGATTCCTCTATGTTCTTCTGAGAAATATTGTGTTTTCGTGCTAGTGGGCAACTGACTTGCCTGAATTCCAACTTAATACTCTGTCTCCATTCTATGTTGGTATACAACTGCTGATATCTGTTCTTGAGTCTTCCTTTGCTGCTTTTTTTAGCTGGATTTTTGTAGGTCTCCCCTCTGCCTGCCAAATTTGGTAGTCAGTCAAGAATTTGGGGAGAGATGGAGTTTATTGATTGCCCAACCTGTTTTTATATGGCAGTTTTATTTTTCTAAAGAGTTAAGTGAGGTATTGTGATTGAATGATTACATACATTTTTACTGCTTATGAAAAAGATTATGGATTTAGAAGAACTGCAATAAAGAAATTAACTGAATATTTTATTGCACAGGTGCAGCTGCTAGCAAGGAAAATTATCTTTTCATATTTAAATCTGCTAGTGAATTCAAAGAATGACCTGGCTGTGGCTTATATTCTCAATATTCCTGATAGAGGACTAGGAAGAGAAGCCTTCACTGATTTGAAACATGCTGCTCGAGAGAAACAAATGTCTATCTTTTTGGTATGGTTGTGTGACATGTTCAAAATTAAGACTCCTTGCACAGTGGATCCATGTATCCTAATATGCTTGTAACTAGGATGAAACAACTTTTAAGTGGTTAATTTATGTTCTACCTCTGTATTTGAAAATCCATGGTATTTTAATTTTTTACCATATCGTTCAAGTTTGGTAAAGGAGAATTTCTCTAAAGCAGTGTTTCCTTACATATGTTCTGTATAGTGCTAGCCCTGATAAATTCTCTGTGAATAAATGTTTCCAGTGTCAAAACGTTTCTGTTAAATGTTCTTTGAATAAATGTTTCCAAGGGCAAAATGTTTAGAAGTAGTATATACCCTTATTGGTTATACATAATCCATGATTGTATATAAGAGCTCTGAGAAGTCCTGCCATAAAGAAATCTGCTTGTAGCAAATTAAGCTTGTTATTTAATCTGTTGTTTCCTAATTTATTTGACCATAGAACTTTCCCCTAAATTATCGACATTTCACAGGATTTGTCTTTCTTAGAATGTACCTTGGAACATTTCATGTTTGATTGGAACACTTACGTACAGCTATCACATATGTATTTTTATCATTGTAAGGACAAGCCTTTTGAACTATACATGATCCCAGGATGGGAAAGCTGGATGTAACTTAGTGATTATCTAGTCTGTATTTTTATTTTACAAATAGAGAGGCTGAGGTTTGGAAGTGTTAAATTGCCCAACCAATTCACCTGTTTAACACAACAGATCAGCTGACGCTAAAAATTCCCTTGTTCCATGTAACAATTTCAATAGCTAGTAGTCAACTATATTATAATATATTCATAAATGAGTTCTTTAGAGTCAATAATACATTCTAATTAATATACTTTAGCTCTTAATTTGTCCCCTAACTCAGCTCCTCAGCCTCAATCTGCAGCTGGGTGTCATTGCCACCACACTTGCTAGCATGAATTCTGCATGGCATTTGTTTCTTTGGTTATTTACTTCTGACTCAAAGTGTGTCATGAGCCATAAAATGTGCTTCACTTTTAACTGTATACCCAGAATTATATAGATTTACTTAGCTTTATGAAGTAAATTACAGTTTAATAAATCACTGGACATAACTTATCCGTTTGTTTTAATTCATAGGTGGCCACGTCTTTTATTAGAACAATAGAGCTTGGAGGGAAAGGATATGCACCACCACCATCAGATCCTTTAAGGACACATGTAAAGGGATTGTCTAATTTTATTAATTTCATTGACAAATTAGATGAGATTCTTGGAGAAATACCAAACCCAAGGTAATGACTTTTCATATATTACAAATATGTTTTTAATCTATCTTTAAAACTTTACAGAATTGGGTAGAAATAAGGGATATTGAAATGACCAAGCATCAGACCAAACGGTGAGGCGAAGAAACAAAATCTAGATGAATAAATTATAATCACATGACCTTACCTCCTAAATTTCTGCCTGTGATTCTGAGTTTTGGCCAAAGTCAAAAGTCACATCCATACTAAATTTGATTAGAGAAGAGAGTTACCATTTATTTTTATCTGGATGAAATAGATTTTTGAGGACTGGCAATGAGCAGACAGATAATTTCTGTATATTTTTTATTTAGCAATAAAGGAAACTGATATCAAGAATGAGTAAGAAAATTGACAAAGATATGAAATCCCTATTCTATTTTCTGTTGTTTTTCATTTTCTTATGTGCAAATCTTTGGTTCATCTGGGATTTGTTTTTATATGATATTGGAGGTAAGAGATTTTTAAAAATCTGATAGACCCCCATTTATAATATTGGTATATTGAGTGGTAAGTAAGTTTTAGGGGCAGAAGTGGATTGTAATGCTAGCAATCATGGTGGATCATTGTCAATTTGGTATCCTATAACATAAATAAACATAATAAAAATAGCTGATATTTATTGAACACTTGTTACATGTCAGACATTGTGCTAAGTTCTTTACTCAGATTATCATTTGATCATTACAACAACCTGACTTGATAGATACTATTACTATTCCTAATTTAGAGGTGAAGAGACTAAAACACAGGGATCAAGTAACTTGCCCTAGGTTATATTAAGTAGCAGAGTAGGGATCTGAACACAGTCAGTACTGTGCATCCATTCTCTTAATGACTATATCTTGTTCCATGAAACTTCATTCCATTCTAAGATTCTAAGAAGGATTTTTTTTCAGGATTTTATTCTGAATTGCAGTCTGTCTTCTCATATGGATATCCATTACAAAGAAGTAAATTTGGAAGAGGGTTTTGAAAATAACTTAGAGACAAAATAAGTGACATCTTCTGAACTTCCAGATAATATATTGGGGAGCCATTTCTATTGAAATATCAGATATTTAATTTTTAAAAAATTTTTTGTAAGGCAATATAGATATATTTTGTTAAAGTCAGGTGGTACTACAGTCATCTGTCAGTTTTTTGCCCTTGAAGATATTCCTTCTGGAAAGTCCCCTGTCATCTTTATTCAATCTTTGCTTTTGCTCGTTAGGCCTGTGTCAGAGTGGCAACCATGAACCTTCATCCTCACCTCGTGAAACAGTCTCTGCCTGTTTCCTGGCTCTTATGACTTTATTTTAATTGGTAAACCCCTTATTTTGCTCAAGTAGCTTTCTCAGAAAAAGTAAATGGTAAGCAAATATTTTATGTTAGTCTTATATTTGGTTGCATATGATTTTATGTCATGTTTCATTTATTTCTCTAAGATTATTTATTATATTTAATGTAAAAATATTGTTATCTGCTTCCTGAATGGTCTTTGTTTTATCTAGATTGGATGCTTTTCTGTTTTTTACTTTCTTTTTTTTGCCCTCTTTCATAGTAGAGGTGTTCCCACAATGTGTGGTGATTCTGAACTGTCCTTTCATATTTAAGAGTGAGGCCCTATAGAGCTGATTAGTAGCTCTGTATAGTGGGTTTATTTATAGCATGATGCCCAGTTGGCTCTTTTGTTGGAGACTTACTCTCCAAATGTCAGTAACTTTAGATCTTTTCTTTGGGACTTTCCCAAAAATTTCCACAGAGGAATCTTTTAATCTCTGAAAGCTGTAAATCTGGCTAGCAATATTCTGGGATTTGAGATAGGTCCACGTTGATGCTGAGTCTCACAGTTCCGTATGTAGACTTACTCAATTCCTTTGTTTTTAGTCCTGCTGCCCCTGGGTCTGGAGCCTCTCATAGTTTCTTTAGAACAGTTCTGCTTCCCATGCTGAGGTGGGAGAGAAGCACTAGACTGACTGCTCAGAATAGAGGGAGAATGGGGGTATAAGTGTTCCTTATGGAGACTGTCAACTAGCTTTTCTGTTTTCAACCCTGCCTTTACATAGCCATCAGTATTGCCTTCAATTTCTGATTAATTTCTGAGTTTGCTTCTTACTGATGTTCCTCTTAGCAGTTACTTAGGTTTTAGCTTTTGTATTCTGGGTAGTTAGTTATGACTCAACCATCTGTTTTCATTTTTTTGTACTTTGATGAAATGCCTCTACTCTCATCAGCTGTTGTTTCCTCTCTCATTCTCTTTTTCTTCATAGATGGAAACTTTTTTGTTTTTTGCTTTTTTGTCATTTTAGTGAAGTTTTGGAAAAGAGCAGAGATAAATGTGTATGTTCAATCCAATATGGTTTGTTATAATTACATTCCTTTTGGAGGAATTTCTGGTTGTGGTCAACAGGGTAGAAGTACATTTGTTTTAGAGGCATCTAGGGTGAGGGAATAGACTTCTTCAACTTAGCAGCCATTTATTTTGGATATTCCATGTGGTTATAATAAGGAAGTATCTTCTAGAGAAGGTCTTGAGGAAGTGAGTATCTAA
The DNA here is from genome assembly GCF_000001405.40 of Homo sapiens. Taxonomy (NCBI): domain Eukaryota; kingdom Metazoa; phylum Chordata; class Mammalia; order Primates; family Hominidae; genus Homo; species Homo sapiens. The sequence goes on from NC_000012.12 coordinate 102,168,429, forward strand.
ATAGTGAATGTCTTCAACTGGGTATCTGAATAGTCCACTTGAGCAATTTTTGTTATCTTTTTTGTGTTGATTTGTTTGTTTATTTTTGTTCTGCAGTAGGTATAGGTTTGTTTTATAAATAAAATAAAATTATTAAAAACTAAAAACATATACCCTATGCATATCATAATAGATATTAATAGAAGGTGTACAGAGGAAAGGGCAATTGACCTGGTTTCTGGGAGCCAGGGATAAGGGTGTCAAGAATGCTTATCTGGATGGGTGTTAACAGTTAAGCCTAATTTTGAAGGATGAACTTGAAGGAGTTAACTAGACATGGTGGGTGGGAAAGTGGATAACCCATTTGGACATTGCTTCACTGGTTATTCATTTTATCTTATAATTTCAACCTCTCCCTTTACTAGTACTTTAGCCACATTCTATAAGCTTATAAGAAATAAACAACAAACTGTCTTCTTTGTTTCTTCCAGTTCCTTCTTCCTTTTACAGCTCATATTCTTAAAGAAAATACTTTCCTTTTTTCTGCTTCCCTCTTTGTAAGTATTTAATGTATATTTCTCAATAGACAGTAAACTCAATGAGAGTTTATTGGTTTTCTTCACCAATATTCCCTAGCCCTAGCACAATTTTTGCCAGAATAGACAGTCAATATTTATTTGATTGTCTGTACTTGACTGATTTATACTCCTTCACTTTTTCCCTCTACTGAAGCTATTCTGCCAGTGGTCACTTGTGATCTTCTAATTATCATAGTCTTTGGTCTCTTTTGAGTCTTCAAATTTAGTCATTTCCTATTGGAACTCTTTTTTCCTATAACTTCAGATACGTCATTCTCTTATTTTCCACCTACCTCTTCTACTACATATATGCAAATTCTTCTAAATCTATATTTCAGTGAAATTCGAACCTCTTTCCTGAGTTTCAGAAACATATCTTCAACTATCTTTAAGATGGTGCCTCACAGGCAACTCATATGTCCTAAACTAAATTTTTGTCTTTCTCTGCAAAACTGCTTCTCCTCCTGAAGCGATGAAGCCTGTCTCTCTCCAGCTCCCAAACAAGAATCTGGGGCATATCCTAAATACATTCACTCACTAAGATCCGTCACTTTTTCTTACTTCACATTTTTTATGTTCTTTCTCCTCATCTCTTCCTATAGCTACTATTTTATTTCCAGTGTTTACTGTTTCAGACTTTCATCCTTTCTTGTCTGGACCTTTTCACGTGTCACTGAGTTGTCTATTCTGCCTCCAGTCTTAAGTTGCCCTATCCTGTCGTCCTCATTGCTGCCAGAGTGATTTTTCTGAAACAACAAATGTTACTCCCATAATTAAAACTTTTCAGTGATTCCATATTTGGTACAGGGTAAAGCTTCAGGAACCTCAATATGATACACAAAACTGTCTATGCTCTAACTCCTGCCCATCTCTCACTCTGACCTCTTTATCCTCCTCGTCTCTGTCAACCTTAAAACTTAGAAATAAAAATGTATTTAGCTCTTGTATCTGAGGAAAAGTTTATACTACTTATTTTTAAATAGAAAAATTACAGTAATGTTTGAGTCCAAGGAAGGGTGGAATAGACAGACTGGGAAGAAATAAAGAACACTCATCGCCCCACTGCCCACTTTTCATGAGGCCATCTTAGCTATAGGTGGCTGCATTTCTACACTTTGCCAGTAGGTGACACCATAAAATGCATAGTGTACTTTCACCTGAAAGATGTCTTAAATGAGATGTTTCAAGTTGTATCAATTAATAGTTCCCTGTTGTTCAGAAGTTGAAAATTCTGTATTTCACATTTATCACACAACTTTTTAATGCACATTTACATTATACTGTCATGCGCCACTTGATGAGAATATGCTCTCAGAAATGCATTGTTAGGCAATTTCATCACTGTACAAACATCATAGACTGTACATACACAAACCTGGATGGTGTAGCCTGCCACACACATAGGCTATATGGCATAGCCTATTGCTGCTAGGCTACAAACCTGTATGGCCTGTTACTGTATCAAATACTGTAGGCAATTGTAACACAATGGTATTTGTGTGGCTAAGCATATCTAAACATTGAAAAGGTCCTGTTCAGAATGCAGTATAAAACATAAACATAGATAAGCATAGGGTACTTGCCATGACTGGAGTTTGCAGCACTTGAAGTTGCTCTGGATGAGTGGTGAGTGAATATGAAGGCCTGGAACATTATTGTAAACTCTTGTAGACTTTATACACATTATAAACCTAGGCCACACTAAATTTATAGAGCAAATATTTCTTTCTTCAAGAATAAATTACACTTAGCTTGCTCTAACTTTATGAACTTTAAAATTTGACTATGAATTTTTTAAAATTTTGAAACTTTTTGAGTCTTGTAGTAACACTTAGCTTAAAACACAAATACATTGTACAGCTGTACAGAATTTTTTTCTCTGTATCCTTATTCTATATGCTTTTCTCTGTTTAATTTTTCTTTTTTTTTTTTTTTTTTGCTTTTTAAACTTTTTTGTTTAAAATTAAGACACAAACATAAACATTAGCCTAGGTCTACACAGGGTCAGGATTATCAATATGACTGTCTTCCACCTCCACATCTTGTCCCACTGGAAAATCTTCAGGAGCAGTAATACCCCTGGAGGTGTCATCTCCTACAGTCACAACACCTTCTTCAGGAATACCTCCTGAAGGACCTGCCTGAGACTATTTCAGTTAGTGCTTTTTTTTTTTTTAAATAAGTAGAAGGAGTACACTCTAAAATAATGATAAAAGGTATAGCAAACACATAAACCAGTAAGAGTCATTTATTATAATGACCAAGTATTATGTATTAAACATAATTATGTGCACTATACTATTATATTACTGGCAGCACAGTAGGTTTGTTTACACAAGCATCACCACAAACATGTGAGTGATGTGTTGAGCTATGATGCTACGATGTTACATCACTAGGCAATAGGAATTTTTCAGCTCCATTATAATATTATGGGACTACCATCATATATGTGGTCTGTTGCTGACTGTAATGTTATTATACAGCACATAACTATTTATGTTGGGCTAAATATACATGTTTGGAGTGTTAAATCTCACTGAAATTTTTCAGTCTAATCTCCTAATGTTAAAGTTTTTCTTGTTTAAAAATATTTCATGGCCGGGCTTGGTGGCTCACACCTGTAATCTCAACACTTTGGGAGGCCGAGGCGGGCGGATCACGAGGTCAGGAGATCGAGACCATCCTGGCTAACACGGTGAAACCCCGTCTCTACTAAAAATACAAAAAATTAGCCAGGTGTGGTGGTGGCGGGCGCCTGTAGTCCCAGCTACTCGGGAGGCTGAGGCAGGAGAATGGCGTGAACCCGGGAGGCGGAGCTTGCAGTGAGCCGAGATCGCGCCACTGCTGTCCAGCCTGGGCAACAGAACGAGACTCCGCCTCAAAAAAAAAAAAAAATTCAGAAATATTTTTCATATATTTTATGTGGCACCTTTAATTACATTTAATTTTTAAAGGTAAAATTTACTTCAACAAATAGTTATCAAATTCTTGAGTATGGTATGGAAAAGCAGTCACTTTATTTAGGAAAGTGAAGAACTCAGTAATTACATTAAAGTATTACCAATCATTTGTCTGTATTATTGCTTAGTGTTCTCTTCCAGTTACTTTATTTTGGTACAAGCTTGGGGATTCAGTTGTGCTTTTCATCAGCAGCCTCTTGTTTCTCTTTCTGCCCCAGGGCACTGGTGTGATGCAGTTAGGAGTCAGGAGCTCAGTTTGCCTCTTTCTCATCTAAATTCTCCTATTAATGTTTATCCAGAATAGCCATAATATATCTTCTGGGAAGCACTCCTGAATACCTCCTCCTTCTCTCTACTTCCCCACTCAAACTTGTCTATACTTTCAGTAGTTCATTGTATCATTATCACTTGTGAGCTCTTAAAGAGAAAGATTTTATTCATTTTTGTATTGCCGGTGAACAGCATAAATATCCTGATGTCATTTTAGTTAAAACTTCTGGAGTTTCTAGGCTTTAGAAGCAAGAATTTGAATTAAACCACTGTGTTGCTGAGCAGATATTAGAAGCTAACCTAATGGTGGCTCTAGAAGTGAGTATATAGTAATGGAGTAATCAGAGCACTACTGTTTGGGGTATTTTGCCATGGCTTCAAAATGTTGACCTTGGCAAGTCTCTGAAATACAAGTCTTATTTTTTCCTAAATACAATTCAGCCAGTGAATTACATCATCTTTAAAATTTAACATTTTTGTCATGTAGAAGGAATGAGAAAAGGAGGTCAAAGGTGACTTTCCTAATATCATTTGAAGCATTTTTTTTGTTCTTATAATTGGCACTAAGACAGTCCCAGATTTTATTAACCATTTGAATCTTTTCCAAAACTCTTTTCTATTAGAGATTAATTCCCAGGAAAAGCATATAATGTTAATTACGTTTTCATTTTGGCTACATTTCATCCAGTTCACAGCTGAAAAAGAAAGTCCACATATATGTGAAAGAATTCCTAGGGTCTACTCAGACTTCTGATTACAGAAGTATGGCAGACTAGGCCCCCAGATTGATTCTTCCATTGAAAATAATTAATAATGTTGGATAGCATATTTCAAAAATTCTTCTTAAATGCGTTGGTAAGTAGGCAAATGTAATGAAAATATAGGTCAAAAATAGGTGAAGGAGGAAAGCCAGCGAGGCAAGTGAAGAAGGGAAGCCAGCTTTTAGCCCAGGAACTGGCCAGCATGGGGAGATAAATAGGAAACACATACCCATTCTACAGGGCTAAGCCCTCAGTGTAAAAATAAACTAAGAATAAGGGCTTTACTTTGACAAAAGGGTTTCTCTAAAAACCTAGTTAATGGTAAAACGTTTTAGTGTTCTGCTTAAGAATAAGACAAGAGTTCCTGCTGTCATCAGTTCTTTTCAACATAGCATGAGATGTCCAATTCAGTGTAGTAAGACAAAAAGAAATAGGAGATATAACAGTTGAAAAAATAAAATTCTATTTGATGATAATATGACTAATTATATAGAAAACTCCAAGAATGTAAAGGCAAATTATTACAATTGGCAGTACAGTTTAAGAGTGTTGCTGGACACAAGGCCAATAAACAAAATGCAATTGGATTTCTGTATCATTACTAAATAGAAGGATTTTTTTTTAAAAAAAACTTCAAAAATATAAAATACATAGAATAAATCTAGTAAAAACCATGCTAGCTTATTTTCCCTTGAAAGGTTCAAACTGAATGTGAAAGTCCCTGCTTGTCCTCTTCCACCTTGCTGCTATCCCTGAGCTTTGTATCCTGATCACAGTGTTACTAGAGATGTTTGTCCTCAGGATGATATCCTGCTTGCTTACTATGCACAGCTTTCGGCTTACCATGCCAGCTCTGGTTGGTTCCTTTTTGAGGGAGAGATTGGGTGGTACTGGGAGATTTTTGTCTCTTCGGTGATATGTTCTTCAGGGTATCTAGTATGCCATTGTGTAAGTAGACACCACCTAAGTACTTTTGTATTGCAAATAATAATAATATGAATAGTAAAATATATATCATTTGTCTTACTATTAAAAACTTTAGATTGTTGCATGTGATAGTATTCATTTATTCAACAAACATACATCAATCATCTCTTCTGTGTGCCAAATGTAAACTGACAGTATGAAGATCAGTAAAATATGATTGCTTTCTCAAGGAGCTGATTTTTTCATGACTTTTTTCTCACCCTTGCCTAATCATAAGAATCACCTGTGGTACTTTTAACACAATGCAAACATTTAGTGCTCTTCTCTGGAGATTGTAATTCCATAGGATGGGATCTGGAGTTGATGTTTTAAACAAATGCCGGATATGAGTCTGATGATTAGGAAAATGCATTGTCATCATACACTAAGTCTCTCTGCAATTTTCTTCTAACTTTCCTCTTCTATCTGGACCAGCTACTTAAATGTGGACATTCATCTCTTTCTAGCTTGTTAGGGAACCTGGCATTTCTGTAAAACATACAACCTGGCAATAAGGCGAGAGTGAAAACTTCATTTCATAATTTCCTTTATGCCACTACAAAAGAGAAATTTAATAGCATACCCAAGGTTGAAAGTGGCAGAGCTGTGATATGTGCTCAGGCAGCCTGACTTCATGGTCTGTAGTCAGACCACACCAGTTTCTCATTTGGCACTGTGCTGCCTTTCCAGTGATACCTCTAGGGATGGGATCTCCTGGCTTTAAAAGAGAATCCTCTTCTATTGGACACACCTCATTTCTTCCTTAAAACGGACCAAAATCCTTCCTCTTATATGTTTCTCACATTTGTCCTTTAGAGCAGAAGCTGCAACCCAAACTCTTAATTTTAGGTGTGGTATAAAGAAATATCAATTTCGGGTTTTTAAAAACACTTGTCTGTTGGCCATAGTTGGTCCAGTTTCTTGTTTGCTTTAGGTCATTACTAACTTGCTTAGTTTCCTCTTCCATGTAATAAAACCTTTCACTTATTAGAATGCAATATCATGTTTTTCACGTCAGTTTCCTTCCTCCCTGTCTCTTCCCTCACACAGAACACCATATGTTCTTGGACAAACCATTTAACCTTTGTGGGACTCAAATTTTCTCATTTGTGATGTAGGGATAATAATATCAACTTACTGAATTGGTTTTAAGATTAAATGAATGTAAGAGTCTAGATATTCAATGAGAGATAACTGTTCTTGTTATTTTAGTTGTATCTAAAGGTATATATTTTAAATATATTGCATGTGTACAACCACTTCTGAACCTGTTATATTTCACATATAACTAAATTATTTCCCATCAGCTTTCAAATCAAGGAAGAAGAAACTTATTGAAATTACTTGCTTTTAGACAAACTTTTAAATTTTGTTTCTAATGGTCCTTATCTTTTTCTTAAATGCTTTAACTGTTTGATATATAAGATCAAAGCTATATTCTTTGAAAAGTGTTAACTCTGAAAATTATATTTTCAAGTCTATAAGCATATTATAATTTGCAATACTGCTATAGAGGCAATCTAATTTCTATTTTCAGCATTGCAGGGGGTCAAATACTGTCAGTGATAAAGATGCAACTGATTAAAGGCCAAAACAGCAGGGATCCTTTTTGCAAAGCAATAGAGGAAGTTGCTCAGGATTTGGATTTGAGGATTAAAAATATTATCAATTCTCAAGAAGGTGTTGTAGCTCTTAGCACCACTGACATCAGTCCTGCTCGGGTAATGAGCTTTTTATTTTTCATTATCCTTTTATACAAATCATTATCTCTTCTATTTATTGTAGAAATGGTTTATTATTGCTACTTAAGTCAGAAGAGTGTGTTTCCTGTGTTCTAAAATGATATTGAAAATGTAAGTTTCTCAATAGGATTATGTAGGATTACATGTTCAACTTGGGTAAATTATCACATATTTGGGCCAAATTTCTGAATTTGTTAAAGTAAGGCATAGGGTAATCTCTGGTATCCCTTTTAGTACTAAAAACTTATAATTCTTGATGGATATTAAGGTGTTTTATGCTATTTTTCCATAAATATTCTTTTTTTTTTTTTTGAGACGGAGTTTCACTCTTGTAGCCCAGACTGTAGTGCAATGGCACGATCTTGGTTCACTGCAACCTCTGCCTCCTGGGTTCAAGCAATTCTCCTGCCTCAGCCTCCCGAGTAGCTGGAATTACAGGCACCTGCCACCATGCCTGGCTAATTTTTTGTATTTTTAGTAGAGATGGGGTTTCACTATGTTGGCCAGGCTAGTCTCAAACTCCTGACCTCGTGATCTGCCCGCCTCGGCCTCCCAAAGTGCTGGGATTACAGGCATGAGCCACCACGCCTGGCCTAAATATTCTCATAAACAATTACTTTCCCATTTACTCAGATATAAAATAAAAGCCTGTTTTTTCTGTTTCTGACTTTAATACTAAGCATTGTATTAGGACAACAACAGTCCTGTTAGAAATTGCTTCCATTCAGCAGTTTACTTTTCTTTTATAAATCTCTGTCTCTTGTTTTCTACCTCCATTACTAAAACCTGTACCTGGCAATTTTTAAACTATATATTCCCAGAACATTTACTTATTCTTAATTTTTTTTTTACAGAGATAATTAAATAGAGTAGATTCTAACCCACAGAATTATAAGAGAAATTGACTACTGTGTTTTTAGAACAGAATTTTAGAGTAGTATAGTTCGTTTATTGCAATTTATTCAACTTTCTAATAGCCCCTTTTTATTAGGTATGATTATGGTAGCCAGTGTATGAAGAAAGACTTTTGCTTAATTTTTATTATTTATCATTCATTCGTTCATTCATTTACTCACAGCACTCTGGGACCACTTTTAGCTATTTTTCTATAACAGTGCTTGTTTTTAGATTTACTTTGAAGGTGGGGAAGATTCAGGGTTGTTGACCTGTGTATTTCATGGGTGTTAACACTTCCTGGTGAATAGTTTGGCTCAAATGACAACCAGGTTATTACTATAAGTATCAATCAGAATCTGTCAACTTCAAATAATTAAAAACATCAATTGCTTCCATTTCTTGGCAGAAGAAATAAAGATACCAACAATCTGGTTCTTAATTTCATGTTTTCAACCAAATCAGAGATCTTTGAAAAATATAATCAAATGATACTCATGAAGTTACTATTAAGGAATATGGAATTCTGTGGTACTAATGAAAAATATATGTGAAGCACCAGATTGTGATAGGCAATTTGTTATAATTCCAGTAGAGCTATATACATTATAGTTCACCTGGTAACCTGAGTCTGCCAACAGAGAAAGAAGGCCAAGATGATATTGATGAAAGCTGAAGAAACTGGCACAGCTTATAACAGATGTCCCAGAAGATGTAGCTTTGATATCTAGGTATAATGTCCAGCAACCCTCTGGGTTAGGCATTATCATTGCCTCTATTTTGTCATGGAGTTTAAGAAGAGAGTTCAAGCACCTTCTCCAGAGTTATACAGGATATACAACTAAGCAGTTGGTATCAAATCCAGCCAGAAATGCCTTCAGAGTTTGTGCTTACATGTATCTATACATAATATTTTATTATTATATATTTTATTTTATTCTATCTAGTCATGAAGTTTTTTTCAGCTTTCCCTTTTTAATCTGCTTTATCTCTATTACTACTATCTTAGTTCAGAACTCTCCATTTCTAAACTGTTCTATTATAGTCTTTAATTTGTGACCTGTCTCCAGATTTGATAACATTCGTATCTCACAATATATTTTACACATTGCCATCATTGGTTCTTTAAAATCTAAACAGGATCATTTTACTTCCTTGCTTACTGAAGCAAGAGATTTTTCCTCTGTAACAGACTGGCTTATAACTTCTTGGCATGATATACAAAGTTTCCCAGGCTCATCTCATACCACTTCCTCCCTTTTACCTTATTCTTCAGCCATGCCATGCTACCTGGTCCCTGAAAGCACCATGCTCTCTTCTTCCTCTGGGTGCCTCCTCCTCTGTGGAATCATCTTTGATGCCAGGGTACATTGGTCACTTCTTTTGTACTCCCACTGCACTGTGCGTACACTTATTAGAAATAGCACTTAGCATTCTGTAATGCAATTGTCAGTTACTTATTTATCTTATCAAGGAAACTATGGGTTCTTTGAAGGCAATGGTTGTTACCTTTGGAACCTTAGCTTTAAATATAGTGCTTGGGACATAGTATATGCTTATCAATGATTATTGAATGAATGAATGTCAACTAGCTTTTCATTTTTGCATTTGATCGTTACAGTCATCCATGGGGCCTGTATTCAGATAGCCAGAACCTCATCATTCTTTGGCATAAGAGAGAAAAAATAAATAGAGATGTTGAGCCATGGGGCTGATGTCACATAGCTAGATAGTGGCTAAAGTTTTCTGACTCAAAGCCTAATGTTATTTTGACCAGAACCTAATGTCTTCTTTTGATGATATTATTTTTGTGCTTTTGGAATTGGTAAAGTTGATTATAGCATGGCTTAAGGAAAAATGGTCACATGCCTCACAGCCACTTCTTATAGCTGATGTTTTATTACTTTAACAATAGATGAAAGAGGCCAGTGCCACAGGGAATTTAAAAGTATGGCCATTCACCCAGCTGGGGTGATTATTACATTTACCTAAAATTATTTTTTGTCTCAGCCAAAATCTCATGCCATAAACCATGGTACTGCATACTGTGGCAGAGATACTGTGAAAGCCTTATTAGTTCTTTTGGACGAAGAAGCAGCTAATGCTCCTACCAAAAACAAAGCAGAGCTTTTATATGATGAGGAAAACACAATCCATCATCATGGAACGTCTATTCTTACACTTTTTAGGTAAGTTATGTGGAAGTTATATGTGTTATAAATGTTAACTCTAGAGAATTATAAAAGAAATGTATGCTTATGGTAGGAAACTTAGAAACTACAGAAATTGTGAAGAAAGAAAATAAAAGTTAATTAAAGGGAGATTGAACATTTGAATTCAAAGAGGTTATATATAAAAGAAGTAATATTTTATGAGAGTACAGCCTGAGAGATGTCTTTGGTTTCAGTGTTGTTTTTAGTTCTTGTTGTTTTGCTTTGAAAATATTTATTTCCTTTGCTGTGGGTCAAGAATTTTGCTAAATGTTTCAGTTAAATTATTTCAGCCTTCCCAACCAACATGTTCTTAAGTGAAGAATTAGAGGCTCCACTTTATAAGTGAAGAATTAGAGACTTGAGAGATATTAAGTAATTTGCCCAAGTGAGGTATGTTAGCAATTAGCAAGGGTGTCTTTCTTAAAGCCTGAGGCCTATGCTCTCAGGACTACTATTCTGCCTAGAATAAGAGAGAGCACATACACCAAACTTACACTGGAATTGACAGCTCCTGCTTCTCCCTCAAATTATGAAGAAAAATATTTACCAAATTAATGCTGGTATTATGTGTAAGACATTGATGCTGTCTTCGTCTACTCAGGCTGGCATAACAAAATACTACAGACTGGGTAGCTTAAACAATAGAAACCTATTTTCTCTTTGGGCTGGAAGCTGGAGATGCAGGGTGCCAGCATGGTCAGGGCTGGTGAGGGCTTTCCCCTTGGGTTGCAGATAACTGCCTTTTTGCTGTGTGGTCACATGTCCTTTCCTTGGTAGAAGCACATGGAGAGAGATCTCTTTGTCTTCTTGTAAGGCCACCAGTCCTGTTAGATTTGGATCCCACCCATGTGACCTCATTTAATCTTAATTACCTCCTAAAAGGCCCAAATACAGTCACATTTGGGAGTTAAGGCATATAGATATATATATATGGGTGATGCAGTTTCATCTATAGTAGATGCTCTCCAGTTTTAATGATTAGGTCAGTCGTTGAGTAGGTTGTTGATATTTTTAATTAATTGGACATTCACTTTGAGAAACATTAAAATTTTTAGAACAACCATTTTAAATTGTATTTAGTACACTGTAGAGAATTTTCACAAAATTATCGTACCGCTTGATCTCTTCTATTTTCTACTGGAGCTATTTTATTGAAATCTGGCTTCATGATTGCTTCACATACTCTCTCCTATGCCTCAGTATCCTTTCTCTTCTCTTTAAACAGAAACTTTACAGTGGTCTGTCATTCAGTGTTGTCATCTATTCCTTAAAATCTCATCTTCTTTACCAACTTCCATGACTATTCTTTTATATCTGGACATGAAATAATTCTTCCACATTCTACCTTAGAATGCCCAAATATTTTATTAACGATAAATATTTTTATCAGTGATTTACTTATACCTGCTGCTGGGATCCCAGAAAACAGTAAAAAGAAATAAATGAACTTTTATTTTTTCTCTTTTCATCTTACTTCTGTTTAACAAGTTTGCTTTTGGGTAGAAATGTAAATAATTTCAATTTTCTCTCAGACTGAATTCATTTTCTTAAAGTTATTTTCCTTTCATGAAATTTTTATTCTAACAAATTTAATCCCAGAGTCCATTTTAAAAAGGAATCTTTCTAGGCCAGGCATGGTGTCTTATGCTAATAATCCCGGAGCTTTAGGAGGCCAAGACAGGAGCATTGCCAGAGACCAGCAGTTTGAGTCCAATCTGTGCAACATAGTAAGACTCTATCTCTGCAAAAATAAAAAAGAATTACCCAGTGTGGTGGTGCATGCTTGTAGTACCAGCTACTTGGGAGCCTGAGGTGGTGCATGCCTGTAGTCCCAGCTACTTGGGAGCCCAGGATTGCTTGAGGCCGCAGTGAGCTATGATTGCACCACTGCACTCTCTCCTAGGTGACAGAGCAAGAAAGAAAAGGTTTTTCTATACTTAATCATGTCACTGAACACATTGCTATTGTTCACAGTTTGGATTCTGCATTCGCATTTCTAATTGTCATTGTGCAGACAAACACTGGTCTGTGGTAAAGTAAATTTTCAGTGGTCTACACTGAAATGATAAAATTAAGGACAATGAGGTATATCAATTTAAGGTTATCAACTATTCTTTCTTAGGGCAGGCAATCTTTTATTCTTGCTTAGTAGTCATTTGAGTCAAGGGGGTTCTAATTCTGGCTCTATTAAGCCAAAAGGGATTAATTTATTAAGGTATTCAAGTTGGTCTGAATCCAAAACTATAGGGTGGGTCTTCTCCTTTTTACCTTCTCTGACCCTCCTATTTCTATGTTTTTCTCTTTTGAATTCTCATACTATTTTGAATTTCAGTTATGTGGATTTCTTATATTCTTTACTTAGACTTCAGGATGCCTGAATATAGGGTCAATAAATAAGTCAACTTTCTATTCTTCACAATATCTTGTATAGTGCCTTACAAATAGTAGAAGCTCATGAAACATTTAGTTACTGGATTGACTAAGCAAACTATTAATATTTAGGATTCTCAGAATAGAAATAATGACACTTTTATAAAGTACAGTTATGCATTGTTTAATGATGGGATACATTCTGATAAAGGCATCGTTAGGCAATTTTGTCATGTGAACATTATAGAGTATACTTACACAAACCTAGATGGTATAGCCTATTACACACCTAGGCTACAAACCTGTACAGTATGTTATTGTACTAAATAGTATAAAGAAATAGTAACATAAAGGTAAGTATTTATGTGATAGGAATTTTTCAGCTTCATCATAATCTTATGGCATCACTGTCAAATATGTGGTATGTTGTTGACCAAAATGTTGTTATGCAGCACATGACCGTATTATAAACAAGTAGATTTAGTGGTCCTTTATCCTATAACTGTGCTTTTGGGTAGGGGCGGGGCAGATACTAGTTTAAAAGCCATTTTGGTTTGTAAGTGTCTTCATCTCTTCAGGCTGTTAGAACAAAACACCCCAGACTAGATAATTTGTAAATAACAAAAATTTGTTTCTCATAGTTCTGGAGTCTGGAAGTCTTAAGATCAAGGCACCAGCAGATTTGGTGTCTGATGAGGGCCTCTTCCCCATAGATTAGATTTTCTTGCTGGGTTTTCACGTGGCTGGGAAGACTGAAGGGCAAAAAGTGCTCCCACAAACCCTTTCATAACGGCACTAATCCTGTTCATGAAGGCAGAGTCCTCATGATTTAATCACCCTGAGGCCCCACCTCTTAATACCACAGATGGTCCCCAACTTATGATGGTTTGACTTGTGATTTACCTTCACATGACTTTACAATTGTGTGAAAGCTGTACACATTCAGTAGAAACTGTGCCTCGAAATTTGAATTTGGATCTTTTCCTGAGCTAGCAATATGTAGAACAATATTCTCTCATGATTCTGGGAAGCAGCAGTGAACCACAGTATTCAGATAGCCACATGATCATGGCGGTAAACAACTGATACTCTGCTGTGTTGCCTGATGATTTTGCCCAACAGATATTGGAATGTACTAATTCCAGCTAATTCCATGTTTAAGATAGGCTAGGCTAAACTATGATGTTCGGTGGATTGGGTGTATTAAATGCATTTTTGACTTAATGGTATTTTTAATTTATGATGAGTTTATCTGGGAGGTAACCCCATCATAAGTTGAGGAAAAACTAGATTGTATTGGGAATTAAGTTTCAACGTGAATTTGGAGGGAAACAAACATTCCAACCATAGCAATAAATTTTTGCCTTTTTTTTTTTTGACATAGGTCTCCCACACAGGTGAATAATTCGATAAAACCCCTAAGAGAACGCATCTGTGTGTCAATGCAAGAGAAAAAAATTAAGGTACAATTTAATGCATGCCATGAAAATAGCAAACACTGTTTTATTTTTAGAAGAAATAAATACATGAAGCTGAGCTGGGTATTGTAAATATTGTAAACATTGTACATGACACAGTAGGAATTAAATGGAAAATGAGTTATGACAGTTGACGTACAGAGACTTTCCTTTTATACAGTCTTGACTAATCTGTTTCTGGTTTGCTTAATCCACTGGACCTAAAAAAGGGAAATGAATAAGCAGTTGCTATTGTAAGTGTTGAATAAATATCCGTTGAATGAGTGATGTGGAAAATAAAAGAAGATAAGGCTTTCTCATTTACATTTCTATATCTTAAACTGAATCTCAAGATATGTGATTTTAAATTTGCTCCTGTCTGAAGATATAATGGCAGAATATAATTAATTATAGATTGAGCTGAGAGCATTTTACACTGCTCTTGACTAGAACTGTTCCTGTTCTTTGTTCATTTAGTTTGAACTAAGTTTTGCTGTCTTCATATGAAACATCTGTGCCTATAAGTAATCAATAATGTGTTTTCAAGCAATTTTTATTGGCCTTATTTTTCAAAAAGAAATTTGGCTTTAACTCATTTATCATACTTTTATTGGGTATCTACTATGATCCAGACACTGTTGTATGGTTGGGAATTCATTAATTCATTAAATAAGATTTTTATATAAAATTTATAATCATCCTTAAACTGTCAAATATTCATCTTGATACAACAAAAAAGAGAAGACTAATTTGTATGCCCTTTATTTTTTCATTTGGAAATTTAGTTTAAATTACCAAAGCTTTTAGTTAATACCTGTTTCATCTACATACCCTATACCCATTTAGTTTATTTATTAATACCTTTTCTTTCTATTGATTATTAGTAGTTGTTAGCAATTAATGCTTGTGGAATACATCATTGAGTTTCATAAAATTTTTCTGTGAATAAAATTTGTCAATTCTTTGTCATATTAATATAAGTATTTGCAATCAAGGGATAAGATTTTTAAAATCTATCCATTGGACTTGGATAGAAACAGAAGTGTAACATATCAAAAAAATTTTTTTCTTGCTATGGATACTGACAAACTTTAATATTTTGATTTAAAAATAAGTCATATTTTGGGGAGCTCAATTTCTCTGTCTCCATTTCAAATAGAATACCAAAGTGGGTCAGGTATGGTGGCTCACTCCTGTAATCCCAGCACTTTGGGAAGCCAAGGCAGGCAGATCACTTGAGGTCAGAAGTTCGAGACCAGCCTGGCCAACATGGTGAAACCCTGTCTCTACTGAAAATACAGAAATTAGCCGGGCACCTGTAATCTCAGCTACTCGGTAGGCTGAGGCAGGAGAATCGCTTGAGTCTGGGAGGTGGAGATCACACCACTTCATTCTAGCCTGGGTGACAAAATGAGACTCTATCTGAAAAAAAAAAAAAAAAAAAAGAAAGAATGTAAGACATGACATAAGGAAAAATCACTGACAGTGAAGTACGTTAAATATTACCGGGAAAGGGCTTAGAGTTTTCTTTTATTTTATTTACTTTTATTATTTTAAATTTTGTTGTTTGTAACTTTTGTGGGTACATAGTAGGTGTATATGTTTATGGGATACATGAGATGTTTTGATATAAGCATGCATTGCATAATAATCACATCATGGAGAATGGGGTATCCATTCTCTCAAGCATTTTATCCTTGGTGTTATAAACAATCCAATTGGATTTTCTTAAAATTAAGTAAATCAAAATGAAAAAATCTATCTGAGAAATGAGAGTGTTTTTAAAGAAAATGTTAAGGCTCAACTAATTACTACGAAACGTATAGACAAATTTAGAAAGTTTTGGGAAATAGAACAGAGATCATCTAATGCAGTCTCATTTACAGATGTGGAAACCAAAATTCTAAGAAGGCACCTTATCCAAGATCTCATAACTACCATGAAATATTTTATAACAGTTTGCAAAACCATGGTTAAATACTAATGAGGTTATAATTACATTGCTTCCATTACTTAACAGTAGAGCTGACTTAGTCTATACAGCTCTGAATCTACTAATAAACGGCAATCAAGAAAGGAAAGCATTGCTTATGTTTTTGCGATACTCTTTTTAAAAGTGAAGTATGAAAATGATTAGTTTAACCAGGTATACAACTGAACCATAGCCATGTAGAGTATTTGTTGGAATAACAAAAAATGCTGCCAATATTTACTACCAAAGTTCCTATGGAAAAGTAGTTTAGCAGCTGATTATCTTATTACTCTGTTACTTTTGCTCTTTTGGCATATAGTGGTTTTTAGTCACAGAAATAATATATGATCTACACAGAAAATATCTTGAAATGAGCATTTCAAAGGTAGAAAATAATTAGATAACTTAGAATTTTGATGTACTTGCTTATGAAATATCCATGTCATTATTATATGGAGTAAATTAACTCAGATTTTAGTTTCCTCATTCTTAAATAGAAATAGATGCTCCTGCGATCACAAAAGTTTATGAAACCCTTTGGAAATAGTTCACGAACACACTCATTTTAGGTCCTCAACTTTTATTTCCTACTGTAGTGTATCAGGAATCTTGTTTATGATGGTCTTTCAGAGGTTTTTATCATGAAAGGGTGTTGAATTTTATCAAATGCTTTTTAAGCATCAGTTGAAAGGATCATATGATTTTTGTCCGTTATTCTGTTGATATAATGTATCACATTGATTGATTTGCATATGTCGAACCATTCTTATATCCTTGGGATAAATCCTACTTTGTCATGATGAATGATCTTTTTAATATGTTGTTGAATTTGGTTTGCTGGTATTTTGTAGAGGATGTGTGCATCAATTTTCATTAGAGATGTTGGCCTACAGTTTTCTCTGTTTGGTTTTGGTATTGGTAATACTGTCCTTGTAGAATGAGTTTGAAAGTGTCTCCTCATCTATTTTTGGAATAGTTTGAGTAGGATTGGTATTAGTTCTCTTTAAATGTTTGCTAAAATTCAGTAGTGAAGCCATTGGGCCCTGGGCTTTTCTTTGCTGGGATAATTTTTTTTATTTTTTTGAGATGGAGTCTCAGTTTCTCAACCAGGCTGGAGTACAGTGGCGTGATCTCGGCTCACTGTAACCTTCTGTGTTTTAAGTGATCCTACTGTCTCATCCTCCCAAGTAGCTGGGATTACAGGCACCCACCACCATGCCCAGCTAGTTTTTGTATTTTTAGAAGAGATGGGGTTTCACCATGTTGGCCAGGCTAGTCTCCAACTCCTGACCTCAAATGATCCACCTGCCTCGGCCTCCCAAAGTGCTGGGATTACAGGCATGAGCCACCCGGCCCAGCTGCTGGGAGACTTTTTAGTACAGCTTCAGTCTCATTACTTATTATTGATCTATTCAGGTTTTTTATTTCTTCATGGTTCAATCTTGGTAGATTGTGTATATGCATCTAGGAATTTATCTATTTTTTCTAGGTTTTCCAATTTATTGGCATTTGTTGGTCATAGTGGTCTCTAATGACCCTTTGAATTTCTGCAATATTAGTTGTAATGTCTCCTTTTTTAAAAAAATTTCTGATTTTATTTATTTGGGTCATCTCTCTTTTTTTCTTAGTCTAGCTAATGGTTTGTTGATTTTATCTTATCAAAAAATTAACTTTTCATTTCCTTGATATTTTGTGTTGTTTTCTTGGTTTCAATTATGTTTATTTCTGCTCTAATCTTTATTAATCCTTTTCTTTTCTTCTACTAATTTTGATTTTGGTTTATCTTGCTTTTCTAGTCCCATAAGATGCATATTTATGTTGCTTATTTGAAGTTTTTCTTGTTTTTGGATGTAGGTGCTCATTGCTATAAAATTTCCTCTTAGTACTGTTTTTGCTGTATCTCATAGGTTTTGGTATGTTGTGTTTCGATTTTCATTTGTTTCAAGAAATTTTTTAATTTCCTTTTTAATTTATTAAGCACTTTAAGTAAGTTATTATAAGTACCCTTATACCTTTTTATTAAATGATTTTTCAAGGAGATACCTCCTTAAATCCCTGTGAATTAATTGGCTTTATTCTTTCCAACTTGGTTTAGTGGTAGTTTGCACATCAGGCACAATTGAAAAGTCATATATACAGGTCTTTTCCTTATTCTGAGTCTAATGTTTATAGCATATTATATTGAATGTCTGAGTAATCATCATTTAGCCAGTCAATAACTTAAGTGTGCTAATCAGGAAAATACTGGACCTTTAACATGGAGCTGTTGGGACAGTGAAAGTCAGGACTTGGTATAAAAAACTGGACTGGCTAGAACTCTTTATTTTCATAAACACCCAGGTAGTAGTCCAATGCCTATGGTATTAACAAATTCTTTTATTTAACCCCATGGTATTAGAAACTTCAAATTTAACCTTTATGATATTTGAAAACTCTTGAGTACATCTAAATTAAAATAGTGGATTGAGTTTAACTAATAGAATTTTCTTCCCCTGCCTGATACTTGAAATGAGTACAAAGTAATAAAAACTAATAAAAATAATCAGCATCAACTAAGAAAGAATAATGTAATCAGATGCAATAAGCTTAAAAGATGATGGTCAGGGAAAGAAACTGAAGATTTCAGAGTGAAGAGGCATAGAATGATTTGGCAACTTTAGTTAGTCCTAGTCCCCAGATACAGAACTAGTGAATTAGCAAAATTCTGAGGATTACCACTAATACTTCCAAAACTGAGAACTAAGGTGTGCATTCCTTTTTTTTCTTTTTTCTTGTTCATTAGAGAAATAGTAGAAGTGGCAATGGAAGAGGAATATAGACAAAATGTGGAAAATGAACCCTGGGATTTACACACTGAGAGAAATAAAGGCTCTAGTTCTATCTACTGAATTGGGGAAATTATCCAAATGCTTTCCTTCCACTTGATTGAAATACACTCCCTAATGAGATGAAGTGAACCTTCCTCTGGTATATACAATATGTAATAAACTCCTAGAGTGCAGAACCCAGAAATTTTCATAGACTACCTGTCTCCTCAGATGAGTTGAGCTTCTACCTCTACTGTTCCTCAAGCTACGGAAAAATGAGGGATAACAGAAAAAATGCAGCTTTCAAAATGTAACTCTGAGGAGAAAATAAAATGCTGTCAGATAAGGAAGGAACAGAATCAAGTTGTGATGTGGAGACTTCTTTTTTTCATGAGGATATAGTACGTCATGGTAGAACACCATTCTCGCTACGATAGCAAAACAATAAAAGGCAGATAAGTTGGGGAAAATATATTTTAAAGACATAGGAGAGCTATATAATCAAAGAATTTTTAAAAAATTAAAAATCTGGACAGGATAACATCCTTCTGATGTGAGAAGTCTATTGTCAGCTGCTTTCTTCCCTGGGATTTGTTGCTACTTTTGAATATGAGCTGAGGATTGGTGTTAGCCCATGTAAAGGAACTCTATTGAGGAACAGAGAAACCACCAAAGTGTTTGGGTGTCTTGAGGGGCTGTCAACAAATTGGAAACTTTAGCAGTCCTAAATGCAGTTATTTTTACCTAGGACACATACTCTGAATTTTGTAGTTGTGTGGGGAGGTAGGGAGCCTTACTACAATAGACTAAAACCACCTTGATTCCACTTGAGAAGTGGGACGTGCCTCAAACACGTGGCTGGTCTTTTTTTTTTTTCAAGATATTTGCCATATTTGGAAATAAAGTGGGGTGGGAGATCACAGAACATAGTGTGAAAACCCCTGAAAAACAGACTGAATCTCCCAGATTTTAGGCCAGAGGTGACAGAGATCCCTACAAGGCTCGCAGTTGAAAGCTTAGAGCACACCCGAGGAAGAGATAAGAACCAGAAGTCAAATGTGAGTTAATGAAAAGTGCAACCCAGCTCTGATGCAGCTCATTCCTTGATTGTATTGAGGTTATCAGTCTTTCACTGTGTCTGCCTAACAGTGAAAAGGAGAACTCTTCTTGCTGGAAGAGGTCATCTGTAGCTTCTAGAGTTCCTTTATGTGCAATATCCAGCATGAAATAAACTATACTGGACATGAGAAAAGGCAAGATGATTTGTCCTTTAATAAAGGGAAAACATTTAACAATAGAGGGAGACTCACAAATGATCCAGATACTGAAATTTACTGGCAAGGAATCAGAAAGAAATTAACTTATAAAAGTAATTGGAGGAAAAGATGGTCAAAATATATGAAAAAAATGGAGAATTCCAACAGAGATTTAGAATCGATGACATAGAACAAAAAAGATAATGTTTTTCCAGAATTGTAAAAACATTATCTAAAATTAAGACCTTGTTAGATGTGGTTAGTAGAAGACCAGACACAGCATTAGGTAGGGTAAGTGGACTTGAAGATGGAGCATTAAAAAAATCTCCAAACTGGAGAGAAAAGAGAGAAAAACAAATGAAAAAGCAAAATAGAAGAGCAGGACACAGAGAAAATGTCTAACGTATGCCTAATTGGAGTCCCAGAATGAGAGGAGAAAATAGGGTAGAAACAATATTTGAAGATACATTGGTCATAATTCTTTCCAAAGGTCAGTTCACATCAGATTACTACCTAGCATTTAGAAGAGAGGGTGGACAAATGCAGGGTTTCCTTTACAAATATAAAGTTGCCTATGGGTTCCAAATGTGTGGACCCAGCATACTACAAAATGTCCCATAGTCCTTTGAGAATCCATCTGCAGACATGAATGTGCCACAGGGCATAGACTGTAAAGCTTTGTTCTAGAGCAGTGCTCTCCAGTAGAACTTTCAGTGATGGAAATGATCTGTGTTTGTACTGTTCATTACTGAAGGTCCTAGTCACATGTGGCTATTGAGCTCTTGAAATGTGGCCACTGCATTTGAAGAACGGGGTTTTAAATTTTATTTAATTGTAATTAATTATCCGCACATGGCTAGCACATTAAACAATGCAGTTCTAATGGATTAAAGATACACTTAAATGCAATAACTAGAGACCCATATTAAGTGGAGGAAATAATAAGAGATGAGAATAAATAGGATTTGAATAGGCAGAGAGATTGAAATAGAGCATTTCAAACAACTGATGATGAAAGTATTAAATTGCCTTGCTGTTGTAAAGAGAATGTGTGTAGGGTAGTTGTGAAAAAAAACAGTGAATAAATAATGTTGGGGAAGATTAAGGACAGTATGCCTTTTATGGTATTAAGGAATAGAGTAATTTTTTAAGGGGTTTATTGTAAGGACGAGAGAGAAAGGCAGAATATTTAAGAACTCAAAAGTAAACGGTGGAAATTAAGCAGCTTAAGGAATTCAGCTGCATGGTTCTTTGTACTTAAATGTGATTTAGGTTTTCTCTGCATGTATATTTCTCTCTTGTTTCTGTACCAACTGGTTTCTTTACCCTATTGAACAGAGTAGAGTTTACTCTGAACATATTTTTCTACCTCAAAGCTTGTGTTCCTAGGGTGATGTAGTTGTTCTTTTCAAGTCTACTTACTTTTTAAAAATTTATTGTGGATACATACTAGTTGTATATTTTTATGGGGTACATGTGGTATTTTGATACAAGCATACAATTATCGTGTGGTTACCTTATAGAGTCTGTTCTCTTTTTCCACCTCCAAACTTTTGCTTGCTCATGGCTTCTGTTCCCTCACAGCTCTGCTTGCATATACTTGTTATAGTCTGTTGTAATTTTACTTCATTAATTAATTCATTCAAAAAACAGTAAGTACCTCCTGGATACCAAGTTCAGTCCTAGGCACTGGAGATACATCAGTGGAAAAAAACAGACAAACCTTCCTGCCCTAAAGGACAAGGCTTCTCTAAAGATTTATACAGCTGAGGTGCAATAATATAAATGGAAGCCACTGGCCTACCCTGAAACCCCTTCAACCTTGATTTTGTTTCATACTCTGAAGAATACTCTGCCAGTAGGTCTGTCTACCCCACAGCCCATCACCCTTGCCATAAACAGTCAGCTCTTGAGGCTAAAGGAAGAGGCCAGTGCCAGCCCAGTGCCCAGGGGTCCTTGAAACAGGATCTATAAAGGAGGTCATGGTTTCCTGGTGAGCATGTCTAAAGCTCTGGGCACTCCTCACCCTGTAAGGAGGGGATGGCAACAGGAGGACCACAGCTGGCCATCAGTTGTCAAACTGTAAGGGTTTTACTGCTGATGGAGTTTATATTTTAGTTGGGAGAAGCAGACAATAAACAAACAAGTGGATTATATGGTATATTTGAAGGTTATCAGTGCTGTGGAGTGAAATGAAATGGGTGGGGCCTAAGGAAAGTGGGGTTCCTTTGTGTGTGTTTGGGTTTTAAATAGCCATAAGTAGGAGTCTCCTTGAGAAGGTTGACATTCAGCAAAGTCTATAAGGGACTGAGCAACATTTTCCGTTAGAATGAAAAAGGAATGTTTGTATTAGACTGAATTAAAATTGAATTTGTTTTAGCTGAAATAATGGGATCAGGATTTATTGAGTACCTACTAAGTGTTCAGTGTTTATACTGGATATTTTATATCCCTCATCCCAATTAATCCTTGCTCAACTCTGGAAGGCATCATTTTGCAGACCATACATATAGTAAGTAACAGCAAGGGTTTATAGTCAGGTGTCAGACTTCAATGTTTATGCTATCTTCAAAGATTAAATAAAGGCATGACAATTATGATGTAGGATCATAAAACGATAATGCTACTACTTAGGTCAAAAAGATTTTTTTCTGCTATTAAGCAGAGTAAATGGAATTTCACTGATGAAGAAAAGGATTATTTGATTTATATACAATTAATATGTCATTAAGGATATAAAATCTCTGTTCTTTCAAAAATGTGATAATGTAAAAATAAGGTAAACTTAGAATATTTTTAGTTACATATTTACTAGGTATGTTGAATAATTTCCTTTTTCAAACTTGCTAATATATTTATTGGTATAATGGGGGTTTAGAACTTTCATTTTCGTGTTAATACAGCTAACTCTGAGTGTCTATGACTTTTCAGTGTTTTGACTCATTTATTTTAATTTAACTGGAGTCAGGCTTTCCTATGTGAAGTACTATTTTCCTCAAACTGGGAACTTACTAATAATTTCAAATTAAAAAGAGCTTGTGGCAAAAGGACTTTTCCAGTTCTTGGCAAGTGTGAAGTTCATTGCAATTATGCTGTGGATAGAAATATTTCCAAAGGGAGGAAATCACTCTACAAAGGAATACTTTCAATCCATTTCTCTCATGTGACTTGAACATGAAATGATTTTAACAGCCATGTATGAATCTGGACATTATTCTTAGTTGTTTAGTACTTCAAAAGCACTTTTAAGAGGGAATTGTTTTGCTTATTTGTGATTCCAAATCAAATACACAGAGAGATTTGGAAGATTTGCAACAGGAAGTAATCTCAGTTCTATGTAGCCACTAATCTTGTGTAGAAAAATTCAACTTTTATGAACAAAGGAAAAGCAATCTCTTTTAAGTTATAAATATAAGCCAATGTAGGTTGCGTTGTTTAAATAATTAAAATGAAGAAGCTGTTTGTAAGTTCATTTTTTTGAGCTGCATTCCTAGGATCATTGTAGAACTGGCCTGATTCTGAGATATCTAATTGAACAGATCTTTTTCTTACAGGAATACTCTCTTCCTACATGTTATTACAATAATAATGATATAGTGTCTACATAGATTTCTGCAGTTTATATAACCTTGACATATGTTAACTGCATCCAATTCTGATAATTCTGTGAGGTAAATATTCCCATTATGTGTGGATAAGTGAGAGGTATAATGGTTTCCCCAAAGTTATCTAGTTAGTAAGTAATACGGCCAGCATTAGAAGCCAGGTCTTCTGACTGCAAATCTGATGCTTTTCCCATCACATCATCTTATCTTTTTGTGCTGCTTTCTTAGTTGGACAGTTGTTGGCTCAGTCAAGTTCATATCAATTTAAATCTCTAGGTCTTTTACATATGTTGTTTTTAAGTCAGGTTCTCCTCATCCTGTACCTCTGTAATTGATATTTTTAAACTTAAATACTGGACTTTGTTTATCCCCATCCATTTTCATCTTATTATTTTCTACTTATGGTTCTAGCCTTCTGAAATCTTTTCAATCTTGATTCTGTTATCCAGTTTATTTGTTATTCCTCCCAGCTGTTTGTCAATAGCAAATTTTATAAGTAGAATGTTTTTGAAGTTGTAGAAGCCATCCTAGTAATCTCTAGTATACGCTGTGCTTGTCACATAGTTGGAACTTAATAAGTGGTAATTGATTAAAAAAAAAGAGATTTTTGTACAGGGCAAGGGAAAGAAAATCTGCATATAATCCTTTATGAAAAGAAAAAATCTCAATATACAAAGGGGGGGAGTTCTGTTGTGTTTATTTCTTATATTTTAATATATTTATAAATAATATTTTTCATGGTAGAGAAAGTCATTAATTATTTTTCTTTTACATCTGAACTTGTTTTCAGTACTTCAGGAATCCATTGCCTTGTGATGGTAGTTTTCTGAAATTGTACTGGGGTCTCTGAGGAGTTTAGAATTTGTCTGTGGGGGAGGCTGAATTGAGGAAATCTAGTTGTAAGGAGAGCTATTGCGCTTATTTTGTGACTATTTGCATAGCAAGCAAAGATTTTTTTACCTAGACTATATGTTAAAAATTAATAAAAGTAACAAAACATTCTAAAGAAATTTTTGTTTGTGCTAAACATGAGATTGAAGAAACATTAGTTTTCTGTACTAAATAATATAATTATTATTTAGTATTATGTTTTTATTTAGAATATTTTATGGGTGGTGCTCATGAGAGTTTTGCAGTGAGAAGCTAACATCTCCCAAGCTAACTCTAGGTGCCATCACTATTGGGTTACAAAGAGTGATCCAAGCCAGCCACTCAGCATCTATTTGCCTGCGTGGTCTTACTATACTCTTTATAACTCTTTATAAGCAATAAGTTTATAATTCTCTATAAGCCATAACTTTTGTGAAGTGAAAATAATGTGTGATAAGATAATGTCAACAGTTAGTACTGGTTTTGCAGATGGAAATAAAAGTTCATGGATAATGCTACTATTATGTAGTATAATATAGAGTCAATTTTATTAATAAAACTTATTTAAATAGGTTTATCTACTGCTTTAAATCTGTAGTTATAGGATTAATAAAGTCCAGAAAGAGCTACTTAAAATCTTCAGTTACATATAGGGCATCTTGAGGTAGAAGCTATTTAATAAGTGTTGCATTCATAGGGATTCATGAAGGTAGTGGGTTGTGAGTCCATTCTGTTCAACTTTTAAAAAAATAGTTTTTGATCTTGTATATTTTCACGTTTATTTTCAGTTTTGTGCATTTTATGCTTAAATGGAAGATAAAACTCCAATTGTCTAATGCTTCATGTAAGCACATGAAACATAATTTTTAGTGATCTGGGAGATGGAGACTGTCACAGACCTCATTAGTCAGAAAGATAGAAAATTTGTCATCCTAGGAAAACTTGCTTTTATGAAGCAGCTGGACAGACGAATATTCTAACTTTTTCTAAGTCATAGTCAGTAGATTTCACTGCCATTGTCTTTACAAACATCTGAGTGAATTAATGCATCGATCTTTGAACATATAATATATAACTACTGAATATATAAAGTCATGCTGTTTTAGATTTCATGACTGTATCAACAAATACTCTGTAAGTAATAATCAGGGTAATGTAGTTATACTCGAAGTGTTACATTTTTGAATTACTGAAGTCATCTTTATTGAATTATGTATTTGAAACTTTGTCTATGTCAGAAAATGATTTCAGGTGACTTCTAATTATTTGGAGACATCTCTCCATTAAACCTGAATGGTATTACACATCATTTGTAATTGTTGAAATTGGCATTATTTGTATAGGCTACTTTGTTCTAAAATTAATTTCTATCCCCAATAGCTCACTGGTTTATGTTTGTGGAACAAATTTCCAAAACTACTTTTTTTGGCATCCTTTTCAGTGATCAAGAATTGAGTTCATCTTTGTAATTTTCTCCTATTTATGTAGAAAGTTAGGCCCTCCTATTTGATGTTTGAAGATAAATGCAAGAGTATACTTTGGATTTCTGACCATTAAGTCACTTGGTCAAATCTTTCTAGACTGATACATTGAATCATCTTTCTTGTTTTCCTAAATACTCGAGAAATAATGTCTTTCCTATATCATTTTGTTTTATCTTGCAGTTTCTTTGCTAGTTTCCTGTTTTTGATTGACCTCACTTAGTTCTTTTTTTCATCTTAGCATTTCTTCCCTCCCTAATTTCTTGAATTCCATATGCTATTTTTTTTCCAAGAGTGTGTTCTTCTTAGGATGAAGAACTTGTATTTTTCTATGATTATGTATATCACCTGTATTGTTATTTTACTTACAATAAGACGCTCCAAAGCAGTGCTGACACAGGAACATGTAACAAAGCCCTGCGAAGAGTCTAAAATTGATTGTTTTGTAACTGTTACCAAAAAAAAAATCAAAAATATACATAAAGCTATTATTTTGGAAAAGAACAAAAATGCTAGCCATAACAATGAATGAGTTTGCAAACTATGAAATATAAAAGGTTAGAGAGAGGTTCTCAATGAGTAATAGAATTTCTAAGGGAAATTTTTATACCTTGATTACTATAGAGTGTGTGTCTATCTAGATGAAGAAATAAAATAATGAATAAATTTGCATATTTTCTTCTTTCTTTCTGTTACTAGATGAAGCAAACTTTAATTAGATCCCAATTTGCTTGTACTTATAAAGATGACTACATGATAAGCAAGGATAATTGGAATAATGTTAATTTAGCATCAAAGCCTTTGTGTGTTCTTTACATGGAAAATGACCTTTCTGGTAATTGACCTTATTTGTGCAATTAAATAACAATTTAATTCTAGTCTACTAATTAGTTTTAACTTAAGTAAAATTAGGTTATTTTTGCAAAGTACTATGAAATGTAAAGGGTAATATTTTTAAAGACCTCAGTTTATTTAAAAAGTTAAATCTAAGTACAAATTTATCGATAGGAATAGGACACAGTTTGATTTAACTAAATGTATTTAAGAAGTAATTTGTAGCATATGTTTAAGGATTAAATGTCATGCATTCAAACAAATATTTCTTAATAGGGCTGACAAGTTGATTACTGGCCAAAGCTAACTCAGAGGTGCTATGATAAAATGAAAAGTAATAGGATAGTAATGTAGCTATATTTGTCAATCATATTATTTATAGCATTATTTTACTTTAAAAATTTGAATATTCGTTAGCCATTTTTAAAGTTTATTGTAAAGTTCTCGTAAATATTAATACTCAATATCATGTAATTCCTTTCCCCTTTTTATCTTGCATAACAGAGGGTGTAAATCCATCTGTTGGAAGATCAACAATTGGAACGAGTTTTGGAAATGTTCATCTGGACAGAAGTAAAAATGAAAAAGTATCAAGAAAATCAACCAGTCAGACAGGAAATAAAAGCTCAAAAAGGAAACAGGTGGATTTGGATGGTGAAAATATTCTCTGTGATAATAGAAATGAACCACCTCAACATAAAAATGCTAAAATACCTAAGAAATCAAATGATTCACAGAATAGATTGTACGGCAAACTAGCTAAAGTAGCAAAAAGTAATAAATGTACTGCCAAGGACAAGTTGATTTCTGGCCAGGCAAAGTTAACTCAGTTTTTTAGACTATAAATTTGTGTCTTATATGCTTTAGGTTTATGTATCTATAAACCATTCACCAAAGACATGCTTAATTTTTAAGAGATCAAGGTGTAAATTATGATGATTTATTATTTTGGTCTACAGTGTATGTAAGGTTAGTATGTTAAGCATTGTTTAAAAATACTAGTAAGTCATAATTATGCAGAATTTTCACAAAGTTTAATGCACAGAGAAAGCATATCATTTCAGTTACTGATACATCTTAACACTACTTTCTTTTAAAACAGACATTTAACATACACAAGTTATAGTAGCAGTATGGGCTTCTCCTCCCATTGGCAATTAAATGCTTTTATTTTCTTCTGAAAAGATGATGTGGACCAACAGGTATCAGACTTGCCAACAAGGTCGGTAGACTCTTCCCAGCATACATCTGAGCACTGAAGGAAGAAGAAAGTTTAAATTGTTTAAAGGACTATAATTATCACACAAAATTTATTAAGAAAAAAAGAATGGATCTAGTATAACTAATTCTGAGTAAACCAAAATGATAATAATTAATTGTTGCTATTTAATCCCACATTTTTGGCAGGTGTAATTGAGCCATGGTCTTATTTGATTTTGTTATGATTGCATCCAAATTCACTTTAACTCAGAGTTCTGTTTAATGGTGGTAGGATGTAAGAATTGAATTTTGAAAAGACTACTCACTGTCAAAATCTCTCCTTCCTATAGGAAATTTAGCTGAGTTTTCTTCATCCCCAATTTCTCTCTTTTCTTGTGTTGATTCAGTATTCTGAACTCCATTCTCAGCTGGGAAAGCTACAGATCCTTTTAGTGCAAGATAAGGTTTTATAGCCAGATTCAGTGGCAGACCATGATTTAAGAAATTATGTTTGGAGCCTGTGTTCTGTAAAGAGAAGGTTGATTTGGTTTTTAGCTATCGTATTCGGAGTGGAACTATAATACAATTGTATAATATTCTTGTTGATCAATTCAAAGTTACTCTGCACTGTTTTTGACTTTTTAAAAATACCTTAGATGCAAATTTATAGGAGAAAAAACACTTTCAGATAAGAGGTGTTTGCTGGGATGGAAGAACTACCTGGCATGTAAGAAATATCGTCAGTCGTCCTAATGCATATTGTGACTGTTTGCATATACTTCTGTTTATAAAAGTATCAGTTTTACTTTTCAGAGGATTTGTAAGAATCATTTAAATTTTCATTGAAATAAACGACAAGTCACATTGCCACTTACCTTTGAAACTTTATTTTCCTCTTCGTTCATGAAACTGCTCTCATCATTTTTATATTGTTCCAGGGAAGGAGCAATAACTGATTTTTCTGCAGTGTCTTCCTTCTGAAAGCCTTTCCCCAACCTGAATGTATTAAATACCATGTCATCATCTAAATTTCTTATGGACTTGGATGCTGAAAGTAAAATACCTTGAGAAAACAAAGAAAAAGTTAGTATTAATATATAGGAAGAGAGATTCATTTTTGCCATTCTTAGTTTGATGTTTGCATACAGTCAAACAAGAAAGAAAATGAAAAATTTCTCTGTCAGCCTGCTTGGTAAACGATTCTGTATCTTTATATATTTTCTAGCTTGAATAGAAAGCACTTCAAAGAATTATACTTTTCATCATTTTAGAAATGACTCATTAGATTGAGGCTAACCTTTATGCAGCTGCTAATACCTACATTGTTTTGGTTTTAGTGACACATTGTTTATTTTGAGTGTGAATTTTCTCAGAATCTGACTAAGATCCTTGGTAGAATGCTTTCTGTTGAGTAGATTATAGTCTCTTGAAAATGGGTTGTTATTAAGGAAGACCACAGGACATCAGGCTCTCTCTATATTATTGTTTCCTTTTGTGTATTTTCTGATTAAGTAAAGATATTAAAACTCAAGTTATTTCACTCAAGGATGATAAGGATAAAGTTTTATTTCCTTTTAATCCTGATTAAACTGAAATAATCCTCAAAAGAGACTTTCTTTTATAAATACTTGATATAGTTTTTGGTGATTAAAGTACATATGCCTGTCAGTGTGAACAAAAAGCCATTCATGCTATATCAAAAATTGACCTGTCAGGTGTATTTTATCTCTGCATTTACAAAAGGATAATATGTACAAATATTTATTAATGAATTTAGAAATTAATGAATTAGTCCATGAAAAGAATATTTATGTGCCCATAAACATTACTTTTGGATGATGAGTTTATGTTGTATGACTTTTAATTAAACATTTCAGAGTTAATTTCTAATTTTGACCCCAATGAATAAGATAATACATTCTTTTATATGTCTTCTGGTACATATATGTAAGAATTTTTCTAGAGTATATTTCTCAGTATGGAATTACTGGATCATGGAGTATGTATATGTTCAGCTTTACTAATGCCAAAATGTTTTCCAACATAGTTGTAAGCGATTTGTGCCCTCGATAAGCAGGGTATGAGAATTTCCATTGTTCCATGTCCTAGCTGACTCTTGTGTCTCATTGTCCTTTTAATTTGTATTTTCCTAATTACCAAAGAGGTTAAGTGTCTTCCCATATGTTTCTGAGCCATTTATGTTTCCTCTTATGTTAAATGCTTTTTTTTTTTTTCTTTTTTGGCTTTGTCCATTTTTCTATTGGGTTGTCTTTTTCTAATTTATTTATGGGAGTTCTTTATATATTCTGGATATTAATTGTTAGTTATATATGTTTCAATTATTTTCGCTCAGTTTGTGACATATTTTCAACCCCTCTGGTGTCTTTTGGTGAACCAAACTGATTAATTTTAATGTTTAAATATTTTTCTTTTTTCTTTATGGCAACTACTTTTAATGTGTTGTTTTTTTTTAGAAATCCTTCTCAATCCTTAGATTATTAACGTGTTTTCATATATTTTCTTCTAAAAGTTTAAATATTTTGACTTTCATGTTTAGGTTTGTAATTCATCTGTAATTTTGTGTATGATATAAGATAGAGATGTAATTTTACTTTTTCCAATGTCCTTATATATTTCTTGAAGAAGTCATCCTGTCCCCACTAATCTGCAGTGCCATCTCTACAGTATATCAGATTTCTATATATGTGTGGGCTCCTTTCAGAACGTTCTATTCCACAGCCAAATCTACAGTATTAATATAACTTTAAAATAATTTTTAATATCTGGTCAAATTTCCCAGCCCTCTACTTACCCACATGTTTTTCTTTTACAGCAGTTCCTTAGCTATTCTTAGTCATTTCTTTTCCATATAAATCTTAAAATCAGCTTTTCAAGTTCCGTAAGAACACTTGACAGGATATTAAGGTTCTAGTTAGGTATCCCTTATCTGAAATGCTTAGGACCAGAAGTATTTTTGGATTTGGGATATTTTTTTCAGAATTTGGAACATTTGCATTATATCAGTTAAGTATCCCAAAATCTGAAATCTGAAATGCTTCAATGAATATATATTTTTTAGCATATTGTTAATGCTTAACAAGTTTCAGATTTTGGAGCATTTTTGGATTTTGGCTTTTCAGATTTGGGATGCTCAACTTATAATCACATTGGTTTTATAGATTTATAGATTAATTTTGGAGAAGAACTGATATCCTGAAGGTAATTTATTATCTATGAGCATGACATTTTTCTGTATTTGCTTAGATCTTCTTTAATCTTTTTTTCTTCTTTAATCTTTTAATGACATTTTCTTTTCTTCATAAAGGTCTTGCATACCTTTGTTGAGAGAATTATAATTCTTTATAATTTAATTGAATTTCTTATTTTTGGTTATTATAAATTGTATTTTGAAATGATCTT
Organism: Homo sapiens; assembly: GCF_000001405.40. Lineage (NCBI taxonomy): Eukaryota > Metazoa > Chordata > Mammalia > Primates > Hominidae > Homo > Homo sapiens. Next base: position 102,200,067 of record NC_000012.12, read on the forward strand.
TCTAACATTATTGCTGGTATGTGCATGTGCATTTGGCTTGTGCATAGTAATTTGATAACAGAAAAAAACTTTCTAAACTCTTATTTTTTTTTCTTTTTAATTGTTTATAAATGTATAGATTCTTTGGGATTTTGTATGAAGACAATTGATATAAATGATAAAATAATGGCATTTTATCTCTTTCTCCTAACTTCATCTATATTGTGTATACATGTCTTTGTGTCTGTTCATGTGTTCATACACACTGGCCAAAGCCTCCAGTAAATACTGAAAATGGAGAGAAGAGATATCTTTACAGTGTTACTGATTTTACAGATAATGATTTTAATGCTTCACCACTGAGCGTAATGTTTGCTGTAGGTTTCTTATAGATACTTGCTATAAAGTACAGGATGTTCTCTTTTGTTTCTGGCTTACTAATAGTTTTTATCATGAATTGTTGTTGAATATTATTGAATGCTTTTTTTGCATATATTGAGATGACCAGATCATTTTCTCCTTCAGTCTTTGGAAATATTAACAGATTTTTCTAATGTTAAACTAACCATGTGTTCATGAAGAAACCTTTAAATTATCGGATTCAATTTGGCAATATTTGATTTAGTACATTTTACATTTATTATGAGTAAGATTGATTTGTAATTTTCCTTTTTTATATTGACTTTGGTTTGATATTAAGTTTGTACCAATTTCTTACATTGAGGGCAAGATTTATCCTTCTTTCTTTTCTCTCTTGTTAGACTTTGGGTTTGGTGTTTTCTTGGTAGGATTTTTGTTGTTAAGAATTGATGTACTTTCTTCAGTAGCTGTAGTAACATTTAGCTTCTCTGTTTCTTTTTTAGTTTGTTTTAGGAATTTACATTATTGTATAATTTGTCCATTTCACTTAAGTACTTTTTATCTGAGGTAGACTTAACTGCTGATTTTCTCGGGGACTATTAAGATCTTTCTCAGTAAATGTTTTGTGATTATAATTATAAACAAAGGACTCTGACATCCCTTGACTTCTTTGATCTTAGAGCTTCCTTATCTTTTTAATGTTGTTAGTTGTGCCCTACTTTGTTTCCCTTGGTTTGAACCTGGTTTGGATGTGCCTGTTTAATCTATAAAAGTCCTTGTTAGGCTGGGCACGGTGGCTCACGCCTGTAACCCCAGCACCATGGGAGGCCGAGGTGGGTGGATCACCTGAGGTCAGGAGTTTGTGACCAGCCTGGCCAACATGGTGAAACCCCATCTCTACTAAAAATATAAAAATTAGCTGGGCATGGTGGTGGGTGCCTGTAATTCCAGCTACTGGAGAGGCTGAGGCAGGAGAATTGCTTGAACCCAGGAGACGGAGGTTGCAGTGAACCAAACATGGTGCCATTGCACTCCAGCCCAGGCGACAGAGCGAGACTCTGTCTGGAAAAAAAAAAAAAAAAAAAAAAAAAAGTCCTTGTTAATGGAAATCTTTTTTCTTAGATGCTGTTGTGGGAGGGTAATAAATATTAATAATTATGTACTTTGTTTTAAATTTCCACTGGATGAATTGGCTTGGCTGATCTTCACTCAAAATTGGGACCAAATCCAAATGATTTTGACGGTTTAGAGAAGTTAATGTTTTATTTTGTTTAAACTGTCATAGCCTCTGAGCATTATGAGGTTTTGCCATAACCATTTAATTATGGAGATAGTTTCCAATTTTTTTAATGATAACTTTTTTTAAAAAAAACTTTGGTTACTGTGATGTGCAGTGGAGCATAGTAGACTTCTTTTTCATTGATGCTGAAAATGGTATGTCCCCAAGTAGTAGAAGGGAACTTTGGAGAAGTAAAACTATTGCCAGATGGGCTTGGGTGGTTCAGTAAACCTTACAAAGGCAAAAGGCTTATATAAAATATGATCTTCATTTTCTGTTGAACTACTGCTAACACTGTATATTTGCAAGTCACTTTATTAAATTTCTCTTTGTTCCAATTAACACATCTTTGCTATGTGTCACCAGTAAATTAAATGGCAATTGGCCATTGGCTTACTGAGAATCATCAATTTCTTAGTGGCTAATTGTATGAGTGTAAAAACAAGATTGCTCACTTATATAAATTATCAAAAGATATAAGAAAACTTAAAATTCCTTCTCAGATTTCTATAGTAAACAACCCATACACTTTCACCTAGCGTTTACCATTAACGTTTTACTTCTATCCCTTCATCCCTTTATTAATCATCTTATTCTTTTAATGCATTTCAAAGGATATTGCATATATCAGTATGCTTTTCATGAAATACTTCAACATACGTATCATTAACTGGAATTTAATAGTTGTTTACAGCTTTTTTTTGAAGTAAAATTTATGGAAAGTAAAATGCATAAACTATAAGTGCATATTTGCTAATTTTTGACAAATGTGTTTGCTTATGAAACCCAAAGTCCTTTCAAGATACAAGACATTGCCATCACCCCAGAAAGTTATGTCTTACCTTGTTAGAGTTTACATGTACCACCATTTTCCCCACTCCCACCCGTCATTCCAACTCTGCTCTTAGACAATCACTGTTCTAATTTCTTCTGCTGTGAATTAGTTTTGCCTATTTTGGAAATATACAGTATGACGTCTTTTATGGAAGGCCTCTTTCACTCAGCATGTTTGACATTCATCTTTAATGTTGTAAGAAGCAGTAGTTCCTTCCTTTTTTATTACCGTTGTATAAATATACTACAATTGACTTGTCTCTTTTCCTGTTAATGGACTCTTGAATTGTATCCAGTTTTTGGCTATTACGAATAACACTATCTACATTCTTGCACAAGTCTTTTTGTGGACATGTGTTTTTATTTCTCTTGGGTAAATATATAGGAATGGAATTGCTAGGATATAAGATAGATGTATCTTTAATTTTGTAAGAAATTGTTAGATTATTTTCCAAAGTGATTGTACCATTTTATACTTCAACAAAGACTGTATTAGAGCTTTGGTTGCTCCACATCCTCACCAGCATTTGATGTTGTCAGTCTTAATCTTAGCCATTCTGGTAGATGAGTAGTGATATCGTGTTTTAATTACATTTTCCTAATAACTAATGATGTTGAGCACTTTTTCATGTGCTTGTTAGCTATTCATATATTTTCTTTTGTGAAGTGTCTGTTTAGATCTTTTGTTCATTTTGTTGGGCGAGGGATGTTTCTTTTTATTACTGAGTTGTAAGAGTTATATATATTACATATATATTCCTCCCACCCCAGAAATTCCCCCCAACCCCAGAATTTTCTTCTCTTTATCTATGTTTCCAACTGGAGTGGGCCACATGAGACATTCCTGTATAAGATTGGAGAGCAGAAGTGAAGCAGATGTCACGTACGGTTCACACATGATGTCGCTTATCTGCTGGCTCATGTCGTTGGCTCTGCAGCAGTCAGACCTGCGACTGCTCCACTTTCGCTGGATCCACTTTCAGTTTCTCTGACTCCTGGGACACATGTGTGCAGTTCTGTGACAAAGGAGACTAGCTGTCCTGAGGACATCCATACCATTGAGGTCAGATGCAGCAAGATATGATATGAGTTTCAGTCTATCCTCATGGGTTTCAGCTCATGCTGGTGAATTCCAGTATGTTCTTCTTCTTCCCTACTTTACATCCATCTTTCCTTCCTGGCAGCCTGCCCTGTGGACTCCAGCATTAGATGGAATGATCTGCTTAATATTGCTTAATTAGCTTTCACAATTGCATGAGACAGATTTATGTAACAAATTGTGTATATATTTCTGTATATGTGAATATGTATGTGTGTTGTTCTGCTTCTGTGATTGACTTCTGACGGACACTTCCCAACTCTTTTTATGAGTCTAGCATAAATTTGGTACCAAGACCTGATAATGCTATTACAAGAAGGGAAAATTATAGGCCAATATTTCTAATGAACATGGATGTAAAAATCCTAAACAAAATGTTATCAAATAGAATCCAGTTATGAAAAAGGTAAAATTTCATGACCAGGTGAGGTTTATTTCAGGAATGTAAAATTGAACTTTCAGAAAAAAATTGGTAAAATTCACCACTGTAAATGAATACAGGAGACAAAAACACGATCATCTCAAATATAGAAAAGCACAATGATTGGCTGTGCTGAATGCTACTGGTTGAGTAAGATGAGAACTGAGAATTTATCTTTGATTTGGCTATGTGATAGTCATTGCTGACCTTAATGAAGCAGTTTCAATGACACTGGTAGAGATTCAACCTTGATAGGAGAGAATTTAATAAGAATGGAAAGAGAACAAATGGAAACAGTGAATATAAATAGTATGTCACCGATTTACACTGAAGAATGCAGAAAAATTAGATTGTAGATGGAAGAGAGTTGGCTATTGCTATTTAAAGATGGAAGATATTGTAGCATGATAAGAAGTGGCTATGCTGAATTTGTGGGACTCAAGTAACAAAAGGATTTACATGCTGTAAACAGTATGGAATAAAATAGACATTCATCCTCCTTCCCAACTCTTAAGTATGTGTGGTGGTAATGGGATCAGTGAAGTGGAGAACGCTATAAGGGTATTTGTTATTCAGAAGGTATAGTACAAAGATTGGAGAGAGAAGAGAGAAGAAACACAGTGCTGTTTAGAGATGAAAGTGTGGGAGGATAGATATCTAGAGGGGCTCATATCTGGATGGAGAGCAAGGGTAAGAGAGAACAAGGTGTGGTAATTTGGCTAGCAAGGGAATTAGTCCTGACACTCCCTTAGAAGGTGTGTGTGTGTGTGTGTGTGTGTGTGTGTGTGTGTGTGGAGTTGATGTAGTTGGCAGGGAAGGGTAGCTCCTGGTAGGCGTTTAGGCCACTCAGAATTCAGCAATAAAATTAGGAGGTTATCCTTCTGAGACAGTTTGAATTTGGTTGGTAAGTTGACCTCCAGTTTTTTTTTCTTTCTTTGAGAAGAGTCAACTTGAGTTTTTTTGTTTGTTTGTTTTTAATTTGAAGGCTCAGAAGAGAGATCCAAGGCTTCCAGCATGTGGGCTTGTAGAGAGTACTTAGAGACGCGAGATATGGGGGCCAGCTGAGAGTGGTGAAGATGGTTAAGCTCTTGTTTTGCTCCAAGAATTGGAGTGGGTAAGGTATCTTCTCACCATGCTCAATGCAGTTGGTTTGTGAGATAGTGGGGTGGGAGACACAGGGAGAGTTTATGATGCTCCACTGTAATTAGTCCAGTAACTGTGAGACCAGTTGAGTAGGAACGTGGATATCCTCAAGCTTTGTTCCACTGTTACAGCTGGTAAACATGGATGAATTGATTTAAATATTTATTTTGCAACAATGTGGATTTGAATTATGGATATAGTTTCCTCTTTTTGGTTAATTATATGCACATTTGAATTCATCTCTGTCTATGAGTACTAGTGGACTAGCTGCTTCCCTGGATCTCGTTACTGGATGGTATGTTGCTCTTAGTGTCATCCAAACAGAATTATTTTAAAAGTGAAATGAAGAAACCAGTTGTAGTGAATTACACATCACCAATTTTTAGAGCTGTAGACTAATATCTTGAAAATTGCCTTAACATCTTTTTGCCACAAATCAAGATATAAGTAACATTAAGAGTTATGTAAGGCCAGGCGTGGTGGCTCACACCTGTAATCCCAGCACTTTGGGAGGCTGAAGAGGATGGATCATCTGAGGTCAGGAGTTAAAGACCAACCTGGCCAATATGGTGAAACCCCGTCTCTACTAAAAGTAAAAAAAACAAAATTAGCCGGCTGTGGTGGCATGTGCCTGTAGTCCCAGCTACTCGGGAGGCTGAGGCACAAGAATCTCTTGAATGCGGACAGTGGAGGTTGCAGTGAGCTGAGAATGCACCACTGCACTCTAGCCTGGGCGACAGAGCAAGATTCCATCTCAATTAAAAAAAAAAAAAGTTATGTGAACATGCTTGAAATGATGTTCATGGCTAAATTTTTCAGTTACCTTGTAAAGATGATTCTTGGATATTGTTTTGATTCTGAGTACTTTTGGAGTCATCTGATAGTATGCTTCGAGAATAACAATCTGATGATAGCTTTCAACATTGGGTTACCAACAAAGCTTGTTATTTTGTATACATTGATTCATAATTTCAGGTTTCTTCACCATTATGGTAAGTAGTGTATTGAGTCTTCATTCTAACACATGTTAGGAATTTATGTTTGTACTCATGGATGTCTTTAACCCTCAGACATTTCTACTTATATTGAGAACTCTAGACTGAAAACATTTTGAAATGTAGTGGTTTTACTATGTAGGAGGAACATGTGATTCATTTGTTCTGCTTCATTTTCTTCTGTTTGTGATAGAGATTGGATCAGATGAAAGTGTCTTGATAATGATATACATGCCATTCTTTTCATTCTATGTATTTGTAGTCCTTTTTTGCCATCATAACTTTGTTTATGATATTCCCTGCTCTTAAAATACCCTCATCTTGTCCCTCCACCTATCTATATCTAAAATATCCTTCAAGACCTTCCTTTTGCAGCTTTCTCTGAGTACTACAGCCAAATCCTCTTGTCTGAACTCCAACATGTGTAATACATTATCATCCTGTTTAAATATAATTATTTCTTATATTTATTAATTTATCAAGGCCCTAAATATCTGCATAAGCTTGCCTTCATGGTTTCACTTTTTCATTGTTCTCTATATTCATGCCATGTAACTTTGGCATGCCTTCCCACTGTGGGTGGGGTAACCTGCCCACTGTTTGACTCTGGTTTCAGGCATGTGATTTGCTTTAACTAATGAGATATTATCAGATATCATGCAAGCAGAGGCTTGAAATGGTCTTGCACATTGGGAATTCCCTCTTGAGCCTCTGCCACCACCATGAAAACATTCCCATGCTAGCCTGCTGGAGAGAGCCACATGGAGGAGAGCCATGCTACCCTAACTGCCATAGCTGAGGCTATCCTCGATCAGCACACATCCATTCAAGCACCAGACACTGGAGAAAGTCCACTTGAGGTCAGTAGAGCTGCCTAGCAGATGCCCAACTGACCCAAAAAGCATAAGACATAAACATTTATTGTTGTATACCCTCTGAAGTTTTGCATGTGTTACACCATATTACTATAGTAATAGATAATTGATACAAATGTCCTACATGGCCTGGACCATGCATTCCTTGCTAAATTTATTTCTTGCTACTCTGTCCCTCTTTCGTCACTCTCTAGTGATATTGGCCTTCTGTTTTTATGATATGCCAAGATCATTTCTGACGCAAGACTTTTTCCCTGCTATTCTCTTTGTCAGGAGCATCTTTCTCCTGTTATTTATCTGAGCATTTATCACTCATTATTGTGATGCTCAGCTCAAATATCATGGTTTCTGAGAGTGCTTCCTTGACCCTATGAGCTAAAGGAGCCCCCTTCCCACTCATTCTTTCCCTATTCCTTTCACTCCTTTATTTTCTTCACTGTGCTTCTGTCTAAAATTATCTTACTTGTTTACATGCTTATTGTCCATTTCCTCTAATGCCAGTGAGGGAGATGGTATCAAGAACAGAGTATCAAGAACAGAGTCTGGCACATAGTAGCCTTTCAATAAACATGTAATAAATGTATGAATTATTTTTTCATTAAGAGAACAGATGGTAGAAACTATGATAGGTTCTAGAATATGATAGAGTATTTACTTATTACCTAGGTCTGCTGTGACAAATTACCACAAACTTGATGGCTTAAGGCAACAAAAGCCCAAAATCAATGCGTGGACAGGACTGTGTTTCCTCCAGAGACTCTAGGGGAGAGCCCTTCCTTGCCTCTTCCAGCTTCTGGTGACTGTTGGCATTCACTGCCTTGTGGTAGCATCCTCTGCTCTGTCTTCAATGACCTTCTCCTCTTTGTGTCTGTTCCTAATATTCCTCTGCCTCTCTCTTATAAGGATTCATGTGATGGCATTTAGGGCCCACCAGGATTATCTCCTCATCTCAAGATTCTTAGTCACATCTGCCAAGACTCTTTTAGGGGTAACATTCAAAATGAATAAAGAAAACTACAGGACAATATGCCTGATGAACACAGATGCAAACCTCCTCAACGTAATACTAGCAAACCAAATACAGCAGCACATAAAAAATTGCTTCACCATGATCAAGTAAGTTTCATTTCTGAGATGCAGGTTGGCTCAACATATGAAAATCAATAAATATGATTCACCACATATGCAGAATTAAGAAGAAAAACCATATGATCATCTCAGTAGACACAGGAAAAGCTTTCAGTAAAATCCAACATCCCTTCATGATAAAAACCCTCAAAAAACTAGGCATTGAAGATACATACCTCAAAAAATAAGCGCCATCTCTGACAAACCTACAGACAACATCATACTGAATGGACAATAACTGGAATCATTCCCCTTGAGATTGGAATAAGACAAGGATGCCCACTCTCACCACTCCTGTTCAAAATAGTACTGGAAGTCCTTGCCAGAGCAATCAGGCAAGAGAAAGAAATAAAAGGCATGCGAATAGGAGAAAAAGTCGAACTATCTTCACTGATGATATAACTCGATACTTAGGAAACTAAAGACTCTGCCAAAAGGCTCCTGAAACTCATAAGCGCTTCAGTAAAGTATGAGGATACAAAATTAACATACAGAAGTTTGTAGCATTTCTATACACCAATAACATTCAAGCTGAAAGCTAAATCAAGAATGCAATTCCATTTACAATACACATGGACACACACACACGCCTAGGATACAAATAACCAAAGAGGTAAAAGATCTCCCCAAGGAGAACTACAAAACACTGCTGAAAGAAATCCCAGATGGAAACAAACAAATAGAAAACTATTCTACGCTCACAGATTGGAAGAATCAATATCATTAAAATAGTCATACTGTCCAAAGCGATCTACAAGTCCAATGCTATTCCTATCAAGCTATCAATATCATTTTTCACAAAACTGGAAAAGACTATTCTAAAATTTATATGGAACAACAACAACAGAAAGCCCAAATAGCCAAAGCAATCCTAAACAAAAAAACAAAGCTGGAAGCATCAAATTACCTGACTTCAAACTATACTATAAGGCTACAGTAAACAAAACAGCATGGCACTGGTGCAAAAACAGAAACACATAGACCAGTGGAACAGAACAGAGAACCCAGAAATAAAGCTGCACACCTACAGCCACCTGACCTTCATCAAAGTTGACAAAAATAGTCAATGGGGAAATGACTCCCTATTCTATAAATGGTTCTGGGATAGCTGGCTAGTCACATTGCAAAAGAATGAAACCAGACCTCTATATTTCACCATATACAAAAATTAACCCAAGAGGGATTAAAGTGTAAGACCACAAATTATAAGAATTCTAGAAGAAAACCTAGGAAACATCTTTCTGGAGATTGGTCATAGGAGAGAACGTATTACTAAGTCCTCAAAAGCAATTGCAACAAAACCAAAAATTGATAAGTGGGACCTGCATAAACTAAAGAGCTTCTGCACAGCAAAATAAACTATCAACAGAATAAAAAGACAACCTACAGAATGAGAGAAAATATTCACAAACTATGCATCCAACAAAGGTCTAACATCTAGAATATATAAGAAACAAACAGTTGAACAAGCAAAAAACAAATAGCCCCATTAAAAAATGGAGAAAATACATGAAGAGACACTTCTCAAAAGAAGACATACAAGCAGCCAACAAACATTTAAAAATGTTCAGCATCACTAGAGAAATGCAAATCAAAACCACAATGAGATGCCTTCTTATACCAGTTAAAATGGGTATTATTAAAAAGTCAAAAATCAACAGATGCCGGCAAGGCTGTAGAGAAAAGGGAATGCTTATACACCGTTGGTGGGAATGTAAATTAGTTTAGCCCCTGTGGAAAGCAGTTTGCAGATTTCTCAAAGAACTTGAAACAGAACTACCATTTGACCTAGCAATCCTATTACTGGTATGCATCCAAAAGAAAGTAAGTTGCTCTACTAAAAAGACATATGTACTCATATGTTCATCACAATGCTATTCATAATAGTAAAGACATGGAGTCATCTAGGTGCCCATCAAAAGCAGATTAGAAAAAGAGAATGGGGTATTATACACCATGGAATACTATGCACCCATAGAAAAAAAATTATGTCCTTTTTAGCAACATGGAAACAGCTGGAAGCCATTATCCTAAGCAAATTAACACAGGAACAAAACAAAATACCACATGTTCTCACTTATAAGTGGGAGTAAAACAGGTACTTGTGGACATAAAGGTGCTAACAGTAGACTCGGGACTACTAGGGGAGGGAGCAAGGAAGGCAGGGGGTAGGGGCTGAAAAATTGTTGGGTACTATGCTCAGTACTTGGGTGACTCAAGTAATCTGCACATGTACACCCTGAATCTAAAAAGTTGAAATTATAAAAATAATAAAATATTTTTTTAAAAGATAGCATTCACAGCTTCCAGGGATTCAGTGTGAATACTTTTGGGGGCCATTTTTTGGCCTGCCAGAAGTATAAACACTATCAACTCTAGTATATAAGAGGCAAAACAGTATTATCTGCACATGACCATGCTGTTTAAGCTCTGTGCCTACTTGCTCTCCTGCAAAGCACAGATATCAATAGTACCTATTTCCAAAGATTGTTGTGAGGATTGATATGTAAGTACCCAGTAGTTTCTATGACATAAGTATTCAATAAATATCATTACACTGTTAAACAATGCCTACTGAACATTTCCTATGTGCCAAGCTTCGTCCCAAGTACATGTCATGCCTTAGCCAATTTAGTCCTCACAACAATCCTATGAGTAGAGACTGTCTCTTGCTGAAGGTCATATACCTAGTAAGCGGTGGTGAGATTGAAACCCAGACACTCTGCTCCAGAAGTCTGTGCTCTTAACCGCTCCAGATGTGGCCTTTCTGAATGATGCTACTGTTGTTTTAAAATAATTGCTCTAGGCTCGGTGTGGTGGCTCACACCTGTAATCCCAAGACTTTGGGAGGCTGAGGCAGGAGAATTGCTTGAGCCCAGGAGTTTGAGACCAGCTTCAGCAACATGGTGAGACCCTATCTCTACCAAAAAAAAAAAAAAAGAAAAAAGCCAGATATGGTGGCACATGCCTGTGGTCCCAGCTACTTAGGAAGCTGAGGCAGAAGGATCGCTTGAGCTCAGGAGGTCAAGACTGCGGTAAGACATGATTGTGTCACTGCACTCCAGCCTGTGCAACAGAGCAAGACCCTGTCTCAATTAGTAATAATAGTAATTGCTTCAGGGCCAGGTGCAGGGGCTCATGTTTATAGTCCCAGCACTTTGGGAGGCTGAGGCTGGAGGATCACTTCAGTCCAGGAGTTCAAGGACAGCCTGGGCAATAAAGTGAGGCCCCATCTTTACAAAAAATTGAAAAAAAAAAAAAAAAAGGCAGGCCTCTTGGTGTGCACCTGTGGTCCCAGCTACTTGGGAGGCTGATCTGGGAGGATCACTTGAGCCCAGGAGGTTGAGGCTGTAGTGAGCCATGATTACACTAATGCATTCCAGCCTTGGCAGCAGATCAAGACCCTGTCTCAAAAAAATAAATAAAAATAAAATAATTGCTGTGAAATTTCTATTAACGTTTTTGGGAAAACCAGAGGCTTCTGTGTGACATGTGAATCACAGAGGAGAAATCATGAATCTTTATAGCCTTGTGTTAACATGACTTCCTTTTGTTGATAGAGTGGTTTATTAGTCTCAAGACCTTTGAAATGGCACATGAATTGCTTGGACAGATTATGGAGACATCCACCCTTCTTTAGAGATTTAAGTAAGTAGAACCAGTTAGTGTGCCTCTTCTGTTTCTCACCTTGCTCAATGCAGAATGAACTTGGTGTATATCCACCAGAAGCACCTGCTTATCTACTGTTTGCTGTCGTTGCAGGTATCTGTTGAGATTAGCTGTAACGAGTTGTATGTAATTTTATAACTAACTGAATTAAGAAAAGCCTTTGTAAGATTCAGTATCTGCTTCAGGTCATTGAAATGTAAAATTAGAAAGTAAGCTGAGGGCAGGGGATTTTTTTCTGTTTTATTCCATTTATTCCCTCACCACCTTTGCCATCCACCACCAACAGTTTCTTTTAAATTTAGCATCCAGAGTAGACCTTTGACAACGCAAATCAGATCACTTCATTTGTTCATTAAAAACCTTCAACAGGTTTCACATTATTCTTAGGATTATATTTAACATCCTTATACAGTAATCTCCAAGCCTCTCCTTGATCTGGTACCCTCTTTCCATCTCTAATCTCTTCTTTAACACTCCTATACTTACTTACTCAGCCCCAGGCACATTGGCATATTTGCTGTTGCCTGAACATGCAAATTCCTTGAACTTGCTGTTTCCTTGCCTGAAACTCTCTTTCCTCAGATATCTGCCTGGCCTTCCTCTTAACCTCCAAGTCTTGTCTCAAATATCATTTTTTCAGTGAGGCCTTGCTTGGCCAGCCCTTTCCCTCACTATATCCTGCTCCCCAACAATTGATTTTTACTTATCCATATAACTTTTATCCCCCTGTGTGCTATATATTTTACTTATTTCTTGGTTCATTGGCTGTCTCCACCAAAATGTAAGTGCCATGAGGACAGGAATTTTATTAATATCAGTTTGTTCATTTCTATACCTTTAGTGCTTTAAACAGTATTTAGCACACAGTAAGCATTCAATAAATATGTATTGGACTGGGCACAGTGGCTCATGCCTGTAATCCCAGCACTTTGAGAGGCCGAGGCAGGTGGATCACCTGAGGTCAGGAGTTCAAGACCAGTCTGGCCAGCAGGGTGAAACCCCATTTCTACTAAAGAGACCAAAATCAGCCAGTCATGGTGGCATGTGCCTGTAGTCCCAGCTACTCGGTAGGCTGAGGCAGGAAGATCGCTAGAATCCAGGAGGCAGAGGTTGCAGTGAGTCGAGATCAGGCCATTGCACTCCAGCCTGGGTGACAGAGCAAGACTCTGTCTTCAAAAAAAAAAAAAAAAAGTATTGAATAATTGAATGAATGTTCTGCAATGTAACAGTCCAGTTAGCTATATAGCACTGCTTGGGATGCAGTGTGGCCTGCTTGTCTAACACTATTATGGAGATATTTCTATGGATTTATTTGTATTATTAATGATTGAGTTTATAATCCTATCTTTTAATGTTGTGTACTTCAAATGCTATTAGTTTTCTAGATAGCCAAAGATGGCTAAACTCTCTTCTGCCCTTCTTTAACTACAATTTAGAGAAGTGGAATTTCCATGTAAGCAACCTATTGAGCATCTTTACTGAATATCTTTTATTTGTGTATATTTTGGGGGTAGTGGGGAAAAGGGACATTTTAATGGCAAAACCTAAGTTAGGGCCCCATTCTCTACTTGAAACTCTAGACATTTTTAACTGAATTTTTAATAAAAAATTACTGAGGCTTTGTAGAAAAAGATGAGAATGGGGTAGCATAGAGTAGTTGCGCTAGCCACATTTCAAGTGCTCCAGTGCTGCATGTGGCTAGTAGCTACCATATTGAACAGTGTAGATATAGAACATTTTCATCATTACAGAAAGTTCTATTATACAGCACTGCTCCAAACAGTAGGAACTCTGAACATTGAGCTAGATAATAAGATATAATCATTTTATGTTTTGTATCCACAGTGGGGAAATGTAAGGAATTGTGTCTTGTAATTCTCTTATACTGTACCTTTATTTGCTCAACAGATGTTTGTTTTGCCTCTAATAATATATACCAGGCACTCTACTAGGCACTGGGAATTCAGGGGTAGACACAATAGCCTCAGGCCTTTCTGTATGGAGCTTGTATTCTCATGGAAGAGCAGTCATTAAGTAGATAATCATACAAATAACTATAGTCTCTATAGTGCTGGTTGTATAGTAGATGTTTAAATGACTGTTGATTAATTGACTAATGTGTACAGTCCCATCATCTTCTTAGATACTGACAAATCATAGGAACAAAAAGCTAGCTAGTAATTTATAGTTAAGGTCTGCAAGTAACATTAAAATTTCAGTGCAGTCAATAAATTTAGTTCTGTTCAGACTGTTTTTGTTATTTTTCTTATTTTTGACATAGAGCAAAGATTATGTCAGTTGCCCTGTGGTTTAAAGCCACAGTTATTCTAGAAGCACAGTTGCCATCATTGAGTAGTAGCTGATCCAAAAGAATTCCAGCCAAGGTCTTGCCAATGATGGAAAGAAATGATGTGTCCTGGAAGTTGCCAAAAATTATGTTTTTCTTGTTGAAGACAATCTTTGTATCTTTAAGCCCTTCATATGTTGTGACATGAGCACATATGAATGTTCCCTAAAAGGCAACAATTATGCTGTCAAATTCATTCAAGCAGTAGTTATCCCTGTATAATTTGAAGTTATACAGATGCCTAATAAGTGTTTTGATGCTGTTGCTACTGATGTTGCTGATGACATTACATAGAAAGTTGCAGAAGATAAACCATGAAGATTGACACTTTACCATTATTATTTTGATTTTGTTTCTCTCTTCACATCATCAAGTCTTGCTTATGCTGTTAAGCCCTAGCAGTTCTTTAATATGGAAGGGGGTATGACATATAATTTCCACCTCTGAGAATTATTTTCTTTTTGTTGATTTTTGCAACTTCATCCAGACTTCTCTAAAATGGTGTATCTGTGTGCTTTGTATTGTTGGACACTGACACTGTTGATGTAATAATCAGGGGCTTATTGTACCAGTTAATAATTAGCCAAACTCAGGAGGCTGAGGTGGGAGGATCACTTGAGCCCAGGAGATCAAGGCTGCAGTGAGTCAAGATCAGATCACTGCACTCCAGCCTGGGCAGCAGCAAGACCCTGCCTCAAAAACAATAATAACAATAATTATAATAATTAGCTTAGTAATAGAAATTCAAAGTATGGGTGTTTAAATAAATCAGAATTCAGTTTTTCTATGCAAAGAGAAGTGTGGAAATAAATTTTTTAACTTCCCAAATTTTTAAACACAAGATTTTTTAAAAACTTGATCATCTGATAAAATAGCCTATACATTTTTAGGGAAATAATTCTGCATAGGGTCTTACCTCCAGATAGCAAAACATTTTTTTAAAGCTATAGTAATTAAAATATGGTACATATGGAACCAGGAATAGGTAGATAAATGAATTGAGTGGAAAGCTCAGAAATATACCCAACTGTTTGTTATAATTTATTATAAGCTAAAAATTACACTCAAATCAATGAGGAAAAGTTATTTTGTACAATGACTAGTTTAACATAATGGTCTAATCGCTTGGGAAAAAGTAAAGTTAGAACTCTATAAGTCCTTATCAGAAAATGCAGTCCAAACATAATTACAATCATATGCCACTTAATAGGGACATGCTCTGAGAAATGCTTTGTTAGGTGATTTTGTTCTGAGGACTTTATAGATTGTACTTACCCAGATCTAGATAATATAGCCTACTACCCACCTAGACTATATGGTATAGACTATTTCACCTAGGCTATAAACCTGTACAGCATGTTACTGTACTGAATACTGTAGGCAATTGCAACATGATGGTATTGTGATTGTGTATCTAGCCATATCTAAACATAGACAAGGTACAGTAAAAATACAGTTTATATATATATAAACAGAATAATGTATATATAAACAAAATATATATATGTATATATATTTAAAATGGTATGCCTGTATAGGACACTTCCCATGAATGGAGCTTGCAGGACTGGACGTTGCTCTCAGTGTCATTGAGTGAGTGGTGAGTAAATATGAAGGCCTAGGACATTATACTACTGTAGACTTAAGAAGTCTACATTTAGGTTATACTAAATTTATTTTAAAAAATTTTCTTTCTTCAATAATAAATTAACCCTAGCTTACTTTTTTTATTTTATGAATTAAATTTTTTAACATTTTATTTTTTTGTAATAACAGCTTAAAACACAAACACATAGTTCAGCTATACAAAAAATATTTTCTTTATAACCTTATTCTGTAAGCTTTTTTCTATTTTTAAATTTTTTATGTTTTTACTTATAATTTTTTGTTCAAAAACTATGACACAAACGTACACATTAGCCTAGGCCTACACAGGGTCAGGATCATTAATATCACTGGCTTCTACCTCCACATCTTGTCTCACTGCAGGATCGTCAGGGGCAACAATACTCGTGGAGCTGTCATTTCCTATAATATCAATGCCTTCTGTAATACCTCTTGATGGACCTGCCTGAGACTATTTACAGTTAACTTTTTTTTGGAGGTAGAAGGAGTATACTCTAAAATAATGATTAAAAGTATAGTAAACACATACATCAGTAAGATAATCATTTATTATGATCAAATATGTAGTGTACATAATCATATGCACTGTACTTTTATATGACTGGGACTGCAGTGGATTTGTTTATACCAGCATCACCACAAACATGTGAGTCATGCATTGCACGATGACATCACTAGGCAATAGGAATTTTCCAGCTTCATTATAATCTTATGGGACCACCTCCATATCTGCAGTTTGTCATTGACTGAAATGTCATTATGCAACACATGACTATATATTTGTACACGGAAAAAAGCTTTTAATATATTATTTAAATAATTATTTACTATATTATTTAAAGAAAAATACAAAACCATTGTAAGATACATTTAAAAAACATCAAGCATATATTTCTTTCTGGTCGTGTATATGTTTGTGTGTCTCAAAGACTATACAATCATTCCTACCTATCACAGGACATTGGTTCCAGGACACCAAACCAAAATCCAGGGATGCTCATGTCCCTTATATAAAATGGTGTAATATTTGCATATAACCTATGCACATTCTCTGAGATACTTTAAATCAATTCTAGATGACTTACAACATCTAATACAATATAAATGCTATGTCAATAGTTGTTATATGTAATTTTTAAAATGTTTATTATTATTGTGTTTTTTAAATTGTTTTGTTTTAGAGTATTTTCCATTCACAGTTGGTTGAATCTGTGGATGCAGACACACAGGGAGAACCAAGTATATGGTAAAATATCAGTAGTGTTATTTCTGGGTAGTGGGATTATAGGTAGTTAAAATACATGTATTTACTTTTCTTTGTGCCTATCTGTATTCTGAGTTTTCTAAATTAAGCCTTGTTATAAAAAAAGAACTAAAAATAAGTGATCTCTATTATTGATTATATCACAATGCATATAGGAAATATGCTTTGATGCAGGAATAGTTGTTAAAAGTTGATTTATAACTCATTTTGTTTTCTTATTTAATTATTTTTAAGAGATGGGGTCTCACTGTGTTGCCCAGGCTAGAGTTGCCTATTCACAGGCATGATCCCACTACCGATCAGAACGGGAGTTTCGATCTGCTTCATTTCCAACCTGAGTGGTTCACTCCTCCTTAGGCAACCTGGTGGTCTCCCACTCCTGGGAGGTCACCATGTTGATGCCTAACTTAGTGTGGGCACCCCATTTGTATATAGCACATTACAGCCCAGAACTCCCAGGCTCAAGCGATCCTCCTGCCTCGGTCTTCCTAGTAGATGAAACTACAGTTGTGTGCCAATGTACCTGGCTTACATAACTTATTTTATCCCCGGCTATCCAGTACTGACTCCCGGTGATTCCACAGCTCCAGATTGGCACTTCTTCCCCCTGTACCAATGCGTAATTTGATCAGTTTTCTTGATTTTCAGTATTCCTGTTGTGTGTGACTAGCAGTTTCCCTTTTGCCATGACTTTAAAACTCCCCACACCTGGCCGGGCACGGTGGCTCACGCCTGTAATCCCAGCACTTTGGGAGGCGGAGGCGGGCAGATCACGAGGTCAGGAGATTGAGACCATCCTGGCTAACACGGTGAAACCCCGTCTCTACCAAAAATACAAAAAATTAGCCGGGCGTGGTGGCGGCGCCCGTAGTCCCAGCTACTCGGGAGGCTGAGGCAGGAGAATGGCGTGAACCCGGGAGGCGGAGCTTGCAGTGAGCCGAGATCGCGCCACTGCACTCCAGCCTGGGCGGCAGAGTGACACTCCGTCTCAAAAAAAAAAAAACAAAAACAAACAAAAAAAAAACTCCCCACACGTGATGATCACCCTGTGGTCAGTTTTGTTTGAATATGTTCCAACCTACAGAGTAGTTGTGGGTAGTTTTGACTGTTCACGATAATATTTACAAAGAATTGAATAAATATTTTTTATTTCCAAATATTGGTGGTGGTCGTGGTGATTAAGAATCTGAATCGGATGAACCAGCCTTGCCTTTAGAGAAATGTCCAAGTTACGTTTGGTTTATGGGGGCTCTATATTGGGAGAAGTGAAGAGGCCTAGGACCCAGGATTTCCAAGATAAGGTTGTTCAGCAGGGCTCATAGAGAACATCATTTAGAATTTGGCTTGTTCCCAAATGATTCCCTTTATAATTCTTAACAGAGAGGCTCTGACTGTATCAGTATGGTGTTTCTTTATTAAGCAAAAGCTCATGCCAAGTGACTTCAGGTGCATTTGACTTCATATTTAGTCACAGTGTGAATTTCTGTATGATTAACTTACCCATCACCGTGATGAAGAATGAGATGGTGGTAGTGATGCTGTGATTATATTACCTCTTTCATCCTTGATTTTTGGTGATTAGTCTTCCTTGAAACTTTCTCTTGACATGGACCATCAATATGGAAATCTGAAGCTTCCATTGATGGAGGTGGTCTCTGAACTAGCATCCATCCAAGCCAGGAATAGACTGCAATAAACTTATTGAGAATAACACAATCCTTAATTGTATGTGTAATCCATGGCTTTCACTGTCTTTACCACACCAAATGGCATTGCCAAGTCTTATTTTTCCTCCTTCCTCTGCTTCTCACACAACCTCTTTTCTTCATGCAATTCCATTTTCCATTCCATTTCCATTCAATGAATCTTCCAAGCCTAAAGGTTTAAATCTGGTCATCCCCCTCTCTTCCATGCAGTTTCATTTCTAAGATGGCATTGAGGATATTGCCATGGTTGTTTCATACTTAGTTGTTATTGTTATGATAGGTAATATATAATTCTGAACTAAAATTGCTGGCTATTTTTTGTCATTGTGACAACAGGTTTTAGAAACATAGCACTCCAATTTTGCTACTGAATGTTTTGATTAAATGGGAGGGACTAGAAGACTACAATTTAAGAGCAGGCTTCAGCAATAATTTTTAAAAATAGATTCAGAGTCGATCATCTTACTATATTTCTATCTAGGCTTATCTCCCTTCATGCAGTTAGTTACAACACTTGGAGGGCTGTTTCCAAGACTGGCACTAAAGAGGTCACTTTTTCCACTCTCTCTCCCAGAAAATATCAGGAAGTGCAGTAAGGTTCATGAAAATTTAAGCTTGAAGTTTAGAAAACTCAAAACAACCCAAACCCTCAAACATTCAGTTTGGTTTGAATCTTGGACAAAGGTTTTCTATGCAGCTAGTGGAGTTATTTCAGTTTAACGGCTGTAGTAACTTCATTTCAGGGCTAGGGGAAATTATGAAACCATAACTTGGATCTTATTTTAACAAAACCAAGAAATAAAAACACTGGGGAATCTGCATGGGAAAGGGGACCTACCTAACCCCAATTGCTGCTATTTTACTGTGGCAGCTCCTCTTACTATAGGAATTATGAAACCATTCTTTCCAATTCCTTCAGAGAGAGCTGACTTTTGAAACCGATTGAGTGGCCTGCATCCAATTAATAACCCTCCTGATGTGCGCAACAGGGAAGATCTTTCATAGGTGATTAAATCCAATAGAGTTAAGGTCTGTCATCGTGATTTCCCTCCTGGTCAACTTTCATTTCAAAAGTCATCCCAGGAGAACCACTGTAGTTCTTTACCTAGTTGACTTCTGAAACAAAATTTTCCACTTCAAAGAGAGCCCAATAATTTAGACCCTATCCTCCTTGGATACAATTTATTTTTTCCAAGAATAAGAATTTAATTTAATGACTATTTATTGAGTGGCTTCATTATATCTGGCATAGGATAATATATTCCAGGCAGAGGTATACAACATAGGGGGAAAAATGTCCTCAAAGATCTTTTGGACCAGTTCAATAATCAACAATGAAACATCTTAGAACAAAAACAAATTCAAAAAGGATTTATTTTGAAATAATCTAGAAAACCTCAGTTGATTTTTAAACATACCCAATAGAGTATGTCACCTCATTTACAGTTGATCACTTATCAAATACTGCAGAGCAAAATGAGGTCGAGCCTCAGGCTCTGCAGATGTGGAGCACAGCCTAAAGGGGCAAAGCATCAGCAGCCTGCTGAATTTCTGAAGCACACAATCTCAGAGGATTTCCGGACTATTTGGGGCTTCAGAGCATCCAGAAATACTGAAAATTTAATAAAGTTCGTGTTTTCTTATTTAGGTAGAGACAGATTTGCCAGATAATAGAAGTGACTTAACTAACAAGGTTCCAGTTAATAAGTGCCATAAATATTCCCCCAAAGTATCTATATTCTTATCAAACTAGCTTGTTCTCTTAATTGAGGATATACGTAGTGATTTTAGTTGGATTATATTAAGCATTCACCACCCTTTTAAGTGATTATTTCTGCTATTATATGGAATCATGTTACTATGAAATTTGAATTAACTCACATGAAATCTGAATCACAGCCAGTGAAATGTGGTTAATGGTATTTGTTGTAACTTGAAATTTTCCTTTTTTTTTTTGCATTTCTTTTAAAATATTGTTTTAATATTATGCTTTGATGATGTCAGTATCTAATTTCTTTCCTTCTTTATGTACTTTAGAACTACAGGGAGCAAATCTGTTTCTTAGAATATAAATCCATCTAGTAAACTTTTCAAAATTTGGAGATCTCCTAGAACTATTTTCTGAACTAATAATGATGCAATAATGATTACAGTTAATAGTGGAACTGTAGGAATATCATATTCTTTAATAACTTGAAATTTTAAAATTTGATTCTGAATATTTATCAAAACTATTATTGGGCAACCAATACATACTGTGTAAAGTTCTGTACTTAGGGATTGAACCAGTGGTTGAGGAAATGAAACAAATCTGAATGTTAAATGCCTATTAAGTGGCAGGGACAGTCAATTCCAAACAAGGAAGTAATCATTTCCAGATGGGGATGGTCTGAGTCCTCATGGAGGAGGTGAAATTAGTGTTCTCCTTTGAAAGGTATATGCATTTAGAGACTAGTGAGCACGTGTTTCAGAGGTGAGAAATTGATGCATCAGAGGCTGGAAAATGCATGCTGTGTGTGTGAAGGACAATGAGAAGACCTCTTTGCTGGGCTTAAACACAGAGTTGATGTAGGAGAGTAGTGGGTATTAGAGCTTAAAAGGTAGGATAAAGCCGGATTTTGGAAGGCTGTGGGCTTTTTGTCATAGATGCAAGGAGCTGTTTTAAGTTTTTGAGATGAGGATTGAAATGGTGAAGTAGTGTTTTAGGAAGATAACGCAGGTAGTAACAGGGTAAGTGGGAAAGAAAATGGTTGAAGATACGACAATTGATTAGAAAATTTGCACTTGCCTAAGAAAAGATGATAAAAAATCTAGTGTGTAGTAGTGGCTACAGTGCTGGAAGGAGAAACATTAGGAAGAGAACAAGGAATCAATATAATTTTGAGATTGCTAGACATGGGAAGTGAGGGACAACTTAAAAATGACACCTTTTGGCTTAATGTATGATTTTGAACCTGCGTATCAGGGATAATGATTATCATAAATGAGAAATCTGGAAAATAGGTCAGGTTGGGGTTAAGGGTAGAAAATAGGCTTTGTTTTAAGTGAATTGCTCTTGAGATAGTGGCATGTCTTCTAATAAGCAGGTGGAAATGCAGGACTCAATTTTATGAGAGAGATCAGGACTAGTAACAAAAAATGGTGACCATTTATATATAAGTAACAACCAAAGTTGGAGAGGTAAATATCACCTGAAGGCTTAGAAATGCTAAAAATGGAAAAGCAAATATCTGAGCTGTGAGATGTAGGACACACGAGATTTAGGTGATGAAAGGTGGAAAAAAGACAGTAAAAGAGACAGAAAACAAAGCAATTGAAAGGTAAAGAAAAGAACCAGAATATGATAGAGTCATAGAAGTCAAACAAGTTATGAGTTTTCAAAATAATAGTAGTGATTGGCAGTATCTCATACTTTAGACAGGCTATGCAGAATGGGGAATGGAAAACACCATTGATTATGTCAACTAGGAGTCTTTGAAGCCAATTAAGTATAATTTTCATAGAGTAGGAAGAGCAGAGCCAAATTGTGTGAGAAATAAGGAGGCAGTCGTGGTAAGCAGGTATATTCAACCCTTTGGGAAGAAAGGAGAAAAAAGAACAGTGGCAAGATGAGTACCAGGCCCTCTCCTTTTCTCCCTCCCCAGGCAGATTCAATCTCTTTCATGTAGAATCACCATTTGTATGTCAATACCTTCTGGAATTATATCACAAATATAGAACATCGTCCCTAACACCCTAGCTCCCATATATCAACAGCTCTTACTTTGGTATCAATAGATGCCACTTCAACTTCAACATCCGAAACTAAATTTATAATTTCCCCGTGCTCCTACTAAAAAACAAAACAAAATACAAATAAGCATAAATAAACAACAACCAGGTCTTCTTTTAGTGTTTTCCATTTCAGTAAGTAACATGACACTCTCCCCACTTGCTCACGCTAGAAAGCTCGGGGTCATTTTTGATACCCCCCTTTGCTCTTCATTTCTGTCATCTAATTCATCACCAAATCTTGTAAACACACTTCTCTCCACATCCACTGCCCCACTAGTTGAAGACTCGGTCATCTGAACAAACTCAGTAATATTTCACGTGTCTCCTCTGCATCTCCTCTTGCTCCTCACAGAAGCCAGTGTAATCCTTTAAATCCACAAACCTGATTACTATTACCCTCCTATTTAATACCTTCTAGTGGCCTCTTTTTTCCTTCAAGCCAAGTGATGTTATGAAAACAACTATTTTAGAATGAAGCAACTAACTCTGTATGGAGGAATTAGAAAAACCTTCATTAAGATATTGGCATATGGACTGGCCTTCAGTGTCTTCAGGTGGAGAATTCTATTAGTGTGAAGTATGGGATGAGAGTGACAGAAGATCATTCCGGCTTGAGGAACGTCATGTGCCAAGGTAGGAAGTAGGTGTTCAGAAAAGCGTGACAAGTTCAGAGGGTGATGTCAAGGGATGGGGAGTAGCTGTAGAAGCCAGTTTTTGAAAGCCCTTTGATGTTGGATTTTATGGAGGTTTTAAAGCAAGGGATAATATAAAGAACCAAGCTTTTTGTGGCAAAGGGGAAAGTTGACTGCAATGTTTGAGAGTCTTAGAGAAGAGAGAGCAGTTTAGTGCCTGTTGTAGGGACCCAAGAAAGGTGATAGAGGCCAAGACAAAGGCTGTGGGGCTGGGGAGAAGATTCCAGGCATATTTAGAGTAGGACCTACAGAAGTAATGCAACATTTGAGGCTAGATGTCCTTGAATAATGTTATTGTGAGTGGGTTTATGTGCAAAGCCTATGATCTGACCCTAAATTGACATGTTATTCTGTGGTCTCATACTCTGTAGAATGTATTATTTTTGCCACATGTAAAATGTACTAGAGATAAATTACAATTAGTTTGTTTCCTAGTCAAAGCTACACTAAAATTACAACCCAGTAAAAATATTTTTAAGAATCCAAATATCTGGATTTTTCACAGTTCTGTCTCTGATAAGTTTTAGAAACTTGGTCAAGTCATATACTCAGCCGGAGGCTTAAATTTCTCATTTGCAAAAGGAAGGAGTTGACTAGACTCACTGAATGACCTCTAAGGTTCCTTCAAGTTCCTTGGAACCAGTGTCAACCTCTAGGGTATTTTTCTGCTTTAGTTGATTGACTTGATTCTAACTAGCAGGAAGCAGACGGCTTCAGAGTTTCTTGAAAACATAGTTATCTCCTTGAAGAACTGTGGTCTAGGGAGTGTTCTGAGTAGCATTCGTAGACCCACCTTGTCTTATAAAATGCATTACATTTATAATCCTTCTAGAGGATCTTTCCAATCTCCCGTAGCTGGGTACCAAGCAAAAATCATTCCAGTTAATAAGAGCCATTTGTTGGTAATAGTTCTATTATATTTGGTGTGGCATATTTTCTTTTCTCCCCAAGGCTTCTCTTAACTAGGAGAAACTTAAAAGTACATTCATTGTCAAGTCTTCCTAGGCTTTTGATTTCAAGAACTTGTGTAGAATTATGTGTTTTTTTCCTTCAAGTACAATTTGCAGAAGGGTAGAGACATATATAATTTAATTGAACAAATTTAAACTTCCACTGTGTATGAAGCATTGTGGAGAAAAAGCAGGATGGGTAAAGGAATGTGCCAAGAGGGATAAGGCGCAATTTCTGTCTTCAAGTAAGTATATTATTTAACAGGAGAGCCTACAATGTTAATACATACTTCAAGTAGGTATATGAAAATGGTAGTACAGTAGAAGAGAGTGCTACATGTAGGATGAGTATGATTACTCCAGCCTTGGGCTTGCAAATTGGAATAACTGTCTTCTGGTAAGCGCTATTCCTAAATTCTGTCTGAGCTGGTGAATATTGGTATGAATAACCCAGGTATAGGTCTAAAATAATTGATCAACTTGTCTTTGGCAAGTGTATATAAAGTTTTAAGCAATCTCTTAACCACTTCAGATTACAGCGTATTGCTCATGTGAGAGATAAAAATGACCAACTGCTTGAAAATGGTTGATTGGTTATAAATAGACACAGTCTAAATTTTTGGCAAGAGCATGATAAAAGCTTTTATGAAGTTATGAAATTGTGGCAACATATTGTCAACTGTGGCACTTGAAGTCAAGTCATTAGAGAATCACATGAACAGATTTAGTATACTACTAAGCTGACAGACATACTGGCATAAACAGTTATTAAGCTGCAGACTAAACTGAAGATCAATTTTTTAAAAATGATGCTTTGCAGCATGTTGTATGGGTATTACATTTTTTATGTACATCATATTCAACTCCTGGATGAGTGTTATCTTAAGGTTTTCTGGGTTGAATTTAACATAAAGATAACAGGATTCCATTTCTAAAGATGGGGCATTTGTCTCATTCAATGTGAGTGCTAAAATATTCTTGTTCTATAATTCATTCTTCTGAGAGATAACTATGATTTCTGGTAGTGTAAAGGTGTTCTTCCCTGTTTTGTCTTTGTACCCTGAGAATAAACAATCATAGGTAAAATAAACTTAAAATAAATTGTAGGTGAAATAAACTTGCAGGTTTAAAAAGCATAAGAAAGCTAGTAAGCCAGGAAACTGGTATGTATATATATTTTATAAACCTGGTATTATATTTTATGTCTTCATCTAATTATGAAAGTGATTAAAAAGTTTAATATAGTGAAAAATGTGTCTAAATTGTGACAAAAGTTCTGATCCCAGATTTATGTCTGTATTTGTTCTCACGCTGCTAATAAAGACATACCCAAGACTGGGTAATTTATAAAGGAAAGAGGTTCAATGGACTCACAGTTCCACATGGCTGGGGAGGCCTCACAATCATGGCAGAAGACAAAGGAGGAGCAAAGTCACATCTTAGGTAGCGGTGGACAAGAGAGCTTGTGTAGGGAAACTCCCATTTATAAAACCATCAGACCTCGTGAGACTTATTCACCATCATGAGGACAGCACCATCATGAGAAGAGCATCATTAAAACCCGCCCCCAAGTTTTAATTACCTCCCACCAGGTCCCTCCCATGACACATGGGAATTATGGGAGCTCCAATTCAAGATAAGATTTGGGTGGGGACATAGCCAAGCCATATCAGTGTCACTAGGCCTTTAAGTTGGAGCAGTCCTATAAGAGGGCATGGAAAAGTCTAAGTCACCTTAAGGTATGTTTCCACCAGCTCTAAGCCTCTATTCTCCATCAGTATGTTAAGGCATACTGTTTAAAGAAATTTTTGTTAAAATGAAGTCTGTTGTCTGGCAGGAGTAAGATCTTAATATTAGCTGACAATTAAGCACTTAATTTGTGCCTAACATTATGCTAAGGACTGTACATTGGCTCTCTTAATGCTTATTAAATATAGTATGGCTATATAATATATATAATATATAATACTTATGAAATTGGTACTATTGTATTTAATCATTTTTAAGACACTTTTCACATTTTAGCACTCTAAAATTGGGATGTTTTACAATCAGTGACTTTTTTTGTTGTTGTTATTGTTTTGAGACAAAGTCTTCCTCTGTCGCCCAGACTCCAGGCTGGAGTGCAGTGGCACTATCTTGGCTCACTGAAGGCTCCGCCTCCCGGGATCACGTCATTCTCCTGCCTTAGCCTCCCGAGTAGCTGGGACTACAGGCGCCCATCACCACGCCCGGCTAATTTTTTTGTATTTTTGGTAGAGATGGGGTTTCACCGTGTTAGCCAGGATGGTCTGGATCTCCCGACCTCGTGATCTGCCCGCCTCGGCCTCCCAAAGTGCTGGGATTACAGGCGTGAGCCACCGCGCCCGGCCTACAATCAGTGACATCTTACAAACATAATTTAGAGTATTCTTGTTCTGTAAGTGGCACATAAAATCATGGTGAGAGTGACAATAAGAAAGCATCATAGATTAGATGAAATATGATATTAGCCACCATCCCCCTTTACCCAATCTGACCTAAAAGGAACCGAAACATGAAGAAGTTAAGTAATCTGTTCAATATCACAGAACTGGTAAATGCTTGAGCCAGGATTCCACACAATTGTTTAACTCAACCCAGGAACAATGCTTCCACACAGCATACCATGCTGCCTGCTGGTAATCTACCAGCACTTCTTAAGCTTTGGCGAAATTGGTGTATCTGAGTAGCCATCTTCAGAGAGCTGCACACTGGAGTTGCAGTGGCACAGTGGAGTTGGGAGGAGAGAGAATTTGCAAGGTCCAGAATGGACTGCTGAGTGAAGAGGCATGGTGGAAGACCCTTGGCAGTCGGGGTAATCATGAGTGAAATAGACCCTGAAAGGACAGAAAAGTTACAGGAATGTAGGGAAGCCATAAAGGTGGAGGCCACCCATTTTACTATTTTATCCAGGTCCAGACCTGCGTGTGCAAATACATCTATATGGGACACAGAAAGAAAATTCTTATGTATCAGGGAGAGTTATTTATCTATAGCTATATATTATCTATTTTTATATATTTATCCATATACGTATATCTAAATCCATATATTTTGAGAGACAGAAAAAAAAAGAAAAAAGAAAGTTGTGCTTTTTTTTTTTTTTTTTTATGATGGAGGCTTACTCTGTTGTCAAGCTGGAGAGCAGTGGCATGATCTCTGCTTACTGCAGCCTCCGCCTCCCAGGTTCAAGCGATTCTCCTGCCTCAGCCTCCCGAGTAGCTGGGACTACAGGTACACGCCACCACTCTCAGCTAATTTTCGTATTTTTACTAGAGATAGGGTTTCACCATGTTGGGCAGGATGGTCTCAATCTCTTGACCTCGTGATCTACCCGCCTCAGCCTCCCAAAGTTTGTGCTTTTTTAAAGGGAATATTACATTATGAATAAATATTTTCTTATCCTACAATTAGAATTTAAGATTTGATGTGTTCTGCATGTTTCTTTTTTATTTGCTTTCCCCCCCATAGTGCCATAGCACAATTTAGTGTAAATATTAGGAAGGGCAAGCATTTATTGAATACATAAATAATAAGAACTCTCTCTTTACCTCAAATACCATACAGAATCTTGGAAGCTTATTTGAGTTTAACAAAAAGATGCTTTAAGTGGGGGTGGGGAACCTCCTAAAGAGTTGTATCAGTTACTGAAATAACACAGACTAGTGTAATTTCTATTCCTGCTTGTCAAGAAACAAGGTAGGCAAATTAAAGTCATCAGGATCTAGCACTGCTGCTCTGCCTCCAACAGAAAAGATGAGCCAATGAAAAGACAAGCCAGTGAAAATACACTGTTACTCCCTGTCAGCCCCAGTGGCCATATGCACAAACACTATGCAGACCAACACGTACACACACACACACACACACACACACACACATATAAATTTATGTATTTTCTTTTGCCTATGTGTCTAGTCAGCTTAAATGGGTCGACTCGTGTTTTGGCTCCTATAACCAAACCAGACTCTTTGGCTCAGCTCTACCTGCAAACTTTCTGGCCTGCTTCAGTATAGTGAAGTGGTTTAAGTTTCTGAGAACAAATAATTAGGCTCTAGGAGAAGGCCAGGATTATACAAAACCCATTCGTTTTTGCTTCTGTGGGTTCTGTGTCTCCGTAAAAAAGGAAAACAAAGTTAGGTAAGAACAGTGTTCAGCTATGTGAGCTTCATGATATTTCTCCTATTATGTTATCAGAACACTTATTTAATTTTTGTTGTTCTGAACCTGAGATACTTAGGGATTAGTATTTTAAGTTACATCTCCTTTTAACCAACAATATAAATCTTAGACTCAGAATTAGTGTTGGCATGGACCGGAATCTGCCCTTATCTTTGTTCCCTCACCTTATCTTTGTTACTTATCTTCACTCTTTGGACTTAAAAGGTAATGAAGTTTCAAACTAGGTTTAGGAGCATCTTCAGCTACAGAAGGCGAGATATAAGGTATTTATTTATTTATTTATTTAAACTTACTCCACTATCTTTCTATGGTACTTTCTCCATATCATAAAAACTTTGGAGACCTGTATTATTGGGAAGATTGCTCAGCTACAACAGAGACTAAGTGAGGCACTGACTTCATCAAGTGATTTTTGGTGATCAAGCAGCAATAAATGTGCCCAATATAAACCTTCTCTTCCTCCAGTTCACAGGCACAGGATTTAAATCAATTTTAAGTGGTTTTAAAATGTAGCAGAGATTTCACTTTTTAGGTATTTTTTCTTTATCAGAGATATAACTTCCAAGAGATTTTTCTTTATTACTCCATTTAGGTGTTTTTCCAAATTATGAATCATCTACTATACTTATTTATTAATTGATACTTTAGTGAGTTAGAGTGAACTGCTTGCGTCTTCATTTACCCAGAGGTGACCACTAGTATTATTTTTATAGAAGTTACAGATATTTAATTTCCTAAGAAAACCACAACCTTGTCTGTTAAGCTTGGAGTGAGGTAGACAGAGGAGAGGGCAGGAAGCACTTTTCTCACATTCAAGCTCAACATCATGTCCAGAGGAAATAGGACAGAAACCTTCTTTCCCAGTCGGGGGGCTATTTCCTAAGGGAAAGCAGGGAAGTGAGTGTTCCTTTCCTAAGGGAAAGCAGGGAAGGGAGTGTTCCCCTCGATGGCTTTATTTTCTGTTTTTAATCTAGTTCGTCAGATGGAATTTTATGATTCAGGAATTATCAGTGTCACCTATGAGTTATTAATAGAATAGCAAGTTATTTTGACCAGTGAGGTGGAGGAAAAGGAAATGATAATAAGAGTAACTGCTCACTTTATGGGACAAGGAGATGAGGTCAGAGGAGAGTAAAAATAATCCATGTGAAAGATTATGTAAAAGTTAGCTAGATAGGAATTATTCTACTCCTTTCCCCAAATAACTTTTGTAGGGTAATCCTAATTCCTTAACTTAAAAATAAGGACAAAATTATGATAGAAAACTAGTTTAAGCCTTAGAGAACCAGAGAAGTGTGCTTTATCTTTCATTTCCATATTTATCTTCACCCTTTGCTTTTTCAAGCTGTGGACAAAAACTCCACCACCTTTAGAGGTTCTGGCTTATCCTAATAATTTGAATCTTTCCTTATTTTGGTTTCTAAGCTATCAATTCATTTTCAGCTTAACCTATTCTGGAGCTTGGTACTGAGACTGCAGAGAAGGGAGGTAAGAAAACCTCAACATTTCTAAAGTTTGGAAGTGAACATTGGACATATTCCTTTATGGTTCAAGTGCAATGTTATAACTCTTCAATGGTGATTTAGTAACTTGTCACATCTGTGATTTTCATGTGTTTATTCTGCTTTTTTATTTGGAGTGCCAGAGAGTTTTGCTTGGGTCCTTCAACAATTGTCTTGGTCTGATACCTGGCAACACAACATAATAATCAATCTGGGTTTGTACTTTTCATTGGAATGCTGAAAATGTACAGTTTGGCAAAGATTGGAAGGGCAGTTCTATGGAACTACACCAACTGAGGTCATTGGCCACATGAAGATGGCCAGATCTTCCACCAGAAACAGACAAATGATGAGTTTTGAGGTCCAATGAAGTGGTCACTCTCATAATTATGGCAAATTTATGAACTCTGAAAACAGTTCAATTGCATGGCCTTCTTGGATTTTTGTACAGCTTGAATGACAGACTTGTAGACTCTGAAGCTGATGGTGACAGAGAAGAGAGCCATGGTGAAATAAGAAGCCACAGTGATGATGCTGAAATCTCCAGGGAAAGTAGCATGATCCATGTGGGGTGAAGACAAACTCAGATTTCTTCACTTTTTGTCAGGAAACCAGATGGTGTATTATACAGAAAGCTGAAGAACAGGCTCCCAGGCAGCCCCTTTATCACACCTCCTTCTCCTGTTGCTGGGCATGGAGTGTTTGTCCCTCAAGGACAAAGAGGAATTAGATGGAATTGAGTGGCCTCCAATAGCTTTGCCATGGGCTTTTTCAGCAAGGACAATAGGAAAAGAAACAATAAAATAATTACGCCATGGGTTCTCCCAAGTCCCTTCACTCTTTCCCTCCATGCTTAGACGCCAACTACTAGTAATGTCTTGATAGCTGACCTTCTAGATTTTATTATTTTACATACCATTTTGAACCTTTCTTGCTTAATATTTCATTTAAAAATCTCTTCGGCCATTGTATTTTTCCTCATCAAAAATATTCTCCAAATGTTTTATTTCCAATTGTCTCTCTACCCTTGCTCCAATCCCATTCCACACAGGTAGCTACCAGTAATATTTTGACTTCAATTATTTTATATGCTAACTGGAATTATAGACTGTGATAACTGGAAGAGACCTTGGAGATCATCTTTCCATCTTTCCCTACCTTCTTTCACTGTCCTACCACTGCAGGCTTCCAGAAGATATATAGACAGGCTAAATGCCCCACCCTAAATCCCACCTCAGCTAGGAATTGACATGGGACTAGAACCCAGGTCTTTTCATTGCTAGTTAAGGGACCTCACCAACCTCATCCCACAATTTTATATTTTTAGTTTGCTGGATGTCCTAAAGAAGTAGTTTCTGTAAGACGGATTTGAGTGGTTTATGGCCAGATTGAATTTACAAGGTGACCATCCGTTTTTGAAGGAAAAACAAACACACTTCTAACCAAATAGAAATGACTGTAGTTCATCTATTCTGTCCCTCCTTTGGCCTCCATGACTGGTCCCACAGGACCAGCGTTCTGCTTTCCTGGAGCAGCTTTGTTGTACTGAGATTGTCCTTAGATCCATCTATCACATGGTAACGTTGGCCTTCTTTTCTCTTTTTTTGGTCACTTGCTTTGGGCATAGGCACAGCTCTCCATGCTTTTGCTTCAAATGTTTCTAGAAAGATGGAACTTAAACCAGCTGGCTATTGGAGTTGCTGATCTTCTGGGTATCTTCTAAATATTCCACATAAAACCAGGATTTTCTCCTGATAGAGACATTGTGTTTTTTTATTCATGTGCCCTCAACTGAGATTTATAATTTGATCAGTAAATTCTTACTTACCTTAAACTCTAGGCTGGCCTTTTTCTTTATATTTATATATCTATATCTATATCTATCTATATATATATTTATAGATTTTTTCTTTATATTTTTAAGCAGACCCCTCCCTAGACTTTCACTCTAAGTTCAATTTGAACACTTCTCACACCTTCTTTTATAGACATAAAATGCACACTTTCACAAAATAACACTAATAAAAACCTTCAGATCTCATTCTACCTCCACCCCCTAACCATTCTCAGAACTTCTCACTTACCTGGCCCACCTAGAAGTCCTAAGATCACTCTTTTCCACACTGGCCCAGATCTTTGGTCTTTGTTCAGGGTCCATAATGTCTTTTGAGTTATATTAAGCATGCTTACTTTAACTATAGTCAGTTCTCTGACACAGACAGAATTCATAGTGAGTTTTGGATAAGGTCTTTTGTTTTGTTTTGTTTTTTTGTCAAGGATCCAAATTGACCCAACTTGAATTTTTAAAGAAGAACATGTCAGGGGTGGATGCCAAAGAGGCCCACTCTGCAAATATATTTTGCAATTAACAGAGTTCAAGTGAGCTCTTCTGAGTTTGGTGGTGGCTGTTGTTGCTTGGGGATCTCTTTCTTTCACATAAGTCTCTGTCTATTGTTTCCCTTTGTGTGTGCTTGTGTGTGTGCTGTGGGACATGATAAACAAGTATCATTTTGTTTCATGTAATTACAGAATCATGCTTTTATGTTTACCTTTCATATCCACTTTAAGGATAGAATCTGTTTTACAATTGGGACTGCTTCTATGACCAATTCTGTAGTGTTGCCTTCAGTTCAGGCACATGCCTCTGAAACCTTAATCGCAAACAGATGCTGTTCTGAATCAAGAGTTTCCCTCTTTGGCTACTCAGCCTGAGCAATGAGCTGCCTGACTTGGATCCTACAGGCTTCTTGAAAAACTCCACAGGCTGCCTTACTAGCACACTGGTAACATGCAGAAGATTGATATTTTCCAGGCCCAAGCAAGACTTTGAAATAGTACCTAGCAGTTGCAGAGAGCTATTTATTTTCCCCTCCTCCCAGAAGTGTTTTCACATACATGATCTCATTTTATCCTTCAAATAGTCCTTGGAGTTAAGTAGGAAAAGCAGTATTTTCCCCTAGGAACCTGAGGTCCAGAGATGTTAAGTAACTCGCTCAAGGTCACACAATTAGCCTTGACTTGTAGTCTGTTATTCTTTCCACCAAAATGACACTAGCATTTACTTTGTCTTGTTTCAAAGTTGTTCAAAGTCTTTTAGGTGCTGGTTGGATCCAAGCTGTCATTCTTATAGCTCAGATTTAAATAAAATTTGTAACATCTTTTAGTGTTTCATGTGTTTTTTTTTTTCCCCTAGGCCTTAAGATGTGTCTAAAGTGGTAATTTTGTGGGGCCTTAAAAATTATGTGGGAGAGAGAACCTTTATAAATAAAAGTTGAAGGAAAAAAATTATTTGGGGAGCTTGTTCAGTAGATCATGGTTCAATAGAGCAAAGATGCAGTCGTAAATTTGGCATTCTATAACAAAAACCACCCATGTGATTCTGAATTAGGAGGTCTGTGTAATCACTGTTCTCAGAGCTAAAGTAAGCAAGGCATGTAAGACGTCTGAGGCTCACTTTCCTTATTTAAAAAACAAAGGCAAGACTAGAATCAATTAGTAAATTGTCTCCAGAAATTAACATAGATTCTAATCTCCTGTAAACTTAACAGCTCGCATCAGCATTCTTATGATGGAAGAAACAGTATTTGTCTGAAAAAATACCTTGGAGTTAGAAAGTCCCCCACAAGGGACTGGGTTTTCTGGAGAGGGAGGGAGGAAGAATAGAGGAGAATTTATTGAAAGACATGAAGTTGGGAACTCTGTAGGTTAAGGACCAACAGAGAAATCCCTAGGAGTGGATGGCCAGAAAGGACTCTGGAGAAAGAGGGATGATTGGTATAGAGTTTTTAAATGTTTGCTCTGTGATCTTCATATAGTCAGTAAAATCTATATTTTGTGTGACTGGTAACTTTCCTATAGGAATTCATGAAGAGGCCGAGCTTTGCTTTCAGAATGACATAATGCAGAACTGAGCAGAAGAGATACTGAGAATATAAGTCTTGGGAATTTGCAGAAGTCTTGGGGACAGCTTTGGATTTCTGCAAACTAGAACTGAAGGCTTAAATCAACTTCACTTAACTATCCATGGGATCAATGTGATCCAGGTGATGTCTGGGGTAATATATGACAATAAGCATGAAGATCTAGAAAATATTATTTAAAAAATACTCTTATGGCTTTAGAACAGGGGTCTCTGGTACCCCACAGAGGTACCGGTCTGTGGTCTCTTAAGAACCAGGATGCACAGCAGAAGGTGAGCTATAAGCAAGTGAGTGAAGCTTCATCTCTGCTCCCCATCACTCATAGTACAGCCTGAGATCTGCCTCCTGTCAGATCAGTGGCAGCATTAGATTCTCATAGAGGTGTAAATCCTAGTGTGAACTGTGCATGCAAGGGATCTAGGTTGTGTGCTCCTTCTGATAATCTAATGCCTGATGATCTGTCACTGTCTCTAGTCACCCTCAGTTAAGACCATCTAGTTGCAGGAAAACAAGCTCAGGGCTCCTACTGATTCTACATTATGGTGAGTTGTATAATTATTTCATTATATATTACAATGTAGTAATAATAAAGTGCACAATAAATGCAATGCATTTGAGTCATCCTAAAACTGTCTTCCTCCCACTGGACCATGGAAAAATTGTCCTCCATGAAACCAGTCCCTGGTGCCCAAATGGTTGGAAACTGCTGCTTTAGAAAAACTAGGATAAGATTAGATATCTCATAATAAAGGTGCACATCAAGAAAGTGAATGTGAACAAAGATGTTTGCAAACAGAGTACATGAAGATCAAGAACCTTGAGATGCAGTTCCAGCTTTGGCCAGTTTGCAGAATGATTTTAACTCAGTTTTAATGTGTTTGTTCCCTTTCCCATGTAATTTATAATGGTAGTTCACATGGACTGTTGATGCTTGTACTCTAGCAGCCAGAACCAGAAAACTGGGAATTTTCTACATCTGGAAATATTTACCTCGGGATCTTGAGAAAGAGTTCTTGGTCTGAAGAAGCAGAGGATGGGGAGGAGCAAGGCAGAGAACAACAGAACCAAAGTGTTAATTTCCAGTTTAGTAAAGAACGGACATTTTACATGAATGCAAGGAACAGAAATGTCCTCTTTACAGAGAAATAGGCATCCAGATATGTTGTCTTAACGATACTGGGATACTAGACTAGTATACTAGAGAGTCGCAAATTTAGAGGACAACAAGATTCTACTGGAATGCTTATGTCAGATGGTTTCAATCCTTTCAGTAAAAAAAGGGAATTAGCATTATCTGCTGAAAAGTAAGGGTTGGGATTGTAGAAGTTTGTGGCCTTCAAAAGAGGTCTGAACTAGTTTTGGAAGAATGAAGCTAGGGAGGCAGTGATAAATTAATGACAGGACCTGCCCATGAGTGGCTAGGGCCAAAGAGTTCCTGTACTGTCTTATATAAACTGCTAAAATAAAAACTCCTTCTACCTTCTTACTGTCAATGAAATTCAATTCCCTTTGAGAATACTGCTTACATGGTTTCTTATTCTCACCACCCTCCCTGCCCAGCCCCACTCCACCACAGTGATGGAACCAGGAGAGAAAAGCAGAGAAAATACCAATATTCCTCTGGTGTTCTCTTTCAATTATTCTTGCAATTAGCAAATATTTGTTGAGTAGCTACTAGTCTAGGTGTTCTGGTCTAGGTGCTGGAAGAAGCTTATTTTAACTCTTTTGATAAGAATACCTCTTTTGAAGCCTATGCTGTATAAAAATACCACCTCTTCTTTTTGCCATCTTTTACCAAATTGCACATTTGTTGAAGGTATTGATGCTTGTCTTTCAAGTCTGGATTATGGGTATGAGTTGAGTGGAGCATTCTTTGAGCTGTCCCTCTGCTCTTCAGATGATTGAGACCATACCCTAAATCTCTTTTCATTAAGCCATTGCATACAACTGAAAAGATTTATTGGATATCACAATCTTGCTCTGGGACACTTTAACCTATTCAGCAAATTTAACTATGAGTGTAATGGCCATACCCTTGTTTTGATCTTTGCCTCAAGGTTGAGTCTTGATCAGCGTTTGTTGCTCAGTTGTTTATTTTACCTTATGGGATTGAAAAGCAGTTGCTTTCTCTAACCCTGTTAAGTCCCCAAATTCCTGGACTTTTTCCCTTTTATTACTGATTGCATATTGGTCGATCCTTTTCTAAGTACATTTCTTCCTTCTAATACCTTGCTATATTCGTTTTCTGGAGCTGATGTTACAAAGTCACAGAAACTGGGTGGCCTAAACACTAGAAATTTATTGTCTCCCATTTCTGGAAACTAGAAGTCTGAGATTAAGGCATCAGCAGAGTGGGTTTCTTCTGAGGGCTATGAGGGATAATCTATCTGTTTAAGCCTCTTTTCTAGCTTTTGGTGGTTTACTGACAATCTTTGCTGTCTCTTGACCGGTGGATGAATCTCCCTATTTCTGCCTTCAACTTCACATGGCACTCTCCCTGTATGCATGCCTCTGGGTCCAAATTTCCCCTTTGTATAATGATACCGATTATATTAGGACTTCCTTTAAATAATTATCCGTATGTCCAATTCTGGTGTACTGGGGATTAAGGATGACAGTATATCTTTTTTGAGGAGCTAGGAGGACACAGTTTAATCCGTGATACTTACCAAATACAGCCAACAGCAACTACGACATGCTACTGACATTCTGTTTTCTAACCTTTCTTTCCTAGGGTTACAAGTTAGTTAAGTATATGATTTGCCTTCCAAGTTACCTCAAGCAAAAGTTTTAACAAATGTTACCAGTTTTAGCCCGTTCTAAATTTTATAACCACCAAAATACAGGCTCCTAAGCCAATGCCACGTATTCTTTCACATTCCAATTTGTGGTTCTGGAGACACCAAAAAATTAACATAATATTCACAATAGTTGCCGATGGAGGCTGGAAAACATTTGCAATATTAGACTACTAATATTACTCTTAAATTTATAAATAGTCCATTTGTACTCTTGCTATCTCCCTGCAAATGTTAGAGGAGGTGTTTCTGACTCCAGATACTTTTTTGCCTGCACCAGTTATTTTAGTTTCTTTCTTTCTTGCTTTCTTTCTCTTTTTTTGTTTTTGTAGTTTTGTACCTGTACTGTACTTGTAGGATCATTTTGAAGAGAGAGGAAGTATTACAATTAGTCCTATGTTCAAAGAGGTAAAAGCAACTAGAAAAGAGAAGTGGCAGCACAGAAAAGCAGTAGAAATATAGAACCAATTTTCTGAGCATACAGAGAAAGAACAAATGACTTGTTTAAAAGGGTCCTTTTTTAAAATTATACTTTAAGTTCTGGGATGTATGTGCAGAATGTGCAAGTTTGTTACATATGTATACACGTGCCATGGTGGTTTGCTGCATCCATCAACCCATCATCTACATTAGGTATTCCTCCTAATGCTATCCCTCCCCTAGCCCCCCACCCCCTGACAGGTCCTGGTGTGTAATGTTCCCCTTCCTGTGTCCATGTGTTCTCATTGTTCAATTCCCACTTATGAGTGAAAACATACAGTGTTTGGTTTTCTGTTCCTGTGTTAGTTTGCTGAGGATGATGGTTTCCAGCTTCACCCATGTCCCTGGAAAGGACATGAACTCATCCATTTTTATGGCTGCATAGTATTCCATGGTGTATATGTGCCACATTTTCTTTATCCAGTCTATCACTGATGGGCATTTGGGTTGGTTCCAAGTCTTTGCTATTGTGAACAGTGCTGCAATAAACATACGTGTGCCTCTATCTCCTTCAGTTCTGCTCTGATCTTAGTTATTTCTTGCCTTCTGCTAGCTTTTGAATTTGTTTGCTCTTGCTTCTCTGGTTCTTTTAATTGTGATGTTAGGGTGTTGATTTTGGATCTTTCCTGCTTTCTTTTGTGGGCATTTAGTGCTATAATTTTACACACTGCTTTAAATGTGTCCCAGAGATTCTGGTGTTGTATCTTTGTTCTCACTGGTTTCAAAGAACATCTTTATTTCTGCCTTCATTTCATTATTTACCCAGTAGTTATTCATGAGCAGGTTGTTCAGTTTCCATGTAGTTGTGTGGTTTTGAGTGAGCTTCTTAATCCTGAGTTCTAATTTGATTGTACTGTGGTCTGAGAGACAGTTTGTTGTGATTTCTCTTCTTTTACATTTGCTGAGGAGTGCTTTACTTCCAACTATGTGGTCAGTTTTTGGAATAAGTGCGATGTGGTGCTAAGAAGAATGTATATTCTGTTGATTTGGGGTGGAGAGTTCTGTAGATATCTATTAAGTCTGCTTAGTGCAGAGCTGAGTTCAAGTCCTGGATATCCTTGTTAAACTTCTGTCTCATTGATCTGTCTAATATTGACAGTGGGGTGTTAATGTCTCCCATTATTATTATTTGGGAGTCGTAAGTCTCTTTGTAGGTCTCTAAGGACGTGCTTTATGAATCTGGGTGCTCCTGTATTGGGTGTATATATATTTAGGATAGTTAGCTCTTCATGTTGAATTGATCCCTTTACTGTTATGTAATGGCCTTCTTTGTCTCTTTTGATCTTTGTTGGTTTAAACTCTGTTTTATCAGAGACTAGGATTGCAACCCCTGCTTTTTTTTGCTTTCCATTTGCTTGTTAGATCTTCCTCCATCCGTTTATTTTGAGTTTAGCAAGACTAATAAAGAAAAAAAAGAGAGAAGAATCAAATAGACGCAATAAAAAAATGATAAAGGGGATATCACCACCAATCCCACAGAAATACAACCTACCATCAGAGAATACTATAAACATCTCTATGCAAATAAACTAGAAATTCTAGAAGAAATGGATAAATTCCTGGACACATACACCATCCGAAGACTAAATCAGGAAGAAGTTGAATCTCTGAATAGACCAATAACGGGCTCTGAAATTGAGGCAATAATTATCCCACCAACCAAAAAAACTCCAGGACCAGATGGATTCACAGCCGAATTCTACCAGAGGTACAGAGAGGAGCTGGTACCATACCTTCTGAAACCATTCCAATCAATAGAAAAAGAGAGAATCCTCCCTAACTCATTTTATGAGGCCAGTATCATCCTGACAAAAGCCTGGCAGAGACACAACAACAAAAAAGAGAATTTTAGACCAATATCCCTGATGAACATCGTTGTGAAAATCCTCATAAAATACTGGCAAACTGAATCCAGCAGCATATCAAAAAGCTTATCCACCAAGATCAAGTTGGCTTCATCCCTGGGATGCAAAGCTGGTTCATCATACACAAATC
This sequence comes from Homo sapiens, assembly GCF_000001405.40. NCBI lineage: Eukaryota > Metazoa > Chordata > Mammalia > Primates > Hominidae > Homo > Homo sapiens. The sequence goes on from NC_000012.12 coordinate 102,239,106, forward strand.
AGTAAACACAATCCATCACATAAACAGAACCAGTGACAAAAGCTACATGATTATCTCAATAGATGCAGAAAAGGCCTTCGACAAAATTCAACAGCCCTTCATGCTAAAAACTCTCAATAAACTAGGTATTGATGGAATGTATCTCAAAATAATAAGAGCTATTTATGACAAACCCACAGTCAATATCATACTGAATGGGCAAAAACTGGAAGCATTCCCTTTGAAAACTGGCACAAGACAGGGATGACCTCTCTCACCACTCCTATTCAACATAGTGTTGGAAGTTCTGGCCAGGGCCATCAGGCAAGAGAAAGAAATAAAGGGTATTCAATTAGGAAAAGAGGAAGTCAAATTGTCCCTGTTTGCAGATGACATGACTGTATATTTAGAAAACCCCATCGTCTCAGCCCACAATCTCCTTAAGCTGATAAGCAATTTCAGCAAAGTCTCAGGATACAAAATCAATGTGCAAAAATCACAAGCATTCTTATACACCAATAACAGACAAATAGAGAGGCAAATCATGAGTGAACTCCCATTCACAATTGCTACAAAGAGAATAAAATACCTAGCAATCTAACTTACAAGGGATGTGAAGGACCTTTTCAAGGAGAACTACAAACCACTGCTCAATGAAATAAAAGAGGATACAAAGAAATGGAAGAAAATTCCATGCTCTTGGGTAGGAAGAATCAATATCATGAAAATGGCCATACTGCCCAAGGTAATTTACAGATTCAATGCCATCCCCATCAAGCTACCAATGGCTTTCTTCACAGAAGTGGAAAAAAATACTTTAAAGTTCATATGGAACCAAAAAAGAGCCCGCATTGCCAAGACAATCCTAAGCAAAAAGAACAAAGCTGGAGGCATCATGCTACCTGACTTCAAACTATACTACAAGGCTACGGTAACCAAAACAGCATGGCACTGGTACCAAAACAGATATATAGACCAATGAAACAGAACAGAGGCCTCAGAAATAACACCACACATCTACAACAATCTGATCTTTGACAAACCTGACAAAAACAAGAAATGGGGAAAGGATTTCCTATTTAATAAATGGTGGTGGGAAAACTGGCTAGCCATATGTAGAAAGCTGAAACTGGATCCCTTCCTTACACCTTATACTAAAATTAATTCAAGATGGATTAAAGACTTAAATGTTAGACCTAAAACCATAAAAACCCTAGAAAAAAGCCTAGGCAATATCATTCAGGACATAGGCATGGGCAAGGACTTCATGACTGAAACACCAAAAGCAATGGCAACAAAAGCCAAAATGGGATCTAATTAAACTAAAGAGCTTCTGCACAGCAAAAGTACTGCCATCAGAGTGAACAGGCAATGTACAGAATGGGAGAAAATTTTTGCAATCTACCCATCTGACAAAGGGCTATTATCCAGAATCTACAAAGAACTTAAACAAATTTACAAGAAAAAATCAAATAACCCCATCAAAAAGTGGGCAAAGGATATGAACAGCCACTTTTCAAAAGAAGACTTTTATGCAGCCAACAAACACATGAAAAAGTGCTCCTCATCACTGGTCATCAGAGAAATGCAAATCAAAACCACAGTGAGATACCATCTCACACCAGTTAGAATGGCAATCATTAAAAAGACAGGAAACAACAGATGCTGGAGAGGATGTGGAGAAATAGGAACACTTTTACATTGTTTGTGGGAACATAAACTAGTTCAACCATTGTGGAAGACAGTGTGGCAATTCCTCAAGGATCTAAAACTAGAAATACCATTTGACCCAGCGATCCCATTACTGTATATATACTCAAAGGATTATAATCATGCTACTATACAGACACATGCACACCTATGTTTATTGTGGGACTATACACAATAGCAAAGATTTGGATCCAACCCACATGTCCATCAATGATAGACTGGATTAAGAAAATGTGGCATATATACACCATGGAATACTATGCAGCCATAAAAAAGGATGAGTTCATGTCCTTTGTAGGGACATGGATGAAGCTGGAAACCATCATTCTGAGTAAACTGTCACAAGGACAGAAAACCAAACACCGCATGTTCTCACTGATAGGTGGGAATTGAACAATGAGAACACTTGGACATAGGGCAGGGTACATGACACACTGGGGCCTGTCATGGGGTGGAGGGATGGTGGAGGGATAGCATTAGGAGAAGTACGTAATGTAAATGACGAGTTAATGGGTGCAGCAAACCAAGATGGCACATGTATACATATGCAACAAACCTACACTTTGTGCACATGTACCCTAGAACTTAAAGTATAATAATAAAAAATAAAAATTACAAAAACTTAAAAAAAGAAAATAAAAATAAGAAACCATATGTTTGCATGTGTCATTATAGTAGACTGATTTATATTTCAGTTACTTTCTAATGCATTGTGTCCCAGTAGATTAGTTCACATTTGCCTCTTTTTTTCCTCTATTTATTCTGGGCCCCATAATCTATTACTTGAGCTTGTCCTTCTTCATCACCCTTAATACTCTCACTTTCTGTTTCTCTGCTCTGCTTGGCCTGAAAAATGTCAGCAGCAAACTATATCTGATCATTGTCATCCTCCTCTGACATGCAACACTATTAAGGATTTATGAAGGAAATACATAGTAAGCTCCTACACCTTTATGATGTTTAGTTCAACTGTGTTCTCAACACTGCTAGGGAGTCTTGCAAGAGTTACCTCACTCTCTCTCTTTTCTCTTTATGGATATGCTGTATAAGCATAAGACACCTCTTAAAGAATAACCTTGTTTTTGTTATTTATTCCACTATGGGAAACCTGATCTAGTCAGTAATTTTTCAGTGGTTACTTTTAGCTTCTGTAACATTCTTACTACCTGCATCCATTTGTTCCATTTTCCTTTCTGTTTCAATATCCCTCCTCTTGTTCAATTCAGTCCTTTGCCAAGGTGTTCTATCCTACCTTCTCCACCTCTTTAGGAGCCTTACTCCAGCAAATGCCTCCTCTTATCCTTCATTTTAAACTCTGACTCTTGATTGGCTCTTTCACCTGAGCATACTCATTGCTCAGTTTGTCTCTATCTAAAAAATCATTTTTAGACTTTATACCTTTATTTTCTTTGTAAATGTCTTTATATATATTTTCTTATAACCTCCCGTCCCTCCTTCTTTCTTCCCCTCTCCCATTGAAAATCAACAGGATAGTATTTGGAGACTTTTGTTTCCCTGGGATTGACACATCTCACAGCTAAGAATGAAAGCCATGAAATATCTAATATTCTAAGTTCGGAGAACCACTAGGTCACCTCCTGGACAGTAAAATTTCAATGTATGAGCAACAAACAATCATGCTAGGATGTAAAATGATTAAAATGTCACTTTCTGAGTATTAGACAATTCATATGGTTTTTAACAAACAGTGGCTTTATATCCATTGTAATGCCTCTTTTAGCATCAACATTCAGAAATTCACATTCCATTTTTTTGGACACTTCATGAGATTTTGAAACTACTCTTTATTCTGAGATTCTGTTAATTGTATTTAGAATGGACCTTGATAGTTTTCCTGCTCATAATTTTGGTAAAACTGTATTGCATTTTGAGGAAGTTAATATCAAATGTTCCTATATAAACTTTGACTAGAAAATGATGTATGGAGATATTCACACATCTATAAAGTTTGGTTATTTAAATCCAAGAGATGTTTTGTCATGAATATCTTAACTACAGAGACATGGAGCTGCTTGGATAGAACAAACTCTGTGCTTTAATGGTTGTATAGTATTCTTTTCATATGTATATCTGTAATTTTACTTCTGTTTAGCCATTTTCTTCTTTTTATTATGTATACATTTTTTATTTCTGTAGCTTTTGGGGTACAAGATTTTATTTCATGGATGAATTGTATAGCGGTGAAGTCTGAGATTTTAGTGCACCTGTCACCCAAGTAGTGTACATTGTATCCAATATGTAGCTTTCTATCCCTTACTCTTGGCCCCTTCTGAGTTTCTAAAGTCCATTATACCACTTGGTATGCCATTACATACCCATAGCTTAGATCCTACTTATAAGTGAAAACATATGGTATTTTGTTTTCCAATCCTGAGTCACTTTACTTAGAATAATGGCCCTAAGTTCCATCCAAGTTGCTGCAAAAAAACCCCATTATTTCATTCTTTTTTAATGGCTGAGTAGTATTCCATGGTGTATACATACTGTATTTTCTTAATCCACACATCAGTTCGTGGACACAGATTGGTTCCATATCTTTGCAATTGTGAATGAATTGTGTTGTGATAAACAGGCATGTGCACATCTCTTTTTGAGATAATGACTTATTTTCCTTTCGGTAGATACTCAGTAGTGGGATTGCTGGATTGAATGGTAGATCTACTTTTAGTTGTTTAAGAAATCTTCATACTGTTTTCCATGGAGCTTGTACTAGCTTACATTCCCAACAGCAGTTTAAACGTTCCCTTTTCACCACATTTATGCCAACATTTGTTGTTTTTTGACTTTTTAATAATGGTCACTCTGGCTGGGTTAGATGGTATCTCATTATGGTTTTAATTTGCATTTCTCTAATCATTAGTGATGTTAAGCATTTTTCATTTCTTTATTGGTCATTTGTATATCTTCTTTTGAGAAGTGTCTATTCATGTCATTTTTCCACTTTTTGATGGGATTATTTGTTTTTTTCTTGCTGATTTGCTTGAATTCCTTGTAGATTCTGGATATTAGTCCTTGGTCAGATGCATAGCTTGCAAATATTTTCTCCCATTATGTGGGTTGTCTATTTACTCTGATGATTATTTCTTTCGCTATGCAGAACATTTTAGTTCAATTAGGTCCCATTTTTATTTATTTATTTATTTGCTTTTTTGTTCATTTACTTTTGGGGTCTTAGTCATAAATTCTTTGTCGAGGCCAATGTCCAGAAGAGTTTTTCCCTAGGCTTTCTTCTAGAATTTTTAAGGTTTCATGTCTTAGATTATGTCTTTAATCTTGATTTGATTATTGTATGTGGTGAGAGATAGGGATCCAGTTTCATCCTTCTACATGTGGCTATCCAGTTTCCCAGCACAATTTACTGAATAGTGTGTTCTTTCTCCAATTTATGTTTTTGCACACTTTGTCCAAGATTAGTTGCTTGAAAGTATTTGGCTTTATTTGTGAGTTCTTTACACTGGTCCCATGGTTTGTATCTCTCCTTTTATATCAGTACCATGCTGTTTTGGTTACTATAGCCTTGTAGTATAATTTGAAGTTGGGTAATGTGATGCCTCCTAATTTGTTCTTTTTGTTTAGGATTGCTTTGGCTATCTGGGCTCTTTTATGGTTCCATATGAATTCTAGGATTGTTTCTTCTAATTCTGTGAAAAATGATGTTGGTATTTTGATAGGAATTGCATTGAAAATGTAGACTGCTTTGGGCAGTTTGGTCATTTTCATGATATTGATTCTTCTAATCCATGGGCATGGGGTGTAGTTCCATTCATTTGTGTCATCTATGATTTATTTCAGCAGTGTTTTCTAGTTCTCCTTGTAGAGGTCTTTCACCTCCAAGGTTAAGTATATTCCTATGTGTTTTATTTATTTATTTTTGCAGCGATTGTAAAAGGGATTGAGTTCTTGATTTGATTTTCAGCTTGGTCATAAGAAGCAACAGTATGCTTCCAGTCGCCTCTGCTCCTTTATGTTATTATTGTCACACATTTTAGTTCTACATATGTTAGAAATTCCACACTACATTATTATTATTTTTGCTTTACATAGACAACAATCTTTTAAATAAATGTTTAAAAAAAGAAAAAGTTATGTATTTATATATATCTTTACCATTTATGGTGCTCTTATTCTTTGACATTGATACAATTTTCATCTGGTATTATTTTTTTCTGTCTGAAAAACTTTAATATTCTTTAATACTAATCTTCTGTGATGAATCTCTCAACATTTATATGTCTAAGTGAAATATGTTAATTTTTAATTGTTTTTGAAGGATATTTTTACTATATATAAAATTTTAGATTGACAATTTTTTTTTCTTTTAGCAATTTAAAGATGTTATTTGATTGTCTTCTAGCTTGCATAGTTTACAATGAGAAGTCTTCAGGTACTCTTGTTTTTTGTTTCTCTGTTCATTATGTGTCTTTTTCCCCTCTTTGGTTGTTTTAAGATTTTCTTTTTATCATCAGTTTTTGGTAATTTATTTATGATATGCTCAGTTTGCTCCTGGATTTGACATTGCTTGCTTCTAGACCTCAGACAGTTTCTTTTCTTGCTATGTGTGTGAGCCACCACACCTGACCGAGTGTCTTTATTTTATTGTCTTCCTTCAATAATTGTTGGGCTTTGTTTCAGCAGGTGGTTAATTCACTTGGAGATCTGGTTGACATTTTTGAGGACCATTTTAAAAACAGATATAGTGCATCTAGAATAGTAACTCTGGATCACTAGCATTTCTATTGTTTCTTTTCCTGTTGGTTTCAGTTGTTTCTATTTCCTTTTACACTTTATAATTTTTAATTGAATGATAAACATCACATATGAGAAAATCGTAGAGATAATTTGACCGTCTTATAGACACCCCTTTTTGCTAAATTTTCAGACTCTAGACCCTGTGACACTAACGAATCAGCAAATGTATTCAGAGAAAAAGAGGGACAGAATTTTGTGTTTTATCTCAGTTCACTTCCTGGTTTTTGAAGAGCTTTATCTTTCATGTCCTGACTGCCTTGATAGTTTTGAATGCTTTCAAACAGATGTTTTAATTTTATCGAACTTTTCTAGCTTTTCTTATAGGGAGGTTTGATTCAATACAAGCTTTTCCATGGAAATAGAAATTTTTTATATTAATTTTGAACCTAGGCATTTTATTAAATTATCTTATCTATAATTACTTTTTGTGTGTTTTCCAACTGTACAAATTATTTGCAAATGCTTCTCATTTTAGAATTTTGCATTTCTTATTTCACCAGACTAGTCCAATTGAATAGGTTAGTACTTTCAGAAAAATTTTAGATAATAGTTGTAAACAGGAAAAACTATATTACATTTATGTCACAAGGTTGTTGTGATGACTAAATTAAAACATGTAAAGTACCTAGAAAAGAATGACGGTAATGATAGTGATGATGATGATGGTGATGATGATGATGGATATCCTTGTGTTGTTTCTGACTGTAACAGGGGTGTTCCTACGGTTTCCCCACTAAGAATTATGTTAAACATACAAGGATACATTTACCTATTCTTTTTTTAATTAAGAATTTTCATCTCAAATCAATATTGAATTTTATCAAATGTCTTTGTAGGACATATGGAGAAGACCATATGATTTTTCATTTTGATTCATTAATATGGTGAATTATATTTATTTTCTCATATTGAATCAGAACTGTCTTGGTAGGAGCCCCATTTAATCATTTTGTGGTATTCTGTAAATATGCTGCTAGATTTTAATTTTAATAATTTATTTAAACTGTTTTGTATTACTACTCATATGTGAAATTGATCTATAGTTTTTCTTTTTGGGCTGCTCATTTCAGGTTTTGGTTCTATTATGTTTTTATAACAAATATTTGATAAGTTGTTCTTTTTCAATGCTTTGACACTTTTAATTAGCACTCATGTCACTGGTTTGTAAAAGCTTGGGAGAATTTAGTTAATTAAACCCACTGGGCCTGGTACTTTTCTTTCTCTTTCTCTCTCTCTTTTTTTTTTTTTTTTGTAGGGTGATCTTAATTTTTTTTTTTTTATTACATAGTCTATCTCTTTTGGGTCAGTTTTGGCAGTCTGTTTTCCCAGAAAACAATCTATGTCTTTCAAGATCCCAAGTTTATTTACATAGAATTGACTCAGTTGATTTTCTGTGTAGACATGATGTGCAAAATGTTGAAAACTTAGTTGGCATGGGCATTAATAACTCATAGCAGATGCTACAACCAACCACAATATATATCAAACACAAATATCTGATATGGTCATAATAGTGCCTATTGGCTAAGTATTAGCCATTGTATCTGTATTTATTCTCTGTATTATTTTCCCATTCTCACTTCTTATTTTATGATTTTATTCTGTCCTTTTTTTGATTAGGTAAGCTAATAATTTATCTATTTCATTATTTTAAACAGTATGCTCTTGGCTTTATTTGTTATTTTATCTTTTTTCTTGTTTTCTAATGAATGAATTGTTTGTGCCTTATTTAACTCATTTTATTTTCATCAGGTTTACTTCATTTCTCTCTTTATGTCTTGTGTGATTTTATTTTGTTTTATGAATATATGTTTTATGAATTTATATCAGATTGATATATATACATATACAGGTCATTTTATCCCATTAATGTAAGACAGATAAATTTTTGTCATCATATTTTATATATATCGTGATTTCAGTTTATATTGGTTCTTTGTTTAATAATCTTTTTATATAATTTGTTTTTTATTGCTTTTGTGTGTATGCATGTATGTATTCACAGGCACATCTATGCATGCACATGCTTCCTTGTAATTCAAAGATTTATTTTAAATTCTGTTAGTGGTCATCTTAAAACCTTGCAATTTAATATGCTTTAGCATTTATTCCAGCCAGTGTCTGTTGATTCACCATTAGAGCAATGACATTTGGTAGTACTCTTCTACTTTAGTGGTTCTCAGCACTGGTCCACATTAGTATCATCTGGGAGCTTTTAAAAAATACCAGTGCCTCTAAGATTAAGAGATAATTATTTTCAAAAAGTCCCCCATATGACTTTAAAGAGCAGCTATAGTTGAGAGCCACTGTTTTACCCTCTCTCCCCTCCACCAACAATTTTAATCAATTATATATTATTTAAAAATTTTTTTCTAGTCTTTATGTTTTTGAAAGATGATTGGCCGTATGTAGGAGAAAATACGCATACTTGCACATCTTCTGTCTTCTCTCTTTCTCACCTTCATCTAATATTATCATTCATTCTTATAATTTGTAACCTATGCATTCTGTTTTGCTGCCATCTTTATCCGTGATTAAATAGATTCCATAGTCACTGTGAGTAATTTTTCTCCATTCATTTTTTGATTGACTGAAGTTTATTGTCTAGTAGGTTCTTCAGAAGTGTTCATGGAAGTCACATCTATCTGTTTCCTTTATATTTAAATGACAGTTTGGCTGGATATAGAAATCATGGATCACATATTATTTTCCTGGGTTCTTTGTATCATATTTCTGTCTTCCAGCATCAAATATTGTTGTGAACTATAAGGTCAGTCTAATTTTTCTTCTTTGTATTAAGTATGGGAAAGAAACTAATACTGTAACAAAGTACAAAAATACAGTGAGTTAACTAAGATTCAACCTTGTATCACTCTCATGTATCAGTCTGGCTGGTCTAAGTTATCAGAGCAACTGCTGCGCAAGGTCACCCAGAGAGCCATTTCTTCCATGTTGTTGCTCCACTATCCCTTTTTGGGCATTTTGTCACCCTCAAAATCAAAAGTGGGATGTTGGCAAATCTACCTTCCAGCTTGCAAAAGAGGAAAAGAGGCAAAATACAGAGAAAGCAGATTTTCTTTAAATTGCAAATGACTTTACATACTTTTGTACATATTCAATATTCAGAACTTGCTCATGGCCACCGTAGCTAACTGAAAAAAAAAGCTAGAAAATGCAGTATCTAGCTGGGTGGCCTTAGAGTTAGAAATAGAAAATTTAGGAAGAACAAATATGAGTCCACTTCAAACTTGTAGGTTACTTAATAATCTTAGCCTGAATGCCCAAAGTTTTTGTTGTTGTTGTTTTGACATTTGAAGACCTATACTATCACTAGGAAATGTTTCAGCATTGATAAAATTGCATGAGGTTTTCTGCTTTTTTAATTTTGGTAAGGATTTTCGGTTTAAGCTATAGGTTCTTCAAAATTATGTGTTAAATTTTATTTTATGTTTTATTTATTGTGTGTTCCCCCCACCACCCTATTTTTTTTTTTTTTGGTCTGTTTTCCATGTCTATTATTTTGCTTGCTTTCCTCAATCCTGCTCTTTTGTGCCTTAGTATGAATTCAGTGATGGCTCTTTGTGCTGCTTAATGTAGCCTTGATTTCTTGGATGGCTTTATTTATTTATTTTTCTATTTATTTTTCAAGTCTGCCAGCTCATGTTTCATCTCCTCCAGCTGTCTGCTTTGAGCTTTTTGATTCATTAGGTGCCTAGTATTCACGGCCATATTTATTTGGTCATGATTTTTATCTGGGCAGTGACAATATTGTTCTGGTGTGTATTCATCACCTGCCACTTGTTTTTCCCACATTTTTCTTCCTTTTCCTGAAAGTAACTTTGTATAGATCCTTGGCTGGTTCTTTTTGTGTTATTTCTTTTGTGAATGAGGTTAATTCCTCCAGTTATTTTCAAGAGGTTCCTTCAGGGGAGAGAATAGAGTAGTGTTCCAGGCAAGCAGTAACTCCTCCACAGTAAAGCTCCTTATGACTCAGGGGTGTGTGTGTGTGTATGTACACTATTTTAACCTTCGTTTTTCTCTAGTTCAAAGAAATCAGCAATTGCTGGATTACTCATAATTCAGATCCATTTCCTTCACCCTTCCTCAAGGATACACTGCTTCTCAGAAATGTGTGTGTTTCCTTGTTCAGCCTCACCTTCCCTGCCTGTTCTCTGGGCTCAGAGAAGGTCCAGATAAGCTCCCTCTAAAGACCAGGCATCCTGTTCTCATTGTTCTAGACAAGGTTTGTGGTTTTGCCTCTCATATTGTGTCACATACTTTGAACTGTACTCTACCTGGTTTAGTTGAGACTTTTTTTTTTTTCGAGACGGAGTCTCGCCCTGTCACCCAGGCTGGAGTGCAGTGGCGGGATCTCGGCTCTCTGCAAGCTCCGCCTGCCGGGTCCACGCCATTCTCCTGCCTCAGCCTCCCAGGTAGCTGGGACTACAGGCACCCACCACCATGCCCAGCTAATTTTTTTGTAGTTTTAGTAGAGACAGGATTTCACCGTTGTTAGCCAGGATGGTCTCGATCTCCTGACTCGTGATCTGCCCACCTTGGCCTCCCAGTTAGCTGAGATTCTCAGCCACAGATGTCTATAGGTATTTCCCTGCACTCCTGTTTGAACTTCCCTGTTGGCAGCTCTTACTCAAATATTGTAGTTCGAGGTTACAGATGTGTTATAACTTTATCAAAAATTATTATTTTTTTCTTTTTTAGTTTTCATCATTGGTTTGAGTTGATTTTGTAAAGAAAACTATGTGGAGCCATCTTTAGTTTGGCATTTCCTAATCAGCTACCATGAGTATTTATTTAGAGAAATCCATTATTATTTTGTTAGGATTCATTTTTCTAAGTGGTAAATTTACAAAATTTCAAGAATTCCAATCTGCATTTCAAAAAGATTATACAAATCTATACTCTTCTACTCATATATCAGAGTTACTATTTTCCTACACACTTACTAATATATAGAGAGAACTTTGCCTATTTGATATTCTAACAAGGTGTACCTCTTAAGTTGTACTTTTAATTATTAGGGGACAAATAATTATATCTTCTTCTTTTTTTTTTTTTTTTTTTTTAGTATTTATTGATCATTCTTGGGTGTTTCTCGGAGAGGGGGATTTGGCAGGGTCATAGGACAATAGTGGAGGGAAGGTCGGCAGATAAACACGTGAACAAGGGTCTCTGGTTTTCCTAGGCAGAGGACCCTGCGGCCTTCCGCAGTGTTTGTGTTCCTGGGTACTTGAGATTAGGGAGTGGTGATGACTCTTAAGGAGCATGCTGCCTTCAAGCATCTGTTTAACAAAGCACATCTTGCACCGCCCTTAATCCATTTAACCCTGAGTTGACACAGCACATGTTTCAGAGAGCACGGGGTTGGGGGTAAAGTTATAGATTAACAGCATCCCAAGGCAGAAGAATTTTTCTTAGTACAGAACAAAATGGAGTCTCCTATGTCTACTTCTTTCTACACAGACACAGTAACAATCTGATCTCTCTTTCTTTTCCCCACATTTCCCCCTTTTCTATTCGACAAAACCGCCATCGTCATCATGGCCCGTTCTCAGTGAGCTGTTGGGTACACCTCCCAGACGGGGTGGCGGCCGGGCAGAGGGGCCCCTCACCTACCAGATGGGGAGGCCGGGCAGAGGCGCCCCCCACCTCCCTCTTGGACGGGGTGGCTGGCCGGGCTATATCTTCTTTTGGGAATTTTCCATTATTATCCTTTAGTGAATATTGTTTCCTTTTGATGCCTTTGTCAACTTCATATAGATTTATATGAGCTTTTTCTTAAAGATATGTTGCATATATTTTTCTGTTAGTAATTTGCAAGTTTATTTTAATGTAATCTTTTACCAAATGAAAATATATTTTTATAGCAAGTTTAATATTTTCCCTTGTGGTTTCTACTTTAGGACTCATTTTCTTTACCACAGCAAAATTATATATCCACGTATATATTCCTTTAGTGTTTCAATGTTGTTTTATTTTTTGTACCTAAATCTTTAATAAGTCTGGAATTTGTTTTGAATATAGTATAAAGTACTAATCTAGCTTATTTTTCCCAAAATTGTTAGTTATGTATTTCATTACCATTTATAGAGTAATGTCTTCTTCCCCACTTATTTAAGATGCCACTACTAACACATTAATCTTAGGTTTATACAGAAACAGTTCTAAACTTTAAATTTTATTTCATTGTTTGCTTGTTTTTATGGCAGCACTGCAACATTTTAACCATTATTTTATATATTAATGCATTTTATTTTCTAGCAGGGCAAATCTCTACCATTACTAGAATTTTCAAAATCTCTTACTTAGTTTCATGTATTATTCTTCCAGATGAACTGTGGAATCATTTGTTGAGTTTCCAGAAATAAATCCTCGAACCCACTGGGATTGTACTGAGTTTATTTATTTATTTGGGAAGAATTAACATCTTGACAATATTAAGTCTTCTTAGCTGGTAACATGATATAGTTCTCCATTTAGACAAGTTTTCTTTTATGTTCTTCAACAACAATATTGTGGTTTTCTTCACAGAGGTTCTGCACATTTCTCATGAGTTTAACTCTTAGGTGATATATATTGTTTTGCTATTATGAATGCAATTTATTTTCCAATCCATTATTGCCAAATATAAGAAAAGATTGAGCTTTATTTATTTTGTAATTACTACTCTACAAATATTTCTTACAAATCCTAGTTGCTTTTCAGGTTATTCTTTTGAGTTTTATATCTAGATAGTAATGCCATTTTCAAACTTAGTTTTTCCTCGTGTCCAATATTCATACTTTTTAACTTGCTTTCTTATTCAATTGCACTGGCCAACTTTCCCAGAACAATGTTAATTAACAATAGAGTTAGCAGGCATACTTTACTTATTCTTGATTATAGTAGAATAAATTGATTGTTTTACTGTCGTTTTGATGTTTAATGTAAAAGTACATTGTGATGGTTTTGCAGTGCTTGTGTAGACCACACGAAGTTGGATCTAAAAAAATTTTAATTTTTTTTGCTTAGGATTGTCTTGGCTATATGGGCTCTGTTTTGGTTCTATATGAAATTTAAAGTAGTTTTTTCTAATTCTGTGAAGAAAATCAATGGTAGCTTGGTGGGGATAGCATTGAATCTATAAATTACTTTGGGCAGTATGGCCATTTTCACGATATTGATTCTTCCTATTCATGAGCATGGAATGTTTTTCCATTTGTTTGTGTCCTCTCTTATTTCATTGAGCAGTGTTTTGTAGTTCTCCTTGAAGAGATCCTTCATATCCCTTGTAAGTTGTATTACTAGGTGTTTTATTCTCTTTGTAGCAATTGTGAATGGGAGTTCACTCATGATTTGGCTCTCTCTTTGCCTATTATTGGTGTATAGGAATGCTTGTGATTTTTGCACATTGATTTTGTATCCTGAGACTTTGCTGAAGTTGCTCATCAGCTTAAGGAGATTTGGGGCTAAGACGATGGGGTTTTATAAATATACAGTCATGTCATCTGCAAACAGAGACAATTTGACTTCCTCTCTTTCTATTTAAATACCCTTTATTTCTTTCTCTTGCCTGATTGCCCTGGCCAGAACTTCCGATACTATGTTGAATAGGAGTGGTGAGAGAGGGCATCCTTGTCTTGTGCCAGTTTTCAAAGGGAATGCTTCCAGTTTTTGTCCATTCAGTATGATATTGGCTGTGGGTTTGTCATGAACAGCTTTTATTATTTTGAAATACATTCCATCAATGAGATACATTCTAGTTTATTGAGAGTTTTTAGCATGAAGGGGTGTTGAATTTTATTGAAGGCCTTTTCTGTATCTATTGAGATAATCATGTGGTTTTTGTCATTGGTTCTGTTTATGTGATGGATTATGTTTGTTTATTTGCGTATGTTGAATCAGCCTTGCGTCCCATGGATGAAGCCAACTTGATTACAGTGGATAAGCTTTTTGATGTGCTGCTGGATTCAGTTTGCCAGTATTTTATTGAGGATTTTCGCATTGATGTTCATCAGGGATATTGGCCTGAAATTTTCTTTTTTTGTTGCGTTTCTGCCAGGTTTTGCTATCAGGATGATGTTGGCCTCGTAAAATGAGTTAGAGAGGAGTCCCTCTTCTTCTATTGTTTGGAATAGTTTCAGAAGGAATGGTACAAGCTCCTCTTTGTACCTCTGGTAGAATTTGGCTGTGAATCTGTCTGGTCCTGGGCTTTTTTCTGGTTGGTAGGCTATTAATTACTGCCTCAGTTTCAGAACTTGTTATTGGTCTATTCAGGGATTCGACTTCTTCCTGGTTTAGTCTTGGGAGAGTGTATGTGTCCAGGAATTTATCCATTTCTTCTAGATATTCTAGTTTATTTGCATAGAGATGTTTATAGTATTCTCTAATGGTAGTTTGTATTTCCGTGGAATAAGTGGTGATATCCCCTTTATCATTTTTTATTGTGTCTATTTGATTCTTCTCTCTTTCTTCTTTATTAGTCTGGCTAGCAGTCTATCTATTTTGTTAATCTTTTCAAAAAACCAGCTCCTGGATTCATGGATTTTTTGAAGGGTTTTTTGTGCCTCCATCTCCTTCAGTTCTGCTATGATATTAGTTATTTCCTATCTTGTGATAGCTTTTGAATTTGTTTGCTCTTGCTTCTCTAGTTCTTTTAATTGTGAGCTTAGGGTGTCAATTTTAGATCTTTTCTGCTTTCTCCTGTGGGCACTTAGTGCTATAAATTTCCCTCTAAACACTGCTTTAGCTGTGTTCCAGAGATCCTGGTACATTGTGTCTTTGTTCTCATTGGTTTCAAATAGCTTATTTATTTCTGCCTTAATTTTGTTATTTACCCAGTATTCATTCCGGAGCAGGTTGTTCAGTTTCCATGCAGTTGTGCAGGTTCGAATGAGTTTCTTGGTCCTGAGTTCTAATATGATTGCACCGTGCTCTGAGAGACTGCTTTTCATGATTTCCATTCTTTTGCATTTGCTGAGGAGTGTTTTACTTCCAATTATGTGGTCAGTTTTAGAATAAGTGTGATGTGGTGCTGAGAAGAATGTATATTCTGTTGATTTGGGGTGGAGAGTTCTGTAGATGTCTATTAGGTTCTCTAGGTCCAGAGTTGAGTTCAAGTCCTGAATATCCTTGTTAATTTTCTGTCTCATTGATCTCTCTAATATTGACAGTGGGGTGTTAAAGTCTCCCACTATTATTGTGTGGGAGTCTAAGCTGGAGGCGTCATGCTACCTGACTTCAAACTATACTACAAGGCTACAGTAACCAAAACAGCCTGGTACTAGTACCAAAACAGATATATAGAAAAATGGAACAGAACAGAGGCCTCAGAAATAATGCCACACATCTACAACCATCTGATCTTTGACAAACATGACAAAAAGAAGCAATGGGTAAAGGAATCCCTATTTAGTAAATGGTGTTGGGAAAACTGGCTAGCCCTATGCAGAAAACTGAAACTGGACCCCTTCCTTACACCTTATATAAAAATTAATTCAAGATGGATTAAATACTTAAACATAAAACCTAAAACCGTAAAACCCTAGAAGAAAACCTAAGCAATACCATTCAGGACATAGACATAGGCAAAGACTTCATGACTAAAACACCAAAAGCAGTGGCAATAAAAGCTAAAACTGACAAATGGATCTAATTAAACTAAAGAGCTTCTTCTGCACATCAAAAGAAACTATCAGAGTGAACGGGCAACCTACAGAATGGGAGAAAATTTTTCAATCTATCCATCTGACAAAGGGTAATATCCAAAATCTACAAGGAACTTAAACAAATTTATAAGAAAAAAAATCAACCCCATCAAAAATTGGGCAAAGGATATGAACAGACACTTCTCAAAAGAAGACATTTAGGCAACCCACAAACTTGTGAAAAAAAGCTCATCATCACTGGTCATTAGAGAAATGCAAATCAAAACCACAATGCTGTACCATCTCACGCCAGTTAGAATGGCAATCATTAAAAAGTCAGGAAACAACAGATGCTGGAGAGGATATGGAGAAGTAGGAATGCTTTTACACTGGTGGTGGGAGGGTTAATTAGTTCAACCATTACGGAAGACAGTGTGGCAATTCCTCAAGGATCTAGAACCAGAAATACCATTTGACCCAGCAATCCTATTACTGGGTATATACCCAAAGGATTATAAATCATTCTACTATAAAGACACATGCACACGTATGTTTATTGCAGCACTGTTCACAATAGCAAAGACTTGGAACCAACCCAAATGCCCATCAATGATAGACTGGATAAAGAAAATGTGGCACATATACACGATGGAATACTATGCAGCCATAAAAAAGATGAGTTCATGTTCTTTGCATGGACATGGATGAAGGTGGAAACCATCATTCTTGGCAAACTAACACAGGAACAGAAAACCAAACACATGTTCTCACTCATAAGTGGGAGCTGAACAATGAGAACACATGGACACAGGGAGGGGAACACCACACACTGGGGCCTGTCAGGTGGTGGGGGGCAAGGGGAGGAATAGGATTAGGAGAAATACCTAATGTAGATGATGGGTTGATGGGTGCAGCAAACCACCATGGCACGTGTATACCTATGTAACAAACTTGCACGTTCTGCACATGTATCCCAGAACTTAATGTATAATACACACACACACACACACACGCACACACACGCACAAATAAATTCATACAATTAAGTGTTTTTTAAAAAGTATTTTAATTTAAATTCCCATCTAATCATTTTTTTAAATTGGTGTGTCAATTATTTGCCTTTAAAGTAACTATTGGTTTGGTTGCATTTAGATCTACCTTTATATTATTACTATTATTATTATTTTACTTATCCTCTCTGGTTTTGTCTTCTATTCTTTTTACCTGCTGTCCTTTTCTGATAGTCTATTTTTGATTTCTCTATTCACTTGTGTTCTATATCTCTGTATTTTTTAGCACTTGCTCTAGAGATTATACACATAACTAAGTTATCTTTCCAATTAAAATGCAGAGCAAAATTTGGAGCCACATGATGTTTTGGACCAAAGAATGAAATTAATCTGATTATGTCTTAACAAGATAACTTTGTTGTTCTTTTGAGAATAGATTTTACAGGTACAAAGGCTAAAGTTAGGAGATGAATGCAAATATACAGGAGTGTCTTTCTATTACTCTTTACTGAGAGTTTTTGTAAAATCAGGAAACAGTGTTAATTTTATAAACTGCTTTCTCTGCTTCTATTGAGGTAATTAGTGAGGTGGCCATTTTATTCTGTTAATGTGGTGAATTATGTTGATTTAATTTTGAATGCTAAATCAACGTTGCATTTCTGAGATAAACCCCACTTGCTCATGAGGTACTATTCTTTGTATATATTTTCTGATTTGATATGCTAATTTTTTGTGAAGATATTTTGAGACAATAAGCATGAGAGATGTGGGTCTGTAATTTTCCATGTTTTGCAAGGTTCTTATCTAGTTTTAGTATTACGGTGTGCTTGTCTCATACAATGAATTCCCTCCTCTTCTATGTTCTGAAAGATCTCACATTAGACTAGGATTAATTTTTCTTTCAAAGTTTAAAAGAATTCCCCATTGAAGCCATCTGGGCCTGGAATTTATTTTATGTAAAGAATTTTAATTACAAATTCAATATATCTTTTACAGATACAGTAGTCCTCCCTTACCCATGGTTTCACTTTCTGCAGTTTCAGTGGAACATGAACATGGTCAACGGTGATCAGAAAATGTTAAATGGAAAATTTCAGGTATAAACAATTCGTAAGTTTCAAATCACACACCATTTTGAGTATCATAATGAGATCTGTTGCCATCCTGCTGTGTCCCACCAGGATGTGAAACAGCCCTTTGTCCAGCTGTCAGTACTATATATGACACCTACCCATTAGCCACTTACTATCCCTCTCTTATCAGATTGACTGTGATGGTGTCACATTGCTTGTGTTCAAATAACCCTTATTTTACTTAATAATAACCCCAAAGCATGAGCATAGTGATGCTGGCAATTAGGATATACCAAAGAGAAGTCAAATATATGTCAAAGAGAAGTTGTTAATCTCTTACTGTGGATAATTTATAAAGTAAACTTAATCATAGGTATGCATGTATATGAAAAACCATAGTATGTGTAGGGTTTGATATTGTCTATGGTTTCAGGCATTCCCTGAGGGTGTTGCAATGTATGCCCAGTGGATTAAAGGGGACTACCTTAGAGGAGTATTCTGTTTTTTTTTTTTCTTAACTATCTTCCTGTGTCAGTTTTGTAATTTACGTGTTTCAAGGAATTTGCCCATTTCTTCTGACTTGTCAAATTAATTGGCATTTAGCTGTTAATAATATTCCCTTATTATTATTTAACTATTTGCATCATCTATAGTGATGTGCCTTCCTTCATTCCAGATGCTCTCTTTCTTTTTCTTTTTTTTCCCCTTTTATTTTTTGGTCAGTCTTGGTAAGATATTACCAGGTTTATTAAACTTTGCAAAAAACTAGCTTTTCGTTTTATTAATTTTTCTCTTGTTTGTGTTCTATTTCATTGATTTCCATTATTTTATTTTTTAGTTGCCTACATTTTCATCCTTTAGGTTTAATTTTGTAGAGTTTTGAGGGAATTTAAGAGTTTTCAACCTTTCTCCTTTTTTCTGAAGTAAGCTAGTAAAGCTACAAATTACCTTCTACGTGCTTCTTTAGATGCCTTTCATAATGTTTATTATGTTTTGTTCTCATTTTCATTTATTTCAAGGTATTTTAAAATGTCTTTCATGATTTCTTCTTTGATTTTGGATCCTTTAGTACTGTGTTGCTTAATTTTCAGATATTTGGGGTATTTTTTTCAAGATATATTTTTGTTATTGATTTTTAACTTAGTTCCTTTATTAATTTCTAATTTAGTATGGTATTAATCCTTTTAAATTTATGCCCAATATATGACCTATGTTGATTAATGTACCATGAATACTTGAAGGATTATGTATTCTGTAGTTGTTTGGTTATAGTGTTCTATAAATGTCAATCAGATAGTATTGGTTGATAATGATTGTTTCAGTTATCTATTGCTATGTAACAAATGTCCCCCAAATAGTAGATTAAAACAACAGCATTTATTTGGCTCAAAATTCTGCTATTTTGGCAAGTCTTGGTGGTAACAGTTTAGTTATGTTACATTCAGCATCAGCTGGAGTATCTCAAAGGCAGACTCCACTCAGTGTCAGCTAGTTTGTGCTGAATTAAAGGCTATAAGCTGGGAATCTCTCTCTGTTTTAAAATGATCTCTTTATATGGCCTCTGCAATGGCTTTGGGGAAGCGACTGGCTTAGAGCTCCTAAGTTTCATGTCACGAGAGAGACAGAGCCAAGTAGAAACTGTATCAACTTTTTGACCTAGTCTTGGAAGTCATGCAGCCCTACTTCTGCTGTGTTCCATTTGTTTTGGTGGTCACAGAGTACTGTCCATTTTGACAAAGAGAGGGGATATAGACTTCACCTCTTAATGAGGGTATGACTAGGTCTGGAAGAGTTTGTGGGACAGTAAATCTTGCTGAGAACATTTTTGGAAAGTACAATTGGTCATAATATTGATCAAATCTTTTTCTAATCTTTTTTACCCTTCCAATAATGGACTGAGATCTTTTTCTAATCATACCAACTTTTAGAAAATTGATTTCTGGGAGTAGTGTTAAAATATCATACTGGATGTAGGAACTTGTACATTTATTTCTTTAGTTTTGCCAGTTTCTGCATCATTTATCTTGGCTTGCTATTGATTGCATACACATTTTAGATTATGTCTTTCTGTTTGTTATACATATGTTACAAATACAATGAAACACTTTTATATTTGCTTTAGCCAATTTTTAAATAAATTGAGAAATGAGAGTCATTTATATTTACCCTTTTTTTTCCCAGTATACTTCATTCCTCGTAGATACAAGTTTCTGCATGGTATCCTTTTCCTTTTCTTTTTTTTTTTTTTCTTCTTTTTTTGAGATGGAGTCTTGCTCTGTCACCAGGCTGGAGTGCAGTGGTGTGATCTCAGCTCACTGTGACCTCCACCTCCTGGGTTCAAGCGATTCTCCTTCCTCAGCCTCCTGAGTAGCTGGGACTACAGGCATGCACCACTATGCCCAGCTAATTTTTGTATTTGTAGTAGAGACAGAGTTTCACCATGTTGGCCAGGATGGTCTTGATATCTTGACCTCATGATCGGCCCACCTCCACCTCCCGAAGTGCTGGAATGACAGGCATGAGCCACCGTGCCCAGCCAGTATCCTTTTTCTTAAGCCTAAGGTTCAGGTCTTGCCCCTATTTATGAATTCTCTCAGATTAAAAAAATCTAAATATATTTGTTTTGCCTTCAATATCAAAACTTTTTTTCTGAATATAGAATTCTTGTTGATTATGTTTTCAGTACTTTAAATATGTCACATTTTATTGTCATCTGGCTTGTACTGTTTCTGATGAGAAGACAGCAATCATTCCTGTTGCTCACCTGTATGTAATATGTCTTTTACCCCTTCTGTGCCCTTTTAACATTTTCTCTCACTCCTTGTCTTTCAGCAGTTTTATTGTAGTGTGTCCATGTGTGGTTTTATTTGTGTTTATCTGATTAGTTAAACTTCTTGGAAAATATGAGACTATAGTGTTTTTTAAATTTCCCCCTCTGATATCTTTTTCCTCTCCCTCTAGAACTCTAATTACATATTTGTTAGATTATATAATATTGTTCCACAGGCCACTGAGGCTGTGTTCACTTTTCTAATCTAAATTTCTTCTTTCTATGCTTTAGATTGGGTAGTTCTTTTGTCTAATCTCCAAAGCTAATCTTTCTCTGGCAATGTATACTCTAGTATTAAGGCTATTAGGTGAAATTTTCATTTCAGATAAGTTTTTTAGTTCTAGAATTTTCATTCCTTTCTCCACCCAAGTTTTATTCTCTTTTCAGTGTCTGTATCTGTTTACTTACTACAATCATCTTTGTCTTTAATACTTGAACATGTTTAAAGTCCTTGTCGGTTAATTCCAACATTAGTGCCATCTCTGGGCTTCCACTGACTTTTTCCTCCTGTTTTTGGCTCTTGTTTTCCTGCTTCTTCATATGTCTAGTAATTTTTATTGTATGCTGGACATTTATGATGCTATGTTGTTACAAATTTGATAGAGTATGCCAAGAGCATGTATTCCATTAAGCAAGGTTGAGTTTTGTTGTGGATGGCAGGAAATATATTCAGTCATCTTTATCCTACTTGATTTTAAGCTTTCTCTGGGTGGGTCTGGAATAGCCCTTAATCTAGTGATAGAGTAACTCTTCACTTAAGAAATACCCTTTCTGGGATCCAAACTAAATGTCCAAGGTATTCCCAAATCTCTTCATTCTGGCTTATCAAAAATTGAACATCTTCGGCATTGTAAGAGCTGTGAAGTTTGCATTAATCTCACAGTCTTTTAGTAGTTGTTCCCTAACCGATCTCTTGGAGTCTTGCTCTGTGCATGCATAGCTTAATATTCATGCAGATACTAAAGTGGATCTCTATACAAACAAATGGGACTATAATTCTATGCAGCTCTCTCTTCTCTGTTAACTTGCCTCACACATTTCACTTTGCTTTCTCTATTAGGCAAGATATCTGCTCTCTATTTGTGATCTACTTCTCTGTGCTACTATTCATAAGGTGCCCACAGGCAAAAAACCAGGGAGAACATGAAGTTTACCTTATGGATTTTTTTCTTCTCTCAAGAATTGCACCTGTACTGTTTTCTTCCAGTGTCTGAAGGCCATTTATTTATTTATTTTTGTTGAATTTTAGAGTTGTTTGTTGTAGGAGGATAAATATTATATGAATTATTTCATCATGGCATAAACTATATATCTAGACATGTTAAATCTGAGATGTCTATTAGATAAACAGATAGTGAGGTGTGATAGACTGTTGAATACATGAATTTGGAGTTCAAGGGTGAGGTCCATGCTGGAGTCATACATTTGAGATTCACCAGCATATATAATTCATATAAAGTTTTGAAGTGAATGAGATCTTCTAGGGATTTGGTATAGATTGAGAGAAGAGATAAGGGCTGAGCCCCTGGGCAGCTTTAAAATATCAGGAAGATCAGGAAAAATTAGCAAACTCAGAAACAGCAAGTAGATAGGAGCAAAACTAGTAGAGTGTAATGACCTAGAGAAGAATATATTTTAGGGAAAAGGTAATATTCAACTGTGTAAAATAGTGCTAATTGGTCGAGTGAGATAAGAATGTGGACTCACCATTGGATTTGTCAAACACTGGGGTCAAAATGGTCTTGACACAAGCAGTTCCAGTAGAGTGCTGGGAATGAAGGCCTGATTGGAATGGATTCAAAATAAACGTGGGGATGGGGAGGATTGAAGACAGAGAGTATGAAGAACTTGTTCAAAGAGTTTTGCTGTAAAATTAAGAATGTGAAGATTATGTGAAAAATAATTTAAATATAAATAGCAAGCATTGTAATACAGTAATCACTTGTTCTTGAATGTTTGCCAGAACTTTACTGGGAAACCACTGGACCTGAGCTACTTTGGATAGAGGATTAATTCCAGGAATATGCTGGTAAATGTTCAACAACTAGGTCTCTGAAAAGAAAAAACCTTGTTTTGTAGCCGTTGCCAATTTCTGTGATGTAAATATTCCCATCATGGTAGATTTCAAGCTATAAATGTGATGTCGCTGAAAACAGAGTTGGGAAGACATGCATGCAATCCACTCTCAAGAGTTTAGTATATCACTGAGTAATTTCTGGTCATCTTTTCTAATTTACTGTATGATTATTGGTATGTTTAGATTTTTTTTGAGATAGGGTCTTGCTTTATTGCCTAGACTGGAGTGCAGTGGCATGATCACAGCTCACTGCAGCCTTGACATCCTGGGCTCAAGCAATCCTCCCACCTCAGCCTCCCGAGTAGCTGGGACTACAGGCATGCACCCCACTGTCAGCTATTTTTTTAAAAAAATTTTTGTAGAGACAGGTGTTCCTATGTTACCCAGGCTGGTCTCGAACTCCTGGGCCCAAACAATCCTCTTACCTTAGCCTTCCAAAGTGTTGGGATTGCAGGTAGGAGCCACCGCATCTGGCCTAGATTTTTATTTTACTTATTTTTGATTTGGCTTTAAGAATTTATAATTTTCTGGAAAAATCATTCATTTAAGTTGTCTTATGTTGTTACTGACAGTAGAAGAAATATAATGAAGAATGTGAGTGATTTAGGAATCACATAAAGTTTTGTTTATACCCTTCATTTGTGTGAAAATAATTATAGTACATTAAAAAAGAAATTCTTGTTGAAAGCATAAATATGGTCTACTTTTATCACTCTTTTTATAGAAGGGAACTATATGATATACAAGAAGTATAAATATGGAACTCCTTTTAATATACAAGAAGTTTGAATATGGAACTTATATAAGATGGACAAATAAGGTTGAATAGGACCTGTTATATTAAAAAGGCTGGCCGGGCTTGGTGGCTCATGCCTGTAATCCCAGCACTTTGGGAGGCCTAGGCAGGCAGATCACCTGAGGTCAGGAGTTCAGACCAACCTGGCCAACACGGTGAAACCCTGTCTTTACTAAAAATACAAAAATTAGCTGGGCATGGTGGCATGCCCTTGTACAGAAGAAAGACTTAATTGAAATCTTTGAAAATCCTAAACCAGCATAACAAGACTGAATACTAACATGTTGTATCTTGATAATGCACATATTTTTCACTTTATACTTGCTTTAAGGATCTTGTATAATTCTACTCCAGGTGTGGATGCTGAAACTGATGGGCATGCAATGAAAGCTGGTATGCAGAAAAAATTCAGAGGTGGTTTTACTATCTTGGTATTCAGTTACATGGTTTTATTCCCAGTCTTAATCTAAGATCAAGGACAAGGTTTTGTAGGCGATTGTGTGAAATAGAAGTATGTAGATGAAAATATTTGAAATTAAAGTATAAGGGAGGACAACAATCTTAAGTGCATTTTGGAAATATTTCAAAAGCATCTTAAAGCAGTATAGTTAACTTGTGAGACTATTTTAATAAAATTGGTTCATTTTTGACCAAATCTTCGAGTCCAGGAGTTTAAGTCAATATAATCTTTTCCTTAGCTACCATTAGAGAGAAAGGAGAACCTAATAACTTGGTGGCGACATTACCACAATAGTACTTTGTGTCAGCAGAGTTAGCTAAAATATAGCTTGCTTCTCCATTGACTTCACCTGAAAATGAGCCTCGGGCCTTTCATATGGGAACTGTAGTGGCTAGAGGAGCAATTTAGTAGCTAATTGCAAAATTATATTGAGAAATTCTTCATGCATGTTAAATTTTTTTTAAAGATTACTAAAACCTTTAATAAAATTGTAATAGCTTTTACTTTTGAAAGATAAAATTTCAACTTAATCTTGTAGCTCAGAAGTTTATTCTATGATAGTGACATTTGATTTTGGCTGGATGTTGATTCTAATACTTTGCCCTTTGTCATACAGCTAAAGTACATATTCAGTAATGGATATGAAGTAATATGTAGTTCAATAATAGAATGTGTTTTTTTCACAGTTTTGAAGACATACAATTTGTCTTCCAGGTGTTGCTACTGAGAAATTCAATACCACTGGGATCCCTCATCTTATGCATAAGAACTATTACCTCTGGATAAATTTAGGAACTTCTGTGTGTCTCTGTCAGCATAAAATTTCATAACTATTTGCTTTGGTGTGGGTCCGGTTATATTCATTTTTTTTAGAGACTCAGTAATTTCTTCCCACTGTGAACTAGTGCTCTTTAGCTTTGAGAATTTCTTTTGTATTTTTTCTTTGATAATCTTTTCACCATTTTTTTTTTCTGTTCTTTATTCTGTAAACTATTATTTGGTCATCTCCTGGAGCTCCTGAGCTGATCCTCTAATTTTTCTCTTCTTTTTCTCCTGTTTTTCAGCTTTTTGTCTTTTTAAAAAATGATTTAATTATCTGTTGCTGCTAAACAGATTAAATGACTCTTCATCTTTTAGTTTACTTCCTAGGGACTTCTTCAAGTTTATCTTCTAACCCTTCCACTGAGTTTTCATTTATCCTACCATACTTTTAATCCCTAAGAACTTTGTTTTTATATTTTGTTTTTGCTCATGGATGTAGTATCTTATGGAAGATATTAATTATATTTCTGAGATTTTATTCTGCTTTTAGAATGGATTCCTTTCCTCCAAGTTTCTCCTTCTGCCTCTTGGTTTGCTTCTGTTTTTTTCTCTTTAATGTTAGAGTCTTTCCTTACATGTCTGCTGCTCTTGGTAGTCCCAGCACACTTTAGAGCTAAGAGGTTTTGTGTTTGTGTGTAGGTTTTAAATGGTGTGCTTCATGTTTGGTTATAGAAATGGGCCATTTCTTTGGGAGACTTCCTACCTTTGGAAGTCTCCCAAAGAAATACACACACACACACACACACACACACACACACACACACACACACACACAATCTTCAGTGGTTTAATTTTCCCAGAGCAATATTCGTTCAGTCCCCTGCCTGAGAGTTAAAATCTTTGCTACCAGTATTCTGGGAATCAAGTTGGAAATGGAGGCTCCCAAATATCACCATTCACGATATACTTTCCAACATTTTCCCAGTTTTTTTTTTTTTCTTTTAGTAGCACACCTTATCTCAATTCTCTATAAGCCTGGTGCTACTAAGTCTGGTTCAGTATGCAAGAGAAGAAAGCCTTCAACCTTCTTCCAAGGTGGGGGAAGAGTATTCACCCAGATGTGGAGTGAACTGGAGAGCTAGGAATCCTATTGTTTCTTATTCAGACTTGCCATCAGTTCACCCATTTTCAGCTTCACCTTCATAGTCACTTTCTGGGATACCTGAGGTTTCCAATTCCTCAGGCCCTCTTGGAGTTTGCAGTCCAAATCAGCTTAGTTCTGCTCTTCCTTCATGGCCAGTTTGTTTTCACCTTTCTCTGGTTTGCTAGGGAGTTTTACTTGTCCATCTGCTTTCTTGTTTCTAAATTTGAATTTCTTTATCTCTTCTGCTATTCTCTTTTTACCTGTGGGTTTATATCTTAAAATCCTTTAGTGCCATTTTGGTGAGGTTTCAGGAGGAATGAGTCAAGATTAAGTTCTATCTTTTATGTTTTACTATAAGTCAACTAGTTTAAATTTTATTCTTATGTAGGCATACTTTTTGTTTCTCTCTCTCTGGATGATTTCAGAGCCACTTTAACCTTAAACATATGTCTTTTTCAGCACAGAAAATATTTCTACCAATGTATCATTGAGTATAGTGTATGTTGTGTTTTCTTCAAGCCTCTTTCTTTAAGAGCTAGCTCTGGGAATACCTTCCCTGTGAACCAAATCTAACCTCCCCTGGCAGAGCCAAACTCTCCATTCTGTATCTCCATAGCACTTTGTATGTGTGCTACCAAAGTGAGTACTCTCCAGTTTTACCTTGGTATCTGTGGGGGATTGGTTCCAGGAAACCTCTCAAATACCCAAATCCATAGATACCCAAGTACCTTGCATAAAATGGTGCAGTGTTTGCATATAACCTATGTACATCCTCCTGTACACTTTAAATCATCTCTAGATTACTTGTAATAGCTAATCCTATGCAAATGCTATATGAATCGTTGTTATACAGTATTACTTAGAGAATAATGACAGGAAAGAAGTCCATATATATTCAATACAGATGTAACCATCCACTTAAAAATATATTTGTATTTATATTTTTTCTGACCAACGGATTCTTGCCACATCAACTATCCACTTTTCCCCCAGCTGTGGTTGGTTGAATCCATGGATGCGGAACCCACAAATATGGAAGGCTGACTATAGCTAGTTACAATTAATTTGATTTATTAAAGACTCACCACTTTCAATGATGGATCAATAATTATAGATAGGAGATACTGGAAAGCAGCATGGATCTGGGTCCCCCATGTGAGAGGTGGGAGATGTGGTGGCTAAGTGACTATGGAGTACAGAGTTCCTCAATAGTTGGTTACCCACGTTACACTGAGCATCTATAGCAAGAAGACTATAAGCACATGCAATTTTAGCAACAGATTAGCTACTACTATAATTTTGAAATAGAGATAAATGTAAATGTTATTTTTTAGATATACATTGCAACTATAGGGTGGTATGAAAATATTTGTGATTTCTGTTGGTGACTAAGTCATAGATGCTGCTAATATTATGGTGGTTTATTAACTTTATTTAGAATTAAGAAAAATGTCAAGTTAGAGTTTGGTAAAAAATGTATCTTTTCCTCCCTCCCATGACCATGAATCTCTCAAATTTTACTCTGGGACCCCAGGTTAAGCACATTAGCCTTAGATTCTTTATTTTAGTTTCACTTATGATCTTCTGCCATATTAGTCATGGAGTCTTAGACAGTAATATTGGAGACAATCTCAATTCCAACATTACCATAGTACTTTAGTTTAATTGTTATTGAATCTAGAAAAAGGTGTTTTTGATAAAGATGTTAAATTCTAGATGGTGAAATCTGAGAAGAGTGGACTATGCCAGAAGCCATGGAGTCTGGTTGTTTTCACGTCCTAAAAGGTGACTAGCTCCATGAACAAACTCCCCCTGTTTTTCCTCAGGACTTGAGAAAGATTGAGCCATCTTTCTTTCTACGTTGAACCTTTCCCTGGGTCATCCACAGGGAAGTATATGAATCAGAGACACATGCTGTGATGTCTGGCCCTCAGAGGTATGGTTAGCCCAGCAGAACTATCCTGCAAGGCATACTCTGAATATATGGTTTTAATCAAAGCAACTTGCCTAGATTTATTTATTTATTTGTCTCTGTTAATGGAGATAGTGTGTGGGGGAAAAATCTATATCTGCTGTAGGCTTAGATCCAGTCAGAAAGCTATAGTGAGTGCTAATCTTATAATCTGTGTTTTCCATACATATAAATTTAAAGTATGGATATTTGAGCTATATACAGTAGCAACCAACTTAATGGTAAGTAGCTTTATGATGTTATATCTAATGTTTCTTCCAAATATTATGGCTTCAAGGCCATTCTTATAATTTAAGACTGTAAAATTGAACCCATTTTTCAAAAGTTGAACGCATGGTACCTTATTATGCATACTGTTGTCTGAGGTTTGGAAAGATAATGAAGACTCTCATTTCGTGTGGGATTCTCAACTGAGAACAAGGAATAGAACTTAACATTTGAGTTTGAAAGTCCTTGGGTTCTGCTTTTGTTATGCAATAAGTCCCAATGATAAGCACAAAATAGGCACTAGAAAAAGCCTACTTTTAATAGGCATCCATTTTAAATGGGGATAAAAATTTTACGGTATATAGTTAATAAAAGGTTTCATTACGGCATTAGCAAATAAAGCAAAAATCATTAAAACAAGTTTATTTTATTTCTCTTTATAAAATTTAGCTTGTAACTATGCATTGATTTAAAACAAGGAATAAATCAGATGTTGACTTTGGCATACATTTTCTGACAAATGGTATGACAGTAGAATATGACATTCTTCTCTTTATGTTTTTGATTTTTCTTGATGTGATCATGTAGAGTCAGTTTTTGAAAAAAATTTCATTGGCTTCATAGATTTTCCTGAGGGCCTCATTTCATATTTTTATATTCAAATTATCCTTTTTGAGGTGTCTATCTTGTCTTTTTCATATTGCAAGACTTAAATTTCACTCTTCAGTCTGTGTGCTTTGTGTTGTTAAATGTTATAAAGATTGACTTTCCGTGAGGGTAGATGTCAGTGTATTACATGAGGGATATTGAGAGGAAAATAATTTCACAGGTATTTAGTTCATCAGTGAACATTTTCAGGTTGTAACAATTGCTTCCATATACATTCTCCTAACTGGGAGGGTTGGGGAGGAATTCATCTCCCAATAATTATTCATGAAATTATTATTATCTCCTCTTTATTTATGAAAACATGAGAAGAAATATGAAGTTGTAGTAGCATTAAAACATAGGCATATTGAGCCGGGCGCAGTGGCTCACGCCTGTAATCCCAACAGTTTGGAAGGCTAAGGCGGGTGGATCACCTGGGGTCAGGAGTTCCAGACCAGCCTGGCCAACATAGTGAAACCCCATCTCTACTAAAAATACAAAAAATTAGCCAGGCACTGTGGCTGGTGCCTGTAATCCCAGCTACTTGGGAGGCTGAGGCAGGAGAATTGCTTGCACCTGGGAGGTAGAGGTTGCAGTGAGCCGAGATCATGCCATTGCACTCTAGCCTGGGCAACAAGAATAAAACTCCATCTCAAAAAAAAAAAAAAATTAAAAAATTAAAAAATAATTAAAAAAAGGCATGTTTGACAAAATTCTAGAGGAGTTTCTAATAGTGAAATATGGAAAGGGCCCTGAGGAGGAATGTGGGGTTGAGCTGGTAAGTGGTATGACATTTCTACCCATTCTTACTATGCCATCTACCTTGGACACAGGAAGCTTTCACTGAGTAGGAGTAAGAGACAAGAGTCTCTTCTGCGTTCTGCAGTCTGTCTTCTACATCTGTTCTCTGAAACCACCCAGAGCATTAGCCTTTATCTTCAACTCTAACACCTCTCTCTCAAATAGTTCTTTGTAAGCCCATATGGGGATGAAAATTTGCTATAATACACTACAGCAGGGGCAATGAACAACCAGTGATGTTTTAGAATAGAGATGTAAAAACTTAACATAATGATTATACAAAATGGTGCTGCTATTATGACTAAAAACAATAGTGGCTAACATTTATGGAGCCCATACTACCTAGTAGGCACTCACTTATGAACTCATCAAGTCTTTATGACAATGCTATGAGAAAGGTACTGTTATTATTTCCATCTTATTAATGAGGAAACTGATACATAGAAACATTCAGCAACTTGCCCGAGATCACATAGCCAATAAATGGAAGGTCAGAATTTGGGAACCTAAGTATCTAACTCTAAGATCCTACCACTTTAAATGTCTTCTATTGTATTTGAGGCAGATCAATATTTAATACTGAACACTAACTTATGTTCTTATTTGTTTAGAATCTCTGCTTTCAAGAGGAGAGTTGGCCCTGAGATCCATTTCAAAGGTAAATGATATAATGTGGTAGAAAAAAGCAGGTGTTCAAAAAGTCTAAGCTTTAGCTGAAGTTAGAAGATTGAGAATATAGATAAAATGTTTCTGAGAAACATTGAGAAATAATATGGCTTTTACTTA
The DNA here is from genome assembly GCF_000001405.40 of Homo sapiens. Lineage (NCBI taxonomy): Eukaryota > Metazoa > Chordata > Mammalia > Primates > Hominidae > Homo > Homo sapiens. Next base: position 102,269,775 of record NC_000012.12, read on the forward strand.
CTTTACCAGAAAAGAAAAAGATTCCCTGGGGCTGAGAGGAATGAGGTTATATAGAGGAGAATTAATGAAAATGGGGAGTCTAGGAGGTCCCAGAGAGAGGGTCCTTGTCTCTTGCCTCCAGGCTGACAGACAAGGCATGGTGCCAGACTTTAGAGAAGCTTGGGTATGGGTGGGTGATATGACTTGGGCATCCTGCCCCTGGATGATAATGCCGTGTCAGCCTCAAAGAAAGTCATATTCTATTATTATTATTATTATTATTATTATTATTGAGATGGAGTCTCGTTCTGACACCCAGGCAGGATTTCAGTGGTGCGATCTCAACTCACTGCAACTTCCGCCTCCCAGGTTCAAGCAATTCTGCCTCAGCCTCCTGAATAGCTGGGACTACAGGCACGTGCCACCACACCCAGCTAATTTTGTATTTTTAGAGGAGATGGGGTTTCACAATGTTGGCCAGGCTTGTCTCGGACTCCTGACCCACAAGTGATCTGCCAGCCTCGACCTCCCAAAAGAGAGTCATATTCTTTAGTGTGACATGAAAACAGGAGCAAAAAGAATCCTGTTCCACTCTTAGTGTGGTGCTGAAGAAGCAGAGGAAATGGAGATCCTGAAATGCCCATTCGGACAGGAATAAGAACAACTTCTTGCTAAGCTGTGTGGGCTGATGATGGAAGACCAATTGGGATTGTAGATTTCTCAGTGTATGTCTGTGTAGAGAAGTGATTCCAACACTACATCTGCTCTATTCCCTCCTCCCTGCCAATATCTCAATACTTTGTCAGCTCCCTGGAACTTAGACACAACTGCACACAAGAGAAAGGTAGCTGAGATTCAGATTTATAAAATTCTATTGCTCTCTTGACATAGTTTACTTACCCAGATGTGCACTCTGAGATCTATGGCTACTATGTTTAGTCTCAAGTTTTTCAGGCTGTTCTTTAATCTTCCTAGAAAATTATGTTGTACACAAATTGTGAAGTTGATCAAGCATCTGCATGTATTTACAAATTCTCCCCCACCCAATTTTAGTTAATTTTCAAAGTAGGTAATATATGCACTTGGTACAAAAAAAATTCAAAAGGCGGTCGGGCGCGGCAGCTCACGCCTGTAATCCCAGCACTTTGGGAGGCCGAGGCGGGCGGATCACGAGGTCAGGAGATCGAGCCCATCCTGGCTAACACGGGGAAACCCCATCTCTACTAAAAACACAAAAAATTAGCCGGGCGTGGTGGTGAGCGCTGGTAGTCCCAGCTACTCGGGAGGCTGAGGCAGGAGAATGGTGTGAATCCAGGAGGCGGAGCTTGCCGTGAGCCAAGAACGAGCCACTGTACTCCACCCTGGGTGACAGAGCGAGACTCCGTCTCAAAAAAAAAAAAAAAAAAAAAATTCAAAAGGCGTCAACAAATAGACAATGAAAATAAATGTTGCCCCTCAGTCCTAACACAGCTATCAGTTATTTGTGTTTCCTGAGATATTATGTATACATATTATCATATATATATACAGTCTAAAAACAGACCTGCAATGATAGCATATTTTACACTCTGCTCTGTATCTTGCCTTTTCCTTGTAACAAGATGTCTTGGATACTATTCTATAGTTGTATTTAGCATTCCATTCTAGGGATGCACCATGATTTATTTAAGCAATCTCTATTGATGGGAATTTAGATTATTTCCAGTTTTTTTGCTATTACAAGTTGTGCTATAGTGAATTGTTTTTAGCTCCCTCTTTGTGCATTTGTTTGAATATATGTGAATGATAACTTTAAAAGTAGAATACAGGGATGATACTTACATGTATTGAAAATATTAACAGGTATTGCCCAGTGACTCTCCATAGGGACTGTACCAAGTGAAATTCTCACCTGAAAGTATGAGTGCCCATTTCCTCATATTATTAAACTCTTAAAATTTGTTCTCATCTGATAAATGAAAATCAGCATCTTCTTGTTTTTCCTTTCGTTTTAAAAAATGAATTTGTATTTTTGTCTGTACTCCTTTTTTTTCTTATCTGTCTATGACCTTTGCCCATTTTTCTATATTGATTTTCCTGAGCTTACACATTTTATGAAATTAGCCTTTTATAATTTGTATTGCAGATGCTTTCTTCCAATTTATTGGCTGTGCTTTGACTTTGCTTGCTTGTTTCTTTAGGTACTTAGACTTTTTATTTATATATAGTTGAATTCATCCATCTTTTAAAAAATGGTTTTAGTCAAACCATTCTCACTCAAGAGATTATTGTCTTATACCTCATGCTTTCTTTAGTATCTTTTCCTAATTTTATTTTTATGTTGAAATCTTTCTCAATGGAGAATTTGTTTAAAGGGAAAAGCAGACTATTAATTGCTACATCCATGATGTTCCATTTATAACTTTTACTTTAATTTTTTGATGAATCATGGGCAATGGAATAAGATTCCATTTTTTACCTTCAAAATAATATGTTTGAATCACTTATTTAATTTACTTGCAAAAATAAGTTCTGCAAGAAAAGAGTCTTCATTAGATTTTTTTCCCACTCCAAGAAAAGCCATATAGTCTGGTTGAGTTAATTGTAACAAGATTAGGGTGGGAAGAAGGTCAGAGAGTGTGTTTAGCTATTGTAAACTTTGTGAGCAAATGCAAACTATGGCGAATACAGTTTACAGTTTTATGGAAACAAAGACAATTCTCTAGGGCCAATGTTCTAAAAAATGTAGTTTCCTATAACAAAAATTTATATTCTCAACATTACAAGTCAACAATTCTTGAAATTATTAAAACAAACCTTTGAATATTATAAGAAAACTGTCTTATTCTGTAAACTTAGGCAGAAATTCAATGTTAAGATAACATGATACAGAATAAGTATAGATTTAATTTAAATTTTATGGTAACTGGTATATAAATATTCTCTGAACTTCTTCAATATTTAGCTAAAACAAAGGGCAATATCTAGTCCAATGCTTTGTGTTTTAAAAGCACTTGTGTCAACAACTCAAAGTTTCTCATTAAATAACATTGAAACATATTGCTATCATTATAACTATTATTTTAACCAAAGCTTAGTCAAAGACCTTGGCCACAGAATGATACACTTTAACAGATAATGAACCTAAGCTATATGACATTGCAAAACATGGCACTTTGAATTTAAATTTAACAAATTTGATGAAAACTCTCATTATTGATAGAGTACTTTCTGTTGCCACACTTACTAATTTTGATTACTGCCAAACTTTTTAAAAATTAATTTTAATTACGCAACAAAACATGGATACGTTCACATTTGAAAAAGACAAGAGAAGATAAACCTAAAGATCCCTTTGTTTCTACTCTCTTGCCTGATTTTCTCTTCACCAAAACCTCAACCTCAGACTGAAGTTTGGGGCTTATACTTCCAGAGATTGTTTCACTTCTTCACTCAACACTATATTTTTCATATCTATTTGTATTGAGACATTTAGATCTTGTTCATTTGTTTTAACTGTTGCACAGAATTTTATTAAATACATATACACATAATCACATTCCTCTGTTGATGGACATGTAGTTTGCTTTTGGTTTTTCATTATTATAAATAACAATGCTTATAACTGTCTACCAGTGCAGACTTTTTCCTAAAGAAAGAGTCCTGGAATTGAAATTATTGGTTTATAGGATATGAGCATTTTGAGTTTTAATAGATACTGTCAAACTATTCTTCAAAATGGCTGTACTTATTTATTCTTCCATCAGCAGTATATAATAATGGTGATTTCTCTACATCTTTTCAACACTTAATTTTGTCAAACTTCTAAAATTAGTGCTAATTTGGTGAATGTGAACAAGTATCTCATTATTTAATTTGCATTTTCTTGATTACTACTGAGTTGATTATCTCTTCATATGTATACTGGCCACTCAAGTTTCTTTCCCTGTGAATTATCCTTTGCCCAGTTTTCTTTTGGGCTGCTTTTCAATTTCTTGTAGGCCTGTACGAGTTCTTTATTTTGTCCCAAATATTAATCCTTTTTATATTATTTGTGTTACAGTTATTTTATCCAAGCCTAGTGATTATTTTTAAACTCTATTTCTTGTGTCTTAAGTAGAGCAGGATATTGCATAGTGGTTAAGAGTATGGGCTTTAAAAGCAAATGACTTGGGTTTGAATCCCCACTCTGAAACTATTTGTGTGATCTTTGGTAAGTTACCTAACCTCTCTTATTCTCAAGTTTCTCACCTGTAAACTTAAGATTATAATAGAAATCACCTCACAGGGTTGATGTGAATGTTAAATGGCTTAAATAATGAATAGTCTCTGGCATATAATAAGTACTCAATAATTATTATTACTATATAGTCAAATTTAACAATAATTTGTTTATAATAATTGTTAAATAATTGTTAGATAAAAAGCCTTGTTTGAGAATGCTTTTCCTAATGTGAAGTTTAAAAATGTTTTATATTTTGTATTAGTAATTTTATTGATTTTATGTTTATTTTAAAAATTTGTCTAGATATTTTCCATGTGGCATAGGTAGGAATGTTAATTTTAATTTTTTTCATCTGTATATGAAGCTAATTATACCAGTTCCATTTACGTAAAGGCCTATTATTTCCTGATTGATTTAAAGTGTAACTTCTATAATATATTAAATTCCCATAAGATCACTTTCATATTATCTTCTTTTTTAGTGATTTGTCTATTATTGTGTCATTGTTACATTTTTAAAATTTAATTATTGAAGATTTATAATATTCCCTGAATTTTTTTTGCATGCTTCTAAATTTCAGTTGTGCTTTTAATATTTGATGGTCACTTAAGTTGGATACAAAATCATTGACTCATTTTTTTCTTGGCCTTGAGTAAGAAATATATCTCTCCATTGTCTTCCATATCTAAAAGAGTTATGCCTAAATGATAACTTTCCTTCTTGTATGTAATTTACTTTTTTGGCTTAAATAACAAGAAAATATTTTTTAAGGTACAATAGTTTTATTACATTTTGGTGGTAATCATTCTGGGAAAATTTTCCTATGTACATGGTATTCCCTTTAATATGTAAAGTATTTTGTTATTTTAACAAAGTTTTCTTTAATGACATATTTAAAATTTTGTTTTCTGGCACTGATTTGCTTTTTTCCTTTGAGAATCTTATACATACATGCTGTGTATATATATCCTTTTGTTTTTTCATTTCTACTTGATTTTTTCTAAAATTTCTGCTTTCCATTCTCTATTGTCTAAGTGTCATCTGTATACTGCTGTGTTTCTTCTAGTATAGTCCTCTCTTCTGCAATTTACGAAGTGTGTTTTGATGACAAACTCCAAATTTATAGTTGTATGTTAAATCTTTATTATACTCTCATTTTTAATATTTATATTTTTAGGTATAGAATTCTATTTTAGCAGTTAGTACCATTGACACAAAGATATTCCTTTGTCTTCTAGTTTTCATTGTTGTTATTGAGAAGTCAGCTGTCTTTTCTAACTGTTGTTTCTCTCAAGGTAATTATTTTAAAATATAGGTTTTATTATAATTCAGGTATATTGAGGCCATCAGATCAGGAGACTACTGCCATTAAAAAGATAGTTTGTTCTTCACAGCTCTCAACAGGAGGGGACATGCATGCTATGTAATATCACATGGAGAAACACCAGGTTGGTCAGGAAGCAGAAAGAATGGAAACAAAACATGGTCAAAAGGCATTATTGTGGCTTCTGTATAAAGGAATGTGTATTAGTCAAGGTTCTTCAGAGAAACAGAATGAATAATGTGATAGGTAGAGAGATTGATAGCTAGATAGATTTATCATAAGAAATTGGCTCTGGTAATTATAGAGACTGAGAAGTTTCAAGATCTGAAGTCAAGAAGCTGGAGATCCAGGAGAGCTGATTTCAGTCCAGTAGTTCCAGTCCAAGTCTGAAAGCCTATGAGAAGATCTGATGGTGTAAGTTCCAGTTCAAAAGTTGTCAGACTGGGAAGCCAAGAAGAGCCAATTTTTCATTTCAAGGGTAAGAGAAAGAAAAGACCAATGTCCCAGTTCAAGAATTCAGGCAGGAGGAGTTTCCTCTTACTCAGCCTTTTCATTCTAATCAGGTCTTCCACTATTTGGATGAGGCCCACCCACATTAGAGAAGGCAGTCTGCTTTACTCAGCCTACCTATTTAAATGTTAATCTCATCCAGAAACACTTTCCTATACACATCCAGAGTAATGTCTGGCCAAATGTCTGGGCACCCTGTAGCCCAGTCAAGTTGACATGTAAAATGAACTATAAAAGAATAGGTGAGGCAGGGCGAATGGTTTCAGGATTGGCTAGTTTGAATAATTTCAGCAGGCTCTGGGCTGTAGGAGATGTCTTGAGTTGTCTGATATTTGATCCTGGGTTGATTGAGGCAGTTGAATATTGGCCTAAAGAGTAAGAGCCACATAGAGGAGATAGGGGATTGTGCCCTGGATTGGTTAGATTGCATGTGAAAGTTGTGAGTTGTTTGCTATCTTTAGGAATTATGTAACCCTGGCAGGGGCAGTCCTTTCCTGGTCAGTGAGGCCTCAGATGCCAGAACATCAAGAATAAAGAAAATAAAGTATAATTAATACAGTAATCTATTCTTCTCTCTGGTTGCTTTTAAGACTTTGTCTTTATTTTTCTATACTTTTGACTCTGAAATATCTAATTTGGGTACATTTTAATTTATCTGGCTTGTGATTCTTCCAGCTTTTCGAATATGTGGGTTGGTATCTTCCATCATTTGTAGAAAACTACCAGTCATTTATCTCTTCAAATATTGTGTTACACATCTCTTCCCTTCTTCTCCAAGCAAAGCAATCTTTGCATGTCTTTGTCTTCTATTGTCTCTTGTTTTTCATATTTTCTGTATTGGTCTTTCTTTCTATGCTACAGTGAGTTTTTTAATGGCCTATTTTCTAGCTCAGCAATTTTATCTTTTGTTTTGTTCAGTATGTTGCTAAACACATCCAATTCAGTTTTTAAAATTAGATATTGTATTTTTATTTCTTAAGGCTCTTATTTGTTCTTTTTCGTATCTTGTAGGTCATATTTCTACTTCCCTTTGGGTATTTTCAATCTTGACTTATTTCTTCAAACATTACAAGCCTATTCACTTTATAATCTGTGTCTGACTATTCCAATATCTGACATCTTTGTGACTCTCTTTTCACTGGCCGTTCATGTTTCTGGTCTCCCTTATGGTATCATTTTTCCTTGTGGGCTTGGTTATTTTTGACTATGTACCACCACGTTTCCTTAAAAATTATTTATGGGGATTCCCTAGGCCTTAAAGTTCCTCCTCTAGTTAGAATTTGTATTTACTCCTGTTGGATCCCTAGGCGCATAACCATCCCAGAATTACTTTAAACTAAATTTACAGCTTGAGGATTCCTGGACCACTCCACTAATGTGAGACAGGGCTGAAAATCCATGCAAGAGTTCACTTGTGGTTACCAGTTTTAAGGGACAACTTTTTAAAGATTCGATTTCCCCCTTCTCTGCTCAGCATGAAATCTCACCCTTAGAAAGTTCCCTACATGTGGATTGTGATTAGGAAAGTGCATTTACTTAGTTCAGAGTTTTAGTTTAATGTGCTTGTCTCCTATTTGGATTCTCATGGATCTGGACCTTGACTTATATACCCCATGCCCCTTGAGGCCCTCTAAACTTCAGCTCAATTTTATCTAGGTCAGAAAATTTCCTCAGGGGAAAAAGAAAGCAGCTTAATGAGGTGTTCATTTTTCTGAATATTTGCTCTCTTCTAGAGTTTGGCTTGGTATCTCATCCTCACAATCTTTCGAAATTTTTTATTCTTTTTTTTTTTTCTTTTTTTTTTTGAGACAGGGTCTCACTCTGTCACCCTAGCTGGGGTGCAGTGGTGGGATCTTGGCTCACTGCAATCTTTTCCTCCCAGGTTCAAGTGATCCTTCCACCTCACCCTCCTGAATGGCTGTGAGTACAGGCACTCACCACCACTTCTGGCTTTATTTTTATTTTTGGTAACAACGGGGTTTCACCATGTTGCCCAGGCTGGTCTCAAATTCCTGAGCTCAAGCAATCTGCCCACCTTGGCCTCCCAAAATGCTGGGATTACAGGTGAGCCATCGCTCCTAGCCTTCTTTGATTCTTTTAAGAAAATGAGTTTAGCAATTAGAATTGTTATGAATAGACTAATTCGTTACTGGAAATGCTGTTACTGGAATTGGAAGTTGTAGGAAATCTTTTACATTTACCTGAATGCTTATAGAATTGCTTCAGTTTCCTTGAAATTTAAAAATAGCACCAGGATATTTTAAGGTGATGACTTTTTAAAATTAATTTTGCCTAGTTCATAAGAAGCCTTTTTGATTTACTGATTTCATGAGTTTTCCCACAGATAAATAAGATAGTTATTTTATTATATCTTTATCACCTGTGTTCCATTTCTTCTGATCATTTCTTTAGAAACAAAGTCTTTTTATATCTATCATTTTCCTCCTTTGGATTCATTTACTTCATATTGTTGGATAATTTCTCAAGCATTTCTAACCTTACAAGTGATTTTTTTTGTCTACAGTGGTGTTGCTATTTTAATTTCTACTTGTAGTAATGTAGAAGATATTTATATGACATTATTTCCTTCATTATAGCTTTAAAATTTTTCTAGTTCTCTTTTGTCTCAGTATTTCATTGTTTTTGATTCAGGTTTCTTTCTGTACTTCCAGAATCCATAATTTTTGTAATTTTATTGAATATTAATTCATGATATAGTATTTTATGAAAATAATTGTATTTATTTTCATAAATACACTCATATCTTTCCTTGTTTTCAGAATTGTTATCAAGCAAATGGGTTCACTACCTGATGTACACAGAAACCAATAACTATAGCACTAGCTTTTGAGAAAAGAAAGACTTTATTGCAAAATGAGTCAACAAGGAGTCAGGAGTGAGCTCAAATCTGTTTCCTCAATCTGGGGTCTGGAGCAAGTGTATGGGCTTGGAGAGCAAGAGAAAAGATTTAGGAATGTAGATTTGTAGAATCTGATTGCAGGGGTTCAAATTTGACCAGTTATGGTAAGGTATATTGAAGTGAATTTTAGCTCTAGATCTTCTGGGTCAACAGACCCCTTGCTTCAGAAAGAGTTCTGGTATTATGGTTCCAGTCATGTTCCAGTCTTGTTGGCTTTGAGGAGAGAAATCATTTGTTTTGGGTATTGTTAGAGGTCAAAGCTTTTCCTGTTGTGCATGCCTGGGCTTCATGACTTGCAGTTTTTGGCTCTGTTACTACAAGGTAACTCAACATTTTGTTATTAACAACATGGGCCCAGTTTGGGCTGGTCCCAGAGTTACAGGATCTTTATATTGGTCCATTGTGATTTTATTTATTTTTCAAATTTTTTATAATCACTTTTAAAGTCTTAGATAATAAATAAAATTTAAATGATAGATTCCACTGAAAATAATTAGCCAAAACATAAAGCAGGTAAATTGCACCATTCAAACACATAATTCTTTTTAAACCTAAAAATAAGGAAGAAATACTTAAATCTTAGTTCTTTATTTGTACATAGAACTTTTTAACACTATATATAAATGTGAGAAATCATTTTGGCCAAAAAAGAAGTCAGAAGTCAAAATTCATAAAACAAACCTTAGGAATGTGGAGGTTAAGATATTTTCTGCCCTACCAATTAATTATTATTTATTAAAAGAAGTAGAGAGATCTGTATACATGAACAAAATTGAGACAACATGCAGGTATATCTGTTGACACCACTTAAAAAAACCCACATTTATTTTGAAAGGACTTGTGAACATCCAGTCAATAGAAAAATACATTCAGAAAACACTTACTGAACATTTATGATGTGTCAGACACTGTGTTAGAAACTTGGGAGGCAAAGCTTCTACGTCTAAGAAGCTCAGAGTCAAGTTGGGGGCAGGTAAGCACAAACTTTAAATATTTACAGTATTCTCTCTCTCTCTCTTTCTCTCTCTCTCTTTCTCCTCCCCAACCTGTTTTATCTAAACATGAGTTATACATGATATGTACAAGCTTATACATTCAGTTATGTGTCCCTTAACAGGGATATGTTCAGAGAAATGCATCATTAGGCCATTTCATCATTGCGTGAACATCACAGAGTGTACCATATGTACATAAACCCAGATGGTGTAGTGTGGTGTGGTGTACATAAACCTACTCCACACTTAGGCTATATGGTATAGCCTATTGCTCCTAGGCTACATACCTGTGCAGCATGTTACTGTACTGAATACTTTAGGTGTCTGTAACACAATGGTATTTGGGTATCTACACATATCTAAACATAGAAGAAGTGCAGTAAAAATATGGTATAAAAGATTCAAAAATGGTGCACCTGTATAGGGTACTTACAATAAATGGAACTTGCAGGACTCAAAGTTTCTCTGGGTGAGTCAGTAAGTGAGTAGTGAGTGAATGTGAAGGCCTGGGACATTACTGTACACTACTGTAGACATTATAAACACTGTGCACTTAGGCTACACTAAATTTATTAAAAATACTTTTCTTTATTCAGTAAGTTAACCATAGCTTACTATTAAATTTTTACTTTACAAGCTTTAAAATTTTTTAACTTTTTGATTCTTTTGTAATAACATTTAGCATAAAACATAACATATACACATTGTACAGCTATACAAAAATATTTTCTTTCTTTATATCTTTATTTCATAAGCTTTTTTCTATTTTTAATTTTTTACTTTTTAAAGTTTTTGGTAAAAACTATGGTACAAACACACACATTAGTTTAGGCCTTGTATTAGTCAGGTTCTGTAGAGGGACAGAACTAATAGGAGAGAGATATATAAAGGGAATTTTATTAAGTATTAACTCACATGATCACAAGGTTCTACAATAGGTCACAAGGTTTCACAATACGCCGTCTGCAGGCTGAGGAGCAAGAAGAGCCAGTCTGAGTCCCAAAACTGAAGAACTTGGGAGTCCAATGTTCAAGGGCAGGAAGCATCCAGCACGGGAGAGAGATACAGGCTGGGAGGCTAGGCCAGTCTAGTCTTTTCACGTTATTCTGCCTGCTTTATATTCAGTGGTAGCTGATTAGATGGTGTCCACCCAGATTATGAGTGGGTTTGCCTTCCCCAGCCCACTGACTTAAATGTTAATCTCCTTTGACAACACCCTCACAGACACACTCAGGATCAATACTTTGCATCCTTCAACCCAATCAAGTTGACACTCAGTATTAACCATCACAGACCTATACAAGATAAGGATCATCAATATTGCTGTCTTCCACCTCCACATCTTGTCCCGTTGGAAGGCCTTCAGGGGTATTAGCAGCTCTGTTATAATCTTATGGGACCACTAATGTATATGCAGTTTGTCATTGACCAAAATGTCATTATGTGGCACATGACTGTACTTATATATATCACTTATTTGTGTATACCATATGTCTTTGAATGTATATATGGAAGTTGGTCATGAAGGTAACGTTTGTGTGAAATATTTGCCCTTTTAGTTTCCTGTGGAACCTGGAAGGATCAGGATTCCTGAAAATTTAAACCAGAACTCAGATATTCCAGTAATTGCTCATCAAGTGCCCACTAGTAGCTAAGCATCTGCTACACAACAGCATACAAAGTCTGGAAGGTAATGAAAATAGTGCAAATGGGTTCCCCATTTCTTTTCCAAGAAAAACCTCCTAATGGGTTGCTGATGAGCTAATCAGGTCAAGTGTTCTCTGAGTTGCCCTCTTTCTACAGTCAGCAAGCATAACATTTTGTTAACCTATTGACACAGAGGAAATTTGTTTTCCATCTGACCTTTTACAGTAACTACTCAAAATTACTTTCTCTTCAGCTAACAAAGCTAATGAATAAATTATTCAAGTTTGACACTCATAGAAAATAACATTTTACATTTTTCATTTTTATTCCTGATTATTTTGCTTTCTTTTTCAGCCATTACTTCTTTCCCTATGAAGAGTTTTAATCTTTACGGAAATTTTGCAGTGTTGGTTTAGAGAGTCATACTCGGACTCTCTGGAACTAATCACATTCACAAAATAAGTTTCTTATTTTGCAAATATAACATTTATATATGTTGAAATGGTCACATGATAATTTTGTAAATGCAGATAAATTCCATTAAGAATTTATAACCATTTGTATAAGAATAAAATTTTAACTTTGGGCTACATGTAAACAAAAGGTTTCCTAAGGAAATAGTTATTAGAACAAAAATATTTGGGACATTTTAAACCTGAGAATAAACTCTTCTCCAAGATGGAAAAGTGAATTATAGGTCTTTGTTATTATTCTTTATGAAATCTTAATTCTAAGCATCTCTACTCACTAACATTTTGTTAAATTTATTCCTTTAATAAAAATTTCTTCAAAATTATCTTAATGTCCAGCCTTTTATCTGTCTCAAACTGTCCTTTCACTAAACAGGTCCAAATTGGATGTTTACTTGCAGTGAATATGTTTTTAATGGTTTGTTATATTCAGAGGATCATAACTTCAAAGATGGTCATCAATTAATTCACAAAGGTAAGCTTTTCTTCACTCTTTGTGGTTAGGCCAATTTAAATAATACATGTTAGAGAATGAGCATCTACATATTTCCTCTGCAGACTGACTATTCTAACATTCACTATGCTAAGAGTATTGTTATTTGAGCATCACTAAATGCATTCACCTTCCCAATTTTCAGAGACAAAGTCAAACTCACTCATATTTATCATGAATGTGCATACAATTCTATTAATTTAACATTTTCCATCAATGTAATAAAATAGCAATATTATTTTATACTTGTTAGAAAGATTCTACCAAGAGTATTTTTGATCATCATCAGCAAGTGGTCACTGTTTCTTTTGGAAGATGCTCCTGGTCACTAAAAACTGTATCACTTTAACCACAACCTCGTTAAACTGGGTTCAGAGACTCACAAATTATATCAACAGTAGCATTTCTTTCAGTTGAATTTGCAAAGTAGGCTTTTATTCTCTATGTGTTCCAATATCTACCTTGAACAGTCTTAGAACTAGTTAAAGCATTTATTAAGTACTCTTGTAATGAAGGAAGTAATGATTAATTGATAACTACTTTTGTTATGCTTATAAAACATTTTCCCTAAACTTTACCTTAATTTTGGGGGATTGTGAGGGAAGTCTCCTTTACTTTAATTACTTATCGACCCAGGTATCAGACAGTCATAATATCTTTTTTTTTTAAGCAGGTAAAACTAGACTTTGTATGGGAATTCTTAAGAAATGTCAGAGAGCTGGTCCTGTTGAAAAGTTTAGCAGTTATAGAAAAATATTTCAAAACATAAATGTAGCAGTTTAAACATGATTTGGTGTCCAGAATAACTTGTTGGTCTTATTTTTCATTTTCAACATAAATATCAACTGCCACTGTATAATTGAATCACAAACATATTTGAATTCAGGAATTTTTATACTGAAATATTTCTCTGTGAGCAAATCCCACCTCACCAAACAGAAAGATTTTGTTACTGTTTGTGTGTTCTAAAATCGAGAAAGCCTTATATTATATAATTCTCTGTTGGGTATTTTATGTATCTGTATACTTTTTTATTCCACTTCCCCTGTCATTTTTGTATTCCTCAAAATATCTAGGACAGCATTTTTGCATGCTCGTGTACATTTAAGAATATAGCATAGTGGTTAAAAACTTGGCTTCTGCAACCAGACTGCTTAGGTTCAAATCTTGGCTCCATAACCTTCAGTGCTATGACCTTTGTAATTCACTCAAACCTCCTATGCCTTGGATTTCTCATCTATAAACCAGAAGGTGGATTAACTGTCGGTGGATTAAATGAGTCAGCACATGTAGAACACTTCAAGTAGTAGCTGGTACATATCAGGCTCTTAGTAAACATTAGCTATTATTATTTTTAACAAGTATTAAGCACCTGTTACACTGAAACTGTGCTGTGGGTGCTGGGGATGCCACGATGAACAAGTACTCATCTTTACTTCTATCATAAAATGTAAAGTTTGGTGAAATATTCAGGCAAACACATGGGTCATTGTAATACAGTATGATAACTGCTATCATAGGGTAGTGTAGGGTGCCACAATTGCCTAATGGAGGACCCCTTACCAGACTAAGGGTATCAGGAAAGTTTTTCTGGTCTAAGCAGTGTCTAAGCTGAGATCTGAAGAATGGTGATATAGCTTGTACCCTCCAAATCTCATGTTGAAATTTGATCCCCAGTGTTGAAAGTGGGGTCCAGTGGGAGGTGTTTGGGTTATGGAGGTGGATCCCTCATGAATGGCTTTGTCATTCTTGTGAGACTGAGTGAGTTCACACTCTTATTCCCGTGAGATCTGGTTGTTAAAAAGAGTGCCACCTTCCTCCCACCCCGTCTCTTCCTTCTGCTCTTGCTGTGTGATGCCTCCTCCCTTTGCCTTCTGCCATGAGTGGAAGCTTCCTGATGTCCTTCCCAGACATAGCTGCTCTTGCCATGCTTCTTGTACAGCCTGCAGAACCATGAACCAAATAAACCTCTTTTATTTATAAATTACCTAGTCTCAGGTGTTCCTTTATAGCAATGCAAACAGATTAGACAGATGGGTAGGGGCTTGCCATGTGATAGTGAATGGTGTGGAGGAATGCAGTTTCAAGAAGACAGGGTAGCCAGAGGATCCATGATACAGGGGAAAGAGAGTATGACACATTTAAGGACTTAACAAGGCTCAGTTAAATGCACTATATAGTTCATGACAGGGGATGGTGCACAAACCTCTCTATTCTGAGAAGAATAGGCAATCACTGAAGGTGTAGAAGAGAAGGGTGTCATGTTCATATTTTAGTTTTCAGATCTCTCCAACTCCAGTGTAGGTAATATACTAAAGTGAGTTTAAAAGTTGATATAGGAAGATCAGTTAAAATGCCAGTGCACCATCCAAGAGAAAGATGTTGGAGGCTTGGAACTAGAGTGGTAGGGGTGAATAGAAAAAGAACTTGAGAAATCTAAGAGACGTTTATGGGAAAAGAGTCAGAAGGACTTGGTAATAATACAGTGCTAGATATGGAGTGAGAGTGAGAAAGAAGACCTAAAGATGGATTCCCAGGTTTCTAGATTGAGCATGTGATTGATGCCATCTACTGAGACAGGAAACATTGTCTGTAATGAATGGACAGTGGTTGTGGCTAGTCAGTATATATCCTTGGTAATTATGTCTCAATTGTCAACTAGGAGCAACTCCTGCTCAATCTCAATTCATGTGCTCTTAGATGGAGTTGATTCCACCTCCAGCTCCAAGGGTGGAGCACATGAACCAGATTGGACCAATTAGTGCATCACATTCTCCCAGCCACATGTCAGGGTTGGTCACAGCAACTAAGCTGACACAGTTAGAGTGAGTCTGATAGCTTTGGTGGGACTTGTTGAAAAAGGCATGGGAGTGTGAATTGTTGGAGCTGAAGCAGTTATCTTGAACCCACTAGAGGAATGTCTGCGAGAAAGGAGCCAACGCAGTGGAAAGCAGAGCTGAGAGAGAGAAGAAAATTCTGAGAATGCCCTTTAAGTACTGAATCTAGCTATGCCTATGTCATCCTCTCCCTTGCGCTTTTTCTTTTCTTTTTTTAAATTTAATTTAATTTTAAGTTCCAATATACATGTGCAGGACGTGCAGGTTTGTTACACAGGTAAATGTGCGCCATGATGATTTGCTGCACCTACCAAGCCATCACCTAGGTATTAAGCCCCGCATGCATTAGCTGTTTATCCTGATACTCTCCCTCTCCCGATCCCCCACCCCGACAGGCCCCAGTGTGTGTTGTTCCCCTCCCTGTGTCCATGTGTTCTCATTGTTCTGCTCTCACTTATAAGTGAGAACACGCGGTGTTTGGTTTTCTGTTCCTGTGTTAGTTTGCTGAGGATAATTGCATGTCTAATTTTTTAAGAAACTACCACATTCTTTCCCAAAGTAGTGGAACCATTTAGCTCTCCCACTGGTAGTCTGTGAGAGTTCCAGTTTCAGAAGAAATGGTACCAACTCCTCTTTGTACCTCTGGTAGAATTCAGCTGTAAATCCGTCTGGCTCTGGGTATTTTTTTGGTTAGTAGGCTATTTATTATTGCCTCAGTTTCAGAACTTGTTATTGGTCTATTCAGGGATTCAACTTCTTCCTGGTTCAGTCTTGGGAGGGTGTTTGTGTCCAGGAATTTATCAATTTCTTCTAGATTTTCTAGTTTATTTGCATATAGGTGTTTATAGTATTCGCTGATGGTTGTTCGTATTTCTGTGGGGTCAGTGGTGGTATCCCTCTTATCATTTTTTATTGTGTCTGTTTAATTCTTCTATCTTTTCTTCTTTATTAGTCTAGCTAGCAGTCTATCTTATTAATTTTTTTCAAAAAAACCAGCTCTTGGATCCATTGAATTTTTTGAAGGGTTTTTCATGTTTCTCTCCCCTTCTGTACCACCCTGATCTTGGTTATTTATTTTATTCTGCTAGCTTTGGGGTTTGTTTGCTCTTGGTTCTCTAGTTCTTTTGCTTGTGATGTTAGTGTCAATTTGAGATCTTTGTAGTTTTTTTAATGTGGGCATTTAGTGCTCTAAATTTCCCTCTTAATACTCCTTTAGCTGAATCCCAGAGATTCTGGTACAGTGTCTCTTTGTTCTCATTGGTTTCAAATAACTTCTTGATTTCTGCCTTAATTTCATTATTTACCCAGGAGTCATTCAGGAACAAGTTGTTCAATTTCCATGTAGTTGGGTGGTTTTCAGTGAGTTTCTTAATCTTGAGATCTAATTTGATTCTGCTGTAGTCTGAGAGACTGTTTATTATTATGTCAGTTCTTTTGCATTTGTTGAGGAGTGTTTTACTTCCAGTTATGTGATCAGTTTTAGAGTAAGTGCCATGTGGCACTAAGAAGAATGTATATTTGTTGTTTTTGGGTGGAGATTTCTGTAGATATCTATCAGTTCCATTTGATCCAGAGCTGAGTTCAAGTCCTCAATATCCTTGGTAATTTTCTGTCTCAATAATCTGTCTAATATTAACAGTGGGGTATTAAAGTCTCCCACTATTATTGTGTGGGAGTCTAAGTCTCTCTGTAGGTCTCTAAGAACTTGTGTTATGAATCTGGGTGCTCCTGTATTGGGTGCATATATATTTAGGATAGTTAACTCTTCTTGTTGAATCGAACCCTTTACCATTATGTAATGCTCTCTTTGTCCTTTTTGATATTTTTTGGTTTAAAGTCTGTTTTGTCAGAAACTAGGATTGCAACCCCTGCTTTTTTCTGCTTTCCATTTGCTTGGTAAATTTTCCTCCATCTCTTTATTTTGAGCCTATGTGTGTCTTTGCACATGAGATGGGTCTTTTCAATACAGCACACTGATGGGTCTTGACTCTTTATCCAGCTTGCTATTCTGTGTATTTTAATTGGGGAATTTAATCCATTTACATTTAAGGCTAATATTGTTATGTATAAATTTGATCCTGCCATCATTATGCTAGCTGATTATTTTGTAGGCTTGTTGATATAGTTGCTTCACAGTGTCATTGGCCTTTGTACTTCAGTGTATTTTTGCAGTGGCAGGTACCATTTTTTCCTTTCCACATTTAGTGCTTCCTTTAGGAGCTCTTACAAGGCCAGCCTGGTGGTGACAGACTCCATCAGCATTTGCCTGTCTGAAAGAGATTTTATTTCTCCTTCACTTATGAAGCTTAGTTTGCCCAGATTTGAAATTCTGGGTAGGAAATTACTTCCTTTAAGAATGTTGAATATTGCCCCCTATCTCCTCTGGCTTATAGGGTTTCTGCTGAGAGGGCCACTGTTAGTCTGATGGGGTTCTCTTTGTAGGTGACCTGACCTTTCTCTCTTGCTGCCCTTAACATTTTTTCCTTCATTTTGACCTTGGAGATTCTGATGATTATGTGTTTTGGGGTTGATCTTCTCATGGAGTATCTTACTGGAGTTCTCTGGATTTCCTGAATTTGAATGTTGACCTGTCTTGCTAGGTTGGGGAAGTTCTCCTGGATGAGATCCTGAAGTATGTTTTCCAACTTGGTTCCATTCTCCCTGTCTCTTTCATGTACCCCAATCAGTTGTAGGTTTGGTCTTCTTACATAACCCCATAGTTCTCGGAGGTTTTGTTTGTTCCTTTTCATTCTTTTTTCTCCAAACTTGTCCGCCTGTCTTATTTCAGCAAAATTGTCTTCAAGCTTTGAAATTCTTTCCTCCACTTGGTCCATTTGGCTATTGATACTTGTGGTTGCATTGTGAAGTTCTTGTGTTGTGTTCTTCAGCTTCATCAGGTCATTTATGTTCCTCTCTAGACTGGTTATTCTGGATAACAGCTCCTGTAATGTTTTATCATGGTTCTCAGCTTCTTGCATTGGGTTAGAACACACTGCTTTGGATCAGAAAAGTTCATTATTACCCACCTTTTTTTTTATTATTATACTTTAAGTTTTAGGGTACATGTGCACAACATGCAGTTTTGTTACATATGTATACATGTGCCATGTTGGTGTGCTGCACCCATTAACTCGTCATTTAATATTAGGTATATCTCCTAATGCTATCCCTCCCCGCTTCCCCAACCCCACAACAGGCCCTGGTGTGCGATGTTCCCCTTACTGTGTCCATGTGTTCTGATTGTTCAGTTCCCACCTATGAGTGAGAACATGTGGTGTTTAGTTTTTTGGCCTTGCGATAGTTTGCTGAGAATGACGGTTTCCAGCTTCATCCATGTCCCTACAAAGGACATGAACTCATCATTTTTATGGCTGCATAGTATTCCATGGTGTATATGTGCCACATTTTCTTAATCCAGTCTATCATTGTTGGACATTTGGGTTGGTTCCAAGTCTTTGCTATTGTGAATAGTGTCGCAATAGACATATGTGTGCGTGTGTCTTTATAGCAGTATGATTTATAATCCTTTGGGTATATACCCAGTAATGGGATGGCTGGGTCAAATGGTATTTCTAGTTCTAGATCCCTGAGGAATCGCCACACTGATTTCCACAATGGTTGAACTAGTTTACAGTCCCACCAACAGTGTAAAAGTGTTCCTATTTCTCCACATCCTCTCCAGCACCTTTTGTTTCCTGACTTTTTAATGATTGCCATTCTAACTGGTGTGAGATGGTATCTCATCGTGGTTTTGATTTGCATTTCTCTGATGGCCAGTGATGATGAGCATTTTCTCTTGTGTCTTTTGGCTGCATAAATGTCTTCTTTTGAGTATTACCCACCGTTTGAAGCCTTTTTCTGTCAATTCATCCATCTCAGCCTCCGCCCAGTTCTGTGTCCTTGCTGGAGAGGTGTTCCAATCATTTGGAGGAGAAGAGGCACTCTGGCTTTTTTGAGTTTTCAGCATATTTTTTCATTGATTCTCATCTTTGTGAGTTTATCCAGCTTGATCTTTGAGGCTGCTGACCTTTGGGTGGGGTTTTGGTGGGGACTGTTTTGTTAATGCTGTTGTTGTTGTTGCTTTCTGTTTTTCTTTTGAGAGCCAGGCCCCTCTTTTGTAGGGCTGCTGCAATTTGCTGGGGATCCTCTCCAGACCCTATTTACCTGGGTCCCTCCCACACCTGGAGGTATCACCAGTGGAAGCTGCAGAACAGCAAAGATGGCTGCCTGCTCCTTCCTCTAGGAGATCAGTCCCAGAGGGGCACCAACATGATGCCATTGGGAACACACTCCTGTATAAGGTGTCTGGAGACCCCCGTTGGGGGGTCTCACCCAGTCAGGAGGCATGGGTTCAGGGACCCACTTAATAAAGCACTCTGGCTGCCCCTTGGCAGAGGGGGTGCGCTGTGCTGGGGGGAATCCCAGTCACCGGACTGCCCAGATTCCTCAGAGCCGGCGGGGGAAAGACTAAGTTGGCTGATCTGTGGAGACCATGGTTTCCCCTTCCCTCAGGGACTCTGACATGGTTTGGCTGTGTCTTCACCCAAATCTTATCTTGAATTCCCATGTGTTGTGGGATGAACCCAGTGGGAGGTAATTGAATCATGGGGGGCAAGTCTTTCCCCGTGCTGTGAATAAGTCTTTCTCATGATAGTGAATAAGTCTCATGAGATCTGATGGTTTTAAAAATGGGAGTTTCTCTGAACAAGCTCTCTTTCTTTGCCTTCTGCCATCCATGTAAAATGTGACTTGCTCCTCCTTGCCTTCTGCCATGACTGTGAGGCCTCCCCAGGCATGTGGAAATGTAAGTCCCTTAAACTTTTGTTTGTAAATTGCTCAGTCTTGGGTGTGTCTTTATCAGCAGTATGAGAACAGACTAATACAGTAAATTGGGACCAGTAGAGTGGGGCACTACTGAAAAGATACCTGAAACTGTGGAAGCGACTTTGGAACTATATAACAGGCAGAGGTTGGAACAGTTTGGAGGGTTCAGAAGAACACAAGACAATGTGGGAAAGTTTGGAACTCCTTAGAGATATGTTGAATGGCTTTGACAAAAATGCTGATAATGATATGGACAATGAGATCTAGGCTGAGGTGGTCTCAGATGGAGATAAGGAACTTGTTGGGACTGGAGCAAAGTGACTCTTGTTATGTTTTAGCAAAGAGACTGGCGGCATTTTGTCCCTGCCCTAGAGATTTGTGGAACTTTGAACTGAGAGAGATGATTTGGGGTATCTGGTGGAAGAAATTTATAAGCAGCAAAGCATTCAAGAGGTGACTTGGGTGTGTTAAAGTCATTCAGTTTAATAAGGGAAGCAGAACATAACAGTTCAGAAAATTTGCAGCCTGACAATGTGATTGAAAAGAAAATCCCATTTCCTAAGAAGAAATTCAAGCTGGCTGCAGAAATTTGCATAAGTAACGAGGAGCCAAGTGTTAATCCCCAAGACTGTGGGGAAAATACCTCCAGGGCATGTCAGAGGTCTTCACAGCAGCCCCTTGCATCATAGGCCCAGAGGCCTAGGAGGAACAAGTGATTTCATGGGCCGGGCCAAGGGTTCCAATGCTGCGTGCAGCCTAGAGACTGGTTGCCCTGTGTTCCAGATGCTCCAGCCATGGCTGAAAGGGGCCAATGTAGAGTTTGGGCCATAGCTTTAGAGGGTGCAAGCCCCAAGCCTTGGCAGCTTCTATGTAGTGTTGAGCCTGTGAGTGCACAGATGTCAAGAATTAGGGTTTGGGAACCTCTGCCTAGATTTCAGAAGTTGTATGAAAATGCCTGGATGCCCAGGCAGAAGTTTGCTGCAGGGGTGGGGTCCTCATGGAGAACCTCTGCTAGGGCAGTGTGGAAGGAAAACGTATGGATTGGAGCCCCCATACAGAGTCCCTGCTGAGACACTGCCTAGTGGAGCTGTGAGAAGAGGGCCACAATCCTCCAGACCCCAGAATGGCAGATCCACTGACAGCTTGCACCATGTGCCTGGAAAAGCTGCAGACCCTCAATGCCAGCCCGTGAACGCAGCTGGGAGGGAGGCTGTACCCTTCAAAACCACAGGGGTGAAGCCACCCAAGACCATAGGAACCCACCTCTTGCATCAGCGTGACCTGGATGTGAGACATGGAGTCAAAGGAGATCATTTTGGAGCTTTACAATTTGACTGCTCCACTGGGTTTTGGACTTGCATGGGGCTTGTAGCCCCTTTGTTCTGGCCAATTTCTCCTATTTGGAATGGCCATATTAACCCAATGCCTGTACCCCCATTGTATCTAGGAAGTAACTAACTTGTTTTTGATTTTACAGGCTCATAGGTGGAAGGCATTTGCCTTGTCTCAGATGAGACTTTGGACTGTGGACTTTTAAGTTAATGCTGAAATGAGTTAAGACTTTGAGGGACTGTTGGGAAGGCATGATTGTTTTTGAAATGGGAGGACATGTGATTTGGGAGGGTCCAGGGGCAGAATGATATGGTTTGGTTGTGTACCCACCCACATATCATCTTGAATTCCCGTATGATCTGGGAGGGACCCAGTGGGAGGTAATTGAATCATGGAGATGAGTCTTTCCCCATGCTGTTCTCATGACAGTGAATACGTCTCATGAGATCTGATGGTTTTAAAAATGGGAATTTCCCTGAACAAGCTCTCTTTCTTTGCCTGTTGCCATCCATGTTAAGACGTGAGTTGGTCCTCCTTGCCTTCTGCCATGATTCTGAAGCCTCCCCAGCCATGTGGAACTGTAAGTCCATTAAACCTCTTTCTTTTGTAAATTG
This sequence comes from Homo sapiens, assembly GCF_000001405.40. Taxonomy (NCBI): domain Eukaryota; kingdom Metazoa; phylum Chordata; class Mammalia; order Primates; family Hominidae; genus Homo; species Homo sapiens. Next base: position 102,291,924 of record NC_000012.12, read on the forward strand.
CCCAGTCTTGGGTATGTCTTTATCAGCAGCATGAGAACAGACTAATACAGGCTCCATTCCAGGGAGATTAGAGTTCTGTCTGTAAACCGCTGGCTGGAGTTGCTAAAATTCCTTTAGGGAGGCCCTGCCCAGTGAGGAGGGATGGGTCAGGGTCCAGCCTAAAGAGGCAGTCTGGCCACAATCTGCCACAGCCACTGTGCTGTGCTGTGCTGTGGGGAATTTTCCCTAGGTTCGAACCTCCCAGTCTTCCTGAGTCCAGCAGGGGAAACAGGCAGACTAGAGCTGCAGTGATGGCTGCCGCCTCTCTTGCCTGGAGCTCCATTGTCTTAGTCATCTTAGGCAGCAGACAATTGCAGTGATGGTGTCCACCCTTCCCCTCAGGAGTTCAGTAGTCTTAGGCAGTCTCTAGCAGAGTGGCTGCTGAGAATCTTTACAGCTCTCTGCTTGGGACCCAAGAGCCTGGTGGCATGGGCTCACGAGGGGGTCTCTTGATCAGTGGGTTGAACGGATCTGTGGAAAAAGCATAGTTTCCTGGGCAGGTTAGCACACTCAGTCACCGCTTCCCTTGGCTGGGGGTGGGAGCTCTCCTTGCCCTGGGTGGCTCCCAGGTGGCCCATCGTACCACCCTGCTTTTTCTTGCTCTCTTTGGGTCACACCAATCACCTAGTCAGTCCCAGTGAGAGAACCTGGATACGTCAGTTGTCAGTGCAGGATTCACTCGCTGTTTTCATTCTTCTCAGTGGGAGCCTCTGACCACAGCTGTTTCTAGTCAGTCATCTTGGCCCCACCCCCTGCACCTTTTCTTTTATGTGCACTAATAAGTTGTTTTTTGGCTTAAGCCAGATAGGTTTTTAAATATATACACTTTCAAAAATATATAAGACACCACATATGAAGGAACTAGTTGTGGAGGTAGAGGTTGAATTCAGCCTTGGCTATGTTGAGCTTGAGGTGTTTGTGAGACATCTTTATAGAAAAGAGATATCCGGTAGGAAATTAGATATGTGGATAGAAAGTTAACAATACCTTATACAGTCTTTGGTAAAAATTTTTAGAGAGTCCTTTTGTAATGCATGCAGAAAAGATCTTCACAAAATGCTGACCTCTCCTGTAGAACCACCTAGACCCAAAGGATTTGAAGGAAGCAATTCTTTATTTTCAGTTTTTTCAAGGATTATTAGTCTATTCAGAGTTTCTACTCCTAGATGCAACATTTACAATGAATGTCCATTTCATTTCCAATTTACCTTCTAGTTGTGATGAACTGTGTAATGGCCCCTCAAAGATATCTAATTCCTGGAACCTGTGAATGTTAATTTGTTTGTTAAAAGGGACTTTTCAAGGTGCGATTAAGGTAAGGATTTTGAGATGGGGTGATTATCCTTGGTTATCCAGGCAAGCCCAGTGTAATCACAAGGGTTCTCATAAGAGAGAAGGTGATGTGCTGACCGAAGCAGAGATTGGAGTGATGCATTTTGCAGATGGAGAAATGGGCCAAAAGCAAAGAGTACTGGTGGCCTCTAGAAACTGGAAAAGACAAGGGAACAAATTCTGTCCTAAGGCTTCCAGGAAGAACGTGGCCCTGCCAGCACCTTTATTTTATACCAGTGAAACTGATCCAGACTCCTCTCCTCCAAAACTGTAAGAAATTAATTTTGTGGTGTTTTAATACACCAAGATCTCTGAAACTTTTTTACAGCAGCCCCACTGAGGCTGTTAGGGTGAGCCCTAGTCCAATCTGACTAGTATCCTTTCAGGGAACTAACACCCCACTGTAATATGATATTTATATATTTCTTTCTATGTATATATCTCAAATTTAACAGCTTTCTTGAGTATAATTCACATACCATAAAATTTATCCAAGTATAAAATTCAATTATTTTTTATTATATACAGAGGTATGCATAACCATATCTGCAGTCAATTTTAGAACCTTTCAATCACCACAAAAAGATAACCCATGTACTTTAGCTATCTTCTGCCTGTCCACCAGTTTCCATATCCCTAAGCAGCTACTAATCTACTTTCTGTCTCTATAGATTTTCCAGTTTTAGACAATTCATATAGATGGAATCATATATAACACGAGGCCCTTGTGATCAGCTTATTTCACTTAGTGTAATGTTTTCAAAGTTCATCCACATTGTAGCATTTATCAGTACTTTATTCCTGTTTTTGGTTTTGAGACAGAGTCTGGCTCTGTTTCCCAGGCTAGAGTGCAGTGGCACGATTTCAGCTCACTGCAGCCTCCACCTCCTGGGCTCAAGCCATCCTCCTACCTCAGCCTCCTGAGTAACTGGGACTATAGGCGTGCACCACTCCATCCAGCTAATTGTTTTTGTAGAAATGGGGTTTCCCCATGTTGCCCAGGATGATCTGCAACTCCTTGGCCTTCCGAAGTGCTGAGATTATTTCCTTTTATAGATGAATATTATCCCACTATATAGACACAACACATTTTTATGTATCCATTAATTAGCTGATGGAAAAGTTTTTATGTAGACATATGATTTCATTCCTCTTGGGTATATATCGATAAGTAGAACTACTGGGTCATATGGTAACCCTAAGTTTAACTGTTTGAAGAACTTTCAGATTGTTTTCCAAAGGCTACATCATTTTGCATCCCTACCAGCAGTATATGAGCATTCCGATTCCTCCATATCTTCTCCAACATTGTTATTATATGACTTTTTGATTCTAGGCATCCTACTGGGTATAAAGTGATATCTCATTAAGGTTTTGATATGCATTCCCATTATAATGGTTATGACCTGAATTATCTTCCCCAAACTTCCTGGGTTCATATGTTGAATCCCTTATCTCCTGTATTTCAGAATGTGACTGTGTTTGGAGATAGGGCCTTTTAAATAGGTAATTAAGTTAAAATGAGGCTGTTAGGGTGAGCCCTAGCCCAATCTGACTGATATCCTTATAAGAAGAGAAGATTAGGACAAATAGAGAGACACCAGGGATCTATGTGCACAAAAGAAAGACCATGTGAAGACAGAGCAAGAAGACAAACATATGCAAGCCAAAGAGAAGGGCCTCAGAAGAAAGAAAACCTGCTGACACCTTGATCTTGTTCTTCTAGATTCCAGAACTGTGAAAAAATTTTTTTCTGCCACCTGCTCTATGGTATTTTGTTATGGCAGCCCCAGGAAACTCATGACTAATGATGTCAAGCATTTTTTTCTTGTGTTTATTGGCCATTTGTATATTTTCTGTGGATAAATGTTTTCTGAGATTGCTCATTTTAAAATTGTCTTCTTATTGTTGAATTGTTGAGTTGTAAGAGTTCTTATATATTCTGCATACTATGCCCTTAGCAGACATATGATTTGCAAATATTTCCTCTAATTCTGTGGGTTTTCTTTTACCTTGTTGATAGTTCCTTTGATGCACAAAAGTTTTTAATTTTAATTAAAGCCAACTTATCTAATTTTTCATTTCTTGCTCATGCTTTTGGTGTCATATCCATTTCAAAATCCAAGGCATGAAGATATTTCCTTTATATTTTCTTCTGAGAGTTTTATAGTTTTAGCTGTTACGTGTATATTCTTAATCCATCTTGGATTAATTATTACCTATGGTGTGAGGTAAGGGCCCATTTTTTTTTTTTTTTTTGGCATGTGGCTATGTAGTTGTTTTAGCAATGATTTGTTGAAAGAGCTATTCTTTCACTATTGAATTGTCTTGACACCTTTGTAAAAAATAAGTTGACTAAAGACACATGGTTTTATTCTGGACTCCCAGTTCTTTTTATTTATTTTATTTTATCCACAGGGTGTATATGTGCTTGTTTGTTACATCGGTATATTGTGTACTGGTGGGGACTGGGCTTCTAGTTTACCCATTACCCAAATGGTGAACACTGTACCTGATAGATAGTTTTTTATCCCTTGCTCCCCTCCACAACCTCCTCTCATTTGGAGTCTCTAGTGTCTATTATTTCCATCTTTAGGTCCATGTGTATCCATTGTTTAGCTCCCTATTGTAAGTGAGAACATGTGGTATTTGATTTTCTGTTTCTGAGTTAGTTCACTTAGTATAATGGCCTCCAGCTCCATCCATGTTGCTGCAAAGGACATAATTTCATTCTTTATGGCTACGTAGTATCCCATCGTGTATGTATGCCACATTTTCTTTATCTGGTCAACTGTTGATGGACACTTAGGTTGCTTCCATGACTTGGCTATTGTGAATAATGCTGCAATGAACATACAAATACGGATGCCTTTTTGATATGATTGTTTCCTTTTCTTTGGGTGGATAGCCAGTAGTGGGATTGCTGGGTCCAGTGGTAGTTCTATTTTTAGTTATTTGAGAAATCTCCATACTGTTTTCCATGGAGGTTGAACTAGTTCAAATTCTCACCAATAATGTACAAATGTTCCCTTTTCTCCACATCCATGCCATTTATTGTTTTTTCACCTTTTAATAGTAGCCATTCTGACTGGTATAAGATGATATTCTGATTTTAATTTGCAATTCTCTGATGATTGCTGATGTTAAGCACTTTTTCATGTGTTTGTTGGCTGCTTGTATTTTTTCTTTTGAGAAATGTCTATTCATATTCTTCTCCCAAGTTTTAATGGGGTTGTTATTTTCTTGTTGAGTTATTTATATTCCTTATAGATTCTGGATATTAGTCCTTTGTCAGAGGCATAATTTGCAAATATTTTCTCTCATTTGGTGGGTGGTCTGTTTACTCTGTTGATTATTTCTTTTGCTTTTTAGTTTAATTAAGTCCAATTTGTCTATTTTCATTCCTGTTACATTTGCCTTTGGGATCTTCATCATAAAATTATTTGCCTATGCCAATGTCCAGAATAGTTTTTTCTATGTTTTCTTCTAGGATTTTTATAGTTTCAGGTCTTACATTTAAATCTTTAATCCATCTTGGGTTAATTGTTGTATATGGTGAGAGATAGAGGTCCAGTTTCATTCTTCTGCATATGGCTAGCCAATTTTCCCAGCACTATTTATTGAATAGGGTGTCCTTTCACCATTGTTTATCTTTGTTGACTTTGTCAAAAATCAGTTGATTGTTAGTTTGTGGCTTTATATCCAGGTTTTCTATTCCGTTCCATTGATATTTGTGCCATTTTTGTACTAGTATCATGCTGTTTTAGTCAATGTAGCCTTGTATTATAATTTGAAGTCAGGCAATGTGATGCCTCCAGATTTGTTCATTTTGCTTAGGATTTCTTTGGCTATTCAGGCTCTTTTTTGATTCCATGTGAACTTTAGAATTTTTTTCTAATTCTGTGGAATATGACATTGGTAATTTGATAGGAGTTGAATGTGTAGATTAATTTAAGCAGTATGGTAATTTTAACAATACTGATTCTTCCAATCCATGAGTGTGGGATGTTTCCCCATTTGTGTTATCTATGATTTATTTCAACAGTATTTTGTAGTTTTCCTTGTAGAGATCTTTCACCTTCTTGATTAAATTAATTGCTAGGTATTTTGTGTGTGTGTGTGTGGCTATTGCCAATGAGATTGAGTTCTTGATTTGGCGCTCAGCTTAAATGTTATTGGTGTATAGAAATGCTGTCGATTTATGTATGTTTATTTTGTATATTGAAATTTGTTTATCAAGTCTAGGGGTTTTTGGAGGAGTCTTTAGGGTTTTCTAGGTATATGGTCATGTGATCAGTGGGCAGAGATAATTTGACTTCCTCTTTTCCAATTTGGATGCTTTTTTTCTTTTACCTGATTGCTCTGAGTAGTGCTCCTAGTACTATGTGCAATAGGAATGCTGAGATTGGATATGCTTGTCTTGTTCCAGTTCTTAAAGGTAATGCAATCAACTTTTTTCCATTTAGTATAATGTTGACTGTGGGTTTGTTGTAGGTGGGTCTTATATTTTTAGGTACTTTTTTATTTTTATTTTTATTTTTTTTAGAGGAATAAAATAGTGGCTACTCCATAGGCAGAGCAGCCAGGTATGGTCTTTTGATGCCTAGTTTGTTGAGGGTTTTTATTATGAAGGGACTTTGGATTTTATTGAATGCCTTTTTTCATGTATTGAGATAATCATATGGTTTTTCTTTTTAGTTTTGTATGTGTGATGAATCACCCTTTTCAATTTGCAGATGTTAAACCGTACTTGCATCCCAGAAATAAAACCCACTTGATCATAATTAATTATTTTTCTGATGTGCTGTTGGATTCAGTTTGCTGGTTTTTTCTTGAGAATTTTTGCCTCTATACTCATCAGAGATATTAGTCTGTAGTTTGCTTTTCTGTGTGCGTGTACTGGCCTGATTTTGGTGTCATGATGATACTGGTTTCATTGAATGAGTCACAGAGGAATCCCTCCTCCTTGAGTTTTTGGAATATTTTCAGTAAGATTGGTAGCAGCTCTTCTCTGTGTATCTGGTGAAATTTGGCTATGAATCTCTCCGGTCCTGGGCTTTTATTTGTTGAAAGATTTTTTTATTACTCACTCAATTTCATTACTTATTATTGGTCTGTTCAGGATCTCTATTTATTCCTGGTTCAATCTTGGAGGGTTGTAGGTTTCCAGGAATTTATCAATTTCCTCTAGGTTTTCTAGTTTGTGTGCATAGAGGTGTTTATAGTAGTCTCTGAGGATCTTTTGTATTTCTGTGGCATCATTTTTAATGTCCCTTTTCTCATTTCTGATTATAATTATTTGAATCTCTCTTTCTTGGTTAATCTAGCTAGCAATCTATCAATTTTGTTTATCCTTTTAAAAAACTAACTTTTTGTCGCATTGATTCATTATGTCTTTAAAAATAATCTCAATCTCATTTAGTTCTGCTTTGATCTTTGTTATTTCTTTTCTGCTACTAGTTTTGGGTTTGGATTATTATTATTTTTCTAGTTCCTTGAGGTTCAATGTTAGGTTGTTAATTTGAGATTTTTCTATCTTTTTTTATAAGGGCATTTAATGCTACAGAATTTCCTCTTAGCACTGCTTTTGCTGTATACTAGAGATTTTAGTATGTTGTGTCTCTATTTTTATTTGTTTCAAGAAGTCTTTCAATTTCTGCCTTAATTTATTATTTACCCAAAGGTCATTTGGGAGCAAGTAGTTTTGCTTTCATGTACTTGTGTAGTTTTGAGAGTTCCTCTTGGTATTGATTTATAATTTTATTCTACTGTGATCTGAGAAGATACTTGTTATTATTTTGATTTTCTGAGTTTATTGATACTTGCTTTATGGGCAAATATATAGTCAATTTTGGAATATATTCCATGTGGAGGTGAGAAGAATGTATATTCTGTTAGATAAAATGTTCTGTGAATCTCTATTAGATTCATTTGGTCTACATCCCAGTTGAAGTCCAGAGTTTCTTTGTTGATTTTCTGCCTTGATGATCTGTCTAGTGATGTCAGTGGGGTGCTGAAGTCCCCCACTCTTATTATATTGCTATCAATATGTTTTCTTAGGTCTAGTAGTATTTATTTTATGAATCTGGGTGCTCCAGTGTTGGGTGCAGATATATTTAGGATAGTTAAATCTTCCTGTTGTATTGACTTCTTTATCATTTTATAATGACCTTTTTTGCCCCCTTTTTTTTTTAACTGTTGTTGGTTTAAAGTCTGTTTTATTTGATTGAGGATGACTACTCTCTCTTGCTTTTGTTTTCCATTTGCGTGATATATCTTTTTCAACCCATTTACTTTGATTCTATAGCTGTCTTTAGCCAGTATGTATGTCTCTTGTAGGCAGTACATGTTTGGGTTTTCCTTTTTTATACAGTTTGCCACTCTGTATCTTTTAAGTGGAGCATTTAGGCCACATACATTCAAGGTTAATATTGATATGTGAGGTTTTGTTTCTATCATGTTGTTGTTAGCTGATTGCCTTGGGATTTCAATTGTGTAATTGCTTTATAAGGTCTGTGAGCTTTTTACTTATGTGATCTTTTATGATGGTGAATGTTGTTGTTTAATTTCCATGTTTAGAACTCCTTTGAGGTTGGGCAGTGGCTCATGCCTGTCATTCCAGCACTTTGGGAAGCTAAGTGGGAGGATTGCTTGAGGCCAAGAGTTTTAGACCAGCCTGGTCAACATAGTGAGACACCATCTCTACTAAAACAACAACAACAAAAACAAAACTCCTTCGAGCATTTCTTGGAGGACCAGTCTAGTGTTGATGAATTCCCTATTTCTCCTTGATTTATGAAGCTTAATCTGACAGGATATAAAATTATTGGGTGGCATTTTTTTTTCTTTAAAGATGCTAAAAATAGACCCCCAATCTCTTCTGGATTGTAAGTTTTCTGCTGAGAAGACAGCTACTAGTCCGATATGATTATATATATATAAATGCAATTAGACACTTCTCTCTTGCCATTCAGGATTATTTTGTTTACATTGACTTTGGATAGTCTTGGTGAAGTTCTTGCAATGTATTATCCAGAAATTCTCTGAGCTTCTTGTATCTGGATGTCAAAATCTCTCCTAAAACCAGGGAAGTTTTCTTGAAGTATTTCTGCAAATAGGTTTTTCACACTTTTTGCTTTTTCTTCTTCTCCCTCTGGAATACCTATAACTTACAGGTTTGTACACTTTTATATTTCACAAAGGCTTTGTTCATTAAAAAAAATTTTTTAAATATTATGTCTGACTGAGTTAATTTGAAAGACCTGTCTTCCAGCTCTGAAATTCTTTCTTCCACTTGGCCTATTGTTAACACTTTCAATGTATTTTGTAACTCCTTGACTGAATCTTTTATTTCTAGAAGTTTTGTGTGTGTGTATTTTTTTAAATGACATTTATCTCTTCTTTCATGTCCTAAATTGCTTTTCTATTTGTATGGGTTTTCTGCTTTTTCTTGGATCTCACTGAGCTTCTTTAAAATCAGTATTTTGAATTATTTATCTGATATTTCAAAGACTTCATTTTGGTTAGGATTTGTTCTGAGGAGTTAGTATTCCCCTTTGGGGGTGTTGTTACATTCTGTTTTTTCCATACTTTCAGAGTTGTTTCCCTGGTTGTTTCTTATCTGGATAAGCTGTCTCTCCTTCTTATTTTTTAATTTTGCTTCCCTTTGGACAGGATTATTTTGCCCCCTTGAGGAGGTGTCTGTACTGTATGATGTGGTGTAGTGTCCTTTGGGTTTGGTTCTGGGTATTTTCAGTGGCAAAGAGTCTGTATAAATTCTTTGGTAATAGCCTTTGTATGGTGACTTTCTCAAATGCTGGTTGTTGTAGTGATGTGCTAAGCATGTGAGCAGCCTCACTCACTGCCTCCTGTGGGCTCAGGGTGATGGAAGTCTCAGGAAGCTTATTTCATTCTCCAGTACTCTGCACTTGAGTCAGCAGATTTCCTGTTGTGTTGCACCATTCAACTTCCAGGCCAGTAGGTGGTGCTTATGTCTGTTTTTATCTCCTACACCCTTGTGGTTCTTATGCTTAGTGTTCTACCCATGAGTGAAAATTGGGTATTGAAGTACCCAATTATTGATGAATTGTCTATTTCTCTCTTCATTTAAATCAATTTATGCTTCATATGTATTGGTGCTCTGTTGTTAGGTGCATATATATTTTTGATTGATGTATCTTTCTGGTTAATTGACCTTTTAAAAAACATCTTCTTTTATCTATAGTAATATCTTTTGTTTTAAGGTATATTTTGTCAGGTAATTGTATAACCATTCCAACTTTCTTGTGGTTGCTGTTTGCATGATATTTCTCTTTCATCTTTTTACTTTAAGTCTATTTGTATTTTGAATCTAAAGTGTGTTTCCCATAGATAGCATGTATTGACTCTTGTTTTTTGATCTAGTCTGAGAATCTCTGCCTTTTGACTGGATTATTTAGTCCATTCACCTTTAATGCTATTATTGATATAGTTGGAATTATGTTTGCCATTTTTGTTTTTTATATATCTCATGTTTCTCTTGTTCCTCTGTTTCTGCTTTACTGCTTTCTTTTGCATGAAGTGAATATTTTATAATGTAGCATTTTAATTTTTTAAATTATTTTTTCACTATATTTTTGAGTTATTAGTGGTTACTCTAGGGTTTTTCTATATACACTGTGACTTATAATAATCAGTTTGAGATTTATACTAAATTAATTCTAGTGAGATACAGAAATGTTACTTCTATATACCTTTGTTCCCTTCCCCCCATTTTTGTGATACTATTCTTATTCATATTACATCTATTACATCTAATATCTGAATATTACAAACCCAACAATGCATTGTTGTAATGATAAATTTACACGCTTTTATGTTTTTTAAGGATATTGAGGAGAGCAAATACAGACACACACAAACACACACACACATTTATAGCTTTTGTTGTGTTAGCCTTTTAATTTATCATTTCTGGTTCTCTTCATTTGTTCCTGTGCATACAAGTTGCCATCTGAAGTCATTTCCTTAATCCAATACAGCTTTGCCCCCACCCACCTCTTTTGTTCTATTATTGACCAATATTACATTTTTATGTTATAGGCTCAACATCACATTATATACTTCTTTATACAATTACTTTTAAAATCTTTTAGAAGAAGAAAGGAAAAGAAATGCCTTGACTTTTACAATTAGATAATTACCTTTCCTGGTTCTTTTTGCTTTTTTCATATATATATTCCAATTACTCTCAGGGTTCACTTGTTTGTAGCATGAATTTCTTTTAGTACTTCTTATAAGGTAGGTCTGCTAGCAACACATTCCCTCTGTTTTTATTAGGACATGTCATTATTTTACCTTATTTTGGTGGATATAGAATTCTTGGTTAATAATTGCTTTTTTTGGTTCATTCTGAATATGTTGTCCTTCTGGCCTCAATTAATTCTGCTGAGACATCAGCTGTTAATCTTCCTGGAGTTTCAGTCTAAGTGATGAGTCATTTTTATCTTGATGTAGTCAAAATTTTCTTATTGTCTTTAGCTTTAGCTTTTTCACTTTTAGGTGTCTTTTGATGTGACATTGTAATCATACTTTTTAAATCATGGCCCATTTTATTTGAAAATATTATTTGAAATTATTTATAATCTCTACTTTGAAAACTTTTTCTGTTCAATCTGACATCTGATGTCTGTTAAATCTGACATCTGGTAAGTCTTCCAGGCAGTTTCTGTTGTCTACAATTTTTTTTCAGTGTATTGCTTATTCTTTCCTGCTTCTTTATATGTCTCATAATTTTTTGTTGAAAAATTTTAGGTAGTATATTGTAATAATACTGGGTACTGGTCTTCTGGGGCTTGTTGTTATTTGCTTATTTACTTGTTTGTTGATTGACTAGATTATTTTGGTGTAATTTATTTCTTCCTCTGAAGCATAAAGTCTATAAAGTTGTTTCTCAGGGGATGCAGTTTGATATGCTCACAGTCAGCTGGCAACACAGTGGATTTGGGAGAGCTCTCTTTTGTCTTTTTCTCTGGTCATACCCAGGTATTATGCTCCACTACTTACTTGCTGGCTGATGGCTCTGTTGCTTTCAACAATGCCCTGGAATATAGATTGTTTTACAAACTGACCCAAAAATTTGGGCTCTTCTTAAAAAATTGTTCCTGAGGTCAGTTTTTGAGATTTGTTTTGACCCTAAGAGGGTTCCTCCCAGATGTCTTGCTTTCTATTTCTCTATAGCAAATCATCCAGCTTACAACTTAGGCTATATCTCTAACAAATCTATCAATTTTTTCCCAATTGCTTTTCACAAACTTTCACTGTTTTTGAGAGTGACTTTAGGCTTGAAATTGTCCATGGTTTGTTGGAAATGAAGTCAATTTCTTTGGGGAGAGATTTTAAGTATTCTGTTATACAGCGTGCTTCTCTACGTTTGGGCAAAATCTCTGAGCCACAGCTCTGGTCCTGGAACAGGGACAATGACAGACTTCCCTCTAAATGATATACCCACTTTAAGTGCTAGTAACTTTTGGTGTGTGTGTGAAGTGGTCCCAGTTCAACTCGGCTTGACTCTGCTAGTATGGCACTGATATGGTTTGGCTGTGTCCCCACCCAAATCTCACCTTGAATTGTAATAATCCCCACCTGTCAAGGACAGAGCCACGTGGAGATTGAATCATGGGGGCAGTTTACCCCATTCTGTTCTTGTGGTAGTGAATACATCTCATGAAATCTGATGGCTTTATAAATGGGAGTTCCCCTGCACAAGCTCTCTCTTAGCTGCTGCCATGTAAGATGTGACCTTGCTCCTCATTCACTTTCCTTCATGATTGTGAGGCAGCCTTGTGGGACTGTGAGTCCGTTAAACCTCTTTGCTTTACAAATTACCCAGTCTTGAGTATGTCTTTATTAGCAGTGTGGAACAGATTAATACAGGCATCTGTTAAAGCAGACTAAATATGGCCTGAGAAGGACTCTGTATTTCTATATTTGAGTCCTTGTAGATGAACTGTAACCTAGCTTAATAGCCAGACAAAATTGAAAACCTAACTTAATAGTATGCACCGTAACAATAGTTGAGTGTTGGCCATTCCAGTGGTCATACTTCAACCACTCATAGACTGCTGAGTGTTCAAACAAGGCAAACGCAGAGCTGTGACCAACCTCACTGTTTCTGTACTTCACTTTTGATTCCCATACATCACTTTAACTTTTTGTCTATAAATTTGTTCTGACCACAAGGCACCCCTGGAGTCTCTGTGTATCTGCTGTGATTCTGGGGATGCCCAATTCGTGAATCGTTCATTGCTCAATTAAACTCCTTTAAATTTAACTCAGCTGAAGTTTTTCTTTTATCAGATAATGTCAGAAGCAGGATCCAAAGTGGAGCTTCTAGTGACCCCCAGGAGTGCTGAGTAAACACGCAAGGTACCTGCAGGACCCACTTGTGTCCATTGATCTCTCAGAGCAGCTGGGCATCGTGGGTAAGTTCCCTCTTGGATTTTGGAGCTCCACGGATTTGTGTTTTGAGCTCTCTGAGTTTCTTTGGGCAAATTTCTGATCCAAACTGGGTTTGGAGTTGTGACAGAAACTGGACTGGGTCCAGGAACAGATTTGATCCGGGAATTAACTGGCTTGGATCCAGTTAGAGGCCTCTTACATCTGACTGGGTCAGAAAGGAACTGGTAGTAAGCAGTAATATTTCAGGGGTTATAGAGTTTGGCTTTTGAAAATTCACAAGGATTTTTGTGCTCTACCCTTTTGTTCATTTTTCTTGCCTGCATCGGTAGGAAAAAAAATCATTGGATAAGTTAATCAAGAGAGCCTGAGAGTAAAGCCAATATTTTAGGTAAAAATGGAATCCTTAATTTCTGGAAAACTGAGTTCCTTCTGGCTTATACTTTAGGCCTGGGAGGCAGTGAAGTCTTACAGAAATGGCAAAATCTTACTAAAGGTAACTTACAGTGGAACGTTCCGAATGAACAACAATGCACTGAAGTACATTTACAAATGAGGGCTCTTGGTAAAGTCCCTTTTGGCTAAGAACAGGGTTGGCACTACGGGATGTCAACTGCTGTTTTCTTTGGAATAATCTGCCTTGCACTCTTTGCTGACAACTATGGGTGACAGAATTAGGATCGTGGGACACGGAGAGCTTTTTCCTCCCCCAAAAGGGAAAACTTGAAAGCTGATGGGACTGCTGGAAAAAAAATCCTTTTACAACAGCAGCTGCAGCCGCCTGAACTTCTCAGTATCACTGCAATGGGTTGGTTTTTCTCTGGTCTTCCTGAGCATTTTGCCTTCCCCACCCTGCCATAGGCAAACCTTTTCTCTCTCTCCTTTCTGTTTTTCATCTTTTCTGTTACTCAGGGCAACCATCATGCCCAGAGACCATGTGTTGAAACTCCTAGTCAGAGGTTGGATTAAAGATGATGGGGCCCAGCTGAGGGCAAATTTAAGCCTTGTCAGTTTGATATTGGGTGCTAAGCAGAGTGGCTAATGTCTGTTTATCACATGTGTTTTACTCTGGCCAGAATGAAAAAAGATAATTTTCCTTTATGATGCAGCTTGTCCCCCAATGGGATGGTGTGGCAAGCTGGGTTACCGGGGCCACTTAGGGAAAGGAAACACAGAAACCTGGCATGCAGGCCAAAGGGTAAGAATTTCTTACCAGTCAGATTTCTGGCTTCTCCCTCTCTGTGCAGACAGTTGATTAAATGGTAAAAATTGCTGTTTAAGCCAGGCACGGTGGCTCACACCTGTAATCCTAGCACTTTGGGAGGTTGAGGTGGGCGGATCACTTGAGGTCAGGAGTTCAAGACCAGCCTGGCCAACATGGCAAAACCCCATCTTTACTAAAAATACAAAAAATTAGCTGGGTGTGGTGGCAGGTGCCTGTAATCCCACCTACTCGGGAGGCTGAGGCAGGAGAATCACTTGAACCCAGGAGGCGGAGGTTGCAGTGAGCCAAGATCACGCCATTGCACTCCAGCCTGGGCAACAAGAGTGAAATTCCATCTCAAAAAAAAAAAAAAAGAAAGAAAAAGAAAAAAGTCACTGTTTATCTCTTCTGTAAAGTTTTGATTAATGCAAAAAAGAATTCCGAGGCTAGTCTTAAACTGATATATTTGTGCTATGAATTTGTTTTTCTGTGTCAAGGGGTGCCTTAAGATAAAACATGGGCTTAGGACCCCATAAGCTCGCTGCTCAAGATGGCCCAGCAGGCTGGTCAATAACAAACTTTCCTGCAGGTCCCTGAAACAAACAAATGAAAAACTGGATGGGGTCTCCATCTTGTTTCATGTCCTTGGGAGCTTGACCTTGTAACCACGTGGCAGTACTTTCTCTTGGTCTCCACCTTCCAGGGAACACGAATTTTAGGTTTTATGTCATAGTTAGCTCTAAAAATTATCTTAAGTAGTTAAAAGCCTCTACAAGCTCAAAATTAACTACTCTAGACTCCTTCTGGGAAGAACAGTGGAACTTTCCCTGTGGTATAGCTTGGTACATAAGGTTTTGGCCTTTCACACTAGAAGTCCAGGTTCAATTCCCTGCTTAGAAAGCAAGCCTTTTCTGGTTTAATATCTACATAACCTTGTCTAGTCTCTTCTCCACCATGGACTATCCTAAGTTTTCCTTTCGCTGAGCACCTGGGAGGTTACCTTTGGTAAAGTTCAAAACCAGAAATATTGGCCAAACTGGGTAATAAGAAATTTTAAAAGGATATTATTAAAGGGTGCTATGGTTAAAAGTCAGCTTAATTAAAAGCAGATATTCAAGCTCTAAGAGCCTGGATTCCTTGGGAAAAACAGGAGGCACCAGAAACCCATTTCCTGGCCCTGTTCTTCCTAGGGCTCCACCCTAAAGCCAATAACCAATTAAGAAACTTAAAAACTGGCAAATGAAAAATCTTATAACTACTGTAGTAATCTTCTTATGTCTGTCTATTTGTGTAATTATATATGTGTTGTGTGTAATGTTTATATAAAAGAGCTCCAATTAATTGGCTTAAACAAAAACAAGTGCTTAAATAAAATATTTTGAAAGCAAAATAAAAACTGTAAGGCCTTTTAGTTCATGTAACTTTAGTAATTACTGGGAAATAAAAACAGCTTTAAAGATTATTGATAAAATAAACACATTTTGTCTAAATTATGCCGGTCAGATATTAGGTTTGCTAAATGCTTTAAGGTCATAAACTGCTTTGACTTTTGAAAATTGTTCAATTTATTTTGAAGACATTAAATTCTAAATAAGGCCTGGGGATATATGGAATTATCCATGTCCCCTAGCTATGCAAAGAAGGTTATAAAGAGATTTTACATAAGAAAGGATGTTTTTTGGTAAATTATTGTCCTAAAGTAAAATGACTGGTTGTTTAAAAAGAGGGATGTTTAGGGCAGGTCAGAAAGTCTAAACATGTCATACATGGTATGTGTAAGTCGTGACAATTTATGAAAAGAAATTAATGCCAGAAATGCTTTACAATTTATTTTTTTATTATTATTATTTTTTATTATACTTTAAGTTTTAGGGTACATGTGCACATTGTGCAGGTTAGTTACATATGTATACATGTGCCATGCTGGTGTGCTGCACCCACTAACTCATCATCTAGCATTAGGTATATCTCCCAATGCTATCCCTCCCTACTCCCCCGACCCCATAACAGTCCTCAGAGTGTGATATTCCCCTTCCTGTGTCCATGTGATCTCATTGTTCAATTCCCACCTATGAGTGAGAATATGCGGTGTTTGGTTTTTTGTTCTTGGCGATAGTTTACTGAGAATGATGATTTCCAATTTCATCCATGTCCCTACAAAGGACATGAACTCATCCTTTTTTATGGCTGCATAGTATTCCATGGTGTATATGTGCCACATTTTCTTAATCCAGTCTATCATTGTTGGACATTTGGGTTGGTTCCAAGTCTTTCCTATTGTGAATAATGCCGCAATAAACATACGTGTGCATGTGTCTTTATAGCAGCATGATTTATAGTCCTTTGGGTATATACCCAGTAATGGGATGGCTGGGTCAAATGGTATTTCTAGTTCTAGATCCCTGAGGAATCGCCACACTGACTTCCACAATGGTTGAACTAGTTTACAGTCCCACCAACAGTGTAAAAGTGTTCCTATTTCTCCACATCCTCTCCAGCACCTGTTGTTTCCTGACTTTTTAATGATTGCCATTCTAACTGGTGTGAGATGGTATCTCATCGTGGTTTTGATTTGCATTTCTCTGATGGCCAGTGATGATGAGCATTTTTTCATGTGTTTTTTGGCTGCATAAATGTCTTCTTTTGAGAAGTGTCTGTTCATGTCCTTCGCCCACTTT